>NC_000024.10:14721862-15331410 GCF_000001405.40 Homo sapiens | reverse complement strand
ATTACTCTTCACATGGCTTGCCTTCAAATATCTTCTTTATGCTTGACTAGAGAAATTCTAAGATGGCACTGTGCCCTGTGCTTTATGTGGAGGAAATACTGATGGATGAATCCCTGGTCCACTATTCCTCTTTTAACGGCCTCTCATCTCCTGTTGAGTAGGTTTCTGGGCCATGCACAAAGGGTGTTGGGATGGAAAGGACCAAGGAGAGGACCAAAGAGAGGCCTCTGCATTGCCAGCTACCACATGCTCACCATACAGACAGCTCATTAGCTCATCCACTAGCTCATTTAATCATGAAGTCTTTTAATCCCCTTCAGGTCCAATGAATTTCTTAGGTGCTTTTCTCTCTGTTTATCAGTTCTCATTATAAATGGCAGCTTCTTCTACATGGCACATTTGGAGATGACATGGAAAAATCACTCACACAGGCCAGCAAAGGAACTCTCTTTGTGCCATGATAATCCTGTTTGGGGAAGCCTCCTCTGTAGCTTCTCTCAAAGGCAGGCAAAACTTCACTGTGCTTTTGCTGTCCTAACAGTGTGTGTAGTCATGTTATACAGCAAGCATACCACAAGCAGGTCTCATCTAAGGCATCTAAATGTGTTTTTTCTATAATCAAATGTGCTGTTGAAAATAAACACAACTTGCTGCTCTACAGGTTAGAGCATTTTATTCCTGTACATGGCTAATCTTCCTGAGTCTGTCTGAAGTCATAGTGTCCCTCTAAACACACAAAACTGATAGGGCCTTCTGTCACACCTGCAGATCATAAGTCTCATGCAGAAGACTATGGAAAATGAATTAACACAATTTACCCAGAGGAAGTGGAAAAAGAAAATGATTTCTAGTGACCATCTAGAAACTTGAGGTTTGTTTTTGACTCTAAGACAGTCAGCCCCTTTCAGGGCCTTGCTGGGTTTTCACTGCTGTCTGACAGATGGTGGACACGGTATCTGCACCATTAAAAGAGGAAATCGGGAAGGTTTTCTGAGCTGTCTTAAAGTCTTTTGCTCACTGCTTAATTTACGTATATACACTTTGATATGCATGCTAAGAATGCCCGTCATGTGCTTTTTATGAATAAAATGACACAGAGAGAATTCATTAGGAAGCTTTCCTGCCACCCCTCAACCAAGTTGTTAAATCCTGAAGTTTTTCAAAGGCTTTTCTCTACAAATGAGAGAACCAACTTAGAGGTGCAGTTCATTCATTACTATCTTGTAACTCTAGAGGATTTTGTTGTAAACAGTTTATATCAGTATAGGTTTTATAGTTTGATTTTCACAGCACTATTGATTCAGTAAAACCTTAAAACTGCAGTTTACAGGAGATACTGACCCCCACATCAGCACTATTACTTAACTCAATGCAGCACAACATCTGGCTTACTTGTAGGTAGGTGGATGTGGGCAGGTGGATGGTTGGATGAAGGGAGAGCAGGAGGAAGGCAGGAATAGATAGATAGATAGATAGATAGATAGATAGATAGATAGATAGATAGATACGGATAGATAGATATGGATAGATAGATAGATAGAGGTAGAGATAGAGATGGACGGACAGACGGATGGATCAATGAATAATATAAACAAAAGTACTAATTAGCAATAAAACACACACATACCACAGTAGTCATTTTTACAACATTACTTAAAGTCATGTTTAAACAAACATCAAATAGTGTTTACATATGCAACATGACAACATTGTAGTACTTATTTACAGATCATTGTCTGACAAAGAACATGAAGACAAATAAAACTTAAATCTTAGATGACTATATTGTAATTCCATATATAGTTTATTATTACTAATAATAGTAGACTACTAATAATAGTAGACTATTCATAATAGTAGTCTGTTAATATTTAGACTATATAGAGAATAATAAGTCTGTATGAGTTTGCTAGGACAATATATAGACTTCTCTATATATGCTATATATAGAATAATAGTGTCTATATATATAGTCTATAAATAAAATAATATATTCCCTTTATTGGGAATATATATATTCTGTTTATATAATATATATTCTCTCTCTGTGTGTATATATATATATGTGTGTGTGTATATATATATATATATATATATATATATATATATATATATTCTACTTAAGACATATATGTGTCATCCTGCTTTGCAAATGAAGTGTGAAAAAGCTCTCTTAGGATAAGCTCAGAAAGATATTGAAGACCTGTATACATGGTTGGTTCTGCAGCAAAAATTTACTTATTCGGTTGTTAGCAGGCAGCACTTGAGCCAGCTTCTGCAGGTGGCAGTGTTCAGTGTTGGCTTGTGGCCACAGTTTTATCCTGATGCAGCAGGCTCAACTGGGAGACCTGCTGGTAACTAGGCATAGGGGAGCAGGCCTGCGATGGGAGAATGAGCTGAAACAATCTGCCATAAATGGTTCTGGCATGAGATGCTGTGCAAGCTAAACATAGTGTGCTATACACATGCATGGTTTGAGTATCATGGATACCTGAGGGAATGCAATGAGAGGTTTCTTGGAAACCAACAAAAATACGAAGTCAAACTCCAGCTGGTGAGCATTGGCAGGATAATTAAGTTTCCTGAGGAAAGATTTCTTCCTCCGGGAAGATTTAGGTATCAAAATCCCAGTCATTGCAGACAGCACCATGGGACAGAGTCCAATCCTAGAGGAGAGAGAATCCCAGGTTTCCTTGTCGGACACACCAGGGTTCCCCAGCCTTGGTGCTACTGACATTTAGGAAGATCATTCTGTGCTGTGAGACATCATCTGTGTACCATCAGCACTACTGACATTTAACAAGATTATTGTTTTCTGTGGGAGGGTGTCTATGCAACATGGAATGCATAGTATCGTCCCTGGCCTCTTCCTACTACATGTCAGTTGCACCTGCTCCCAATGATGGAAACCAACAATGTCTCTAGATATTACCAAATGTTCACAGGTGGTAGGAGGGCAGGCATCACCCTGGATGGAGACCCACAGAGCGAGATCATTGGCATGGGGGCCACACAGAATCTCAGCACCATGGACAAGATCAAGGAAAGTGCACAGGGTGGATGCTGGGGGCCACTTCCCAAACTGCAAAGGTGACGCTGGATATCTGGCACTCTATCAGAAGGAGCTGAGGGCACAGATCTGTGTCAAAGAATTGAATGATCCATCAGTGCATCTGGCCAAAGCAGAGGAGTAGCGAATAGTGGCATTTCTGCCACGTCTTTGACATTGCAGGCCCAAGAGACAGCAGGGAAGGGGACACTGTGACTTGATGGGCCTCTGATAATGAATCTGATTTGCAACAGGAATCAGCACCATTCCCTGTAGGCAAGGAGCACGAGCCAGCAGCTTTTCTTCCCATCAATACTGTGCCATGATTGTTACAAGGATAATGAAGCCTTGGGCAGGCTGCTGGGGCCTTGGGAAGGTCCAGATGGATAGAAACAATACACATTTATAGTTCTGAGAGGTTATGCAGTTTAGAAGTCCTCCCCCAGCTTAATAAAAGAATAAGCAGTTTCTGTTCTCTAAAAGCCAGAAGGCTTATGGGGAAGACCAACACACTAACTTAGGGCTTCAGCAGAAATTTCTGTTAAATGAGGTGTCCCTACCTTCCCTTTCACCTTTTCCTAAATGATGTGTCCTCCACCCTGCAGATTGATATCTGATGATGCAAAACGATTAAACAAAAGCCTGTCTTTGCTGACCTGAGAAATCTGAAGTTTTCACAGTGAAAAGTGCTAAATAAATGTTCCAAGTTGACATAGTATATTTATCACTTTACCCCTAAAGATCTTTCTGTGATGAAATGACTTAAGTGCTATGTACTGGAGAATTAGCACAAGTTACCTTTTTTAAATAAAGGGAAGGCTGAAGTGACAAGCTTGTCTCCCTTGGGGTTAGCAAATACAGTTCTCTCTTAGAATAAGGTGATTTAAAGTTGGAGAAGTTCTGAGAGCTTGAGGGTCATTCAAACTGCAAGGTGCCCTGTTCACTGAGTAATTCAGGTTCAGAAAAGTCAGGCACAGATATATGCAGTGATGTGTGCAAGGTTTCACAGCTGGAAGGTTGTACTACATCTCCACAATGATAATCCTTTGCTGCCTTCCTTGATCACTTTTGCTGCAGCTGAATTTTGTTCAGTATCATGGCAGGACCTTGGAGTACCTTTGTAATCACTGAAGTGTGCACCAAATATGTAAAGAGAAGCCATACTTGGAAAAGATTTTAAGACAGAAGCGGAATTTTGGGAAATAGAAATTCCACCGAATGGAGTTAATTTATATAGCAGACAGAGAAGAGTAACTTCTATCAAGGTGAACAGACCAGTAAGCAAATCCCGAATGTGCCCGAGAGAAGAGGATGTGCTCTGACAGGCTGGCCACAGCTCTCATTTTAAAAAAAACAGGAAGAACACCTACAACAGTTCTCTGAGTAGTGGGGAACACTGTCTTCCTGCTTACAGAAGACTGAAAAAATCCTCCTACGTAATTACACCCGAGAACATAAACTGCAATCACACTATTTTCTAAGAGAGCCCTTCATGCCCAGGCAGATTCACTCCTGTTCAGTTCCATCGCCTCTGAGGCATTGCTCAGATTCAGGTGCTACTCTGCTAGTAAAAGAGTACATTGCAGCCATGTGGGTCCTGGCAGAATGTGATACTGTGATCTATTTAATCATGCACAGACACTCAGACAAAGAATCCTAGGTTATATCACAGAAGTAAGAAGTAATTTGAAATATAATATTGTTTCAAAACATTTGAAGACCAATCAGTGTTAACCACAATATTGTCAAACTAAAATGAGGGAAAAGCAAAAATATCCAACAACATGGCCATCTCAACAGATGTAGAAAAAGCATTTTTTAAAAACCCCATCTCCAGCCATGATTAAAATCCTACAGCTGAGTAGGAATAGAAAGGAACTCTTTCAACAAACCTGATAAAGGGAATCTACTAAAAATCTAAAATTCTTGTTAATGGTAAAAACTGAATACTTTTCTTTAAATTCAGGAACAAAATACAAATGCCCACTTTCCCCATTCTATTCAACATTTTACTAGCAATCAGAACTAGTGCAGTAACAAAATAAAAATAGAAGGCACTCAGATTACAAAACAAGTGGTAAAGCCATCTTTATGCATAGACAGCATAAACAAAAATCCAATTTGAATACCCAAAAAAGCTACTAGAACTATTACAAATTGAGTTTAGCAAAGTGACAGGACACAAGTTCAATATACAAAAATAATGTACTATTTTTATGTACTAGTTGAACAATCAAAATTTAAAGTAATTAATACCATTTTTGATAGCATCAGAAATATGAAATATTCTGGAACAAATTTGAAAGATATGTATAAGAGCTGCACCCTGAGAACTACAGAAGTATTCTTGAGAGAAATAAAAGGAGATGTAAGTAAATGAGGAGATATAAATTGGTCATTTGTTGGAAGACCTAATAATGTTAAGATGTTAAACTTTGAAAAAAAAAAGAACAACATTGGAAGACTAATGCTATTTGATTTCAAGCTGTGTTAGAAAGCTGTAGTAATCAAAAGAGTGTGGTATTGGCATAAAGATAGACAAATTAGATCAATGGAATAGCATAGACACATATATGCACAACTGATTTTGGCAAATGTACAAAGCAATTCGGTGAAAAAAGGATAGTGTTTTCAACAAATGGTGTTGGAACAACTGGATATTCATATGCAAAAAAATAAACTTCAGTTCATGCCTACAAATAATACACATAAATAAACATACATGCATCCTAATGTTACTCAAGATAGATCATAGACCTTTATATAAAACCTAAAACCACAAGACTTTGAGAAGGAAACAAAGGGCAAAATCTTGAGACCCAAAAATATGATCTCACATATGCATCCATTGTGGGTCAGTGTCCGCTGATGAGCTTTTCCTGCTTCTTTGCATGCCTAGACATTTTTGATTGGATGCCAAACGCTATGAATCTTCTTTTTAGTATGCCAGATATTTTTGTATTCCTCCAAATATATTTGAGCAATCTGCTCACTTTAGGTTAATTTACTTGGAGATATTTGGCATGTTGGAGCCTTGCTATTGCGAATCATTGGGAAGATTCAGAGCAGGACTCAGACTGCAGATAAATATTCCCCACTATTCACACAAGACCTTTCTGAGTAGTCTAGCCAAATGGCTCATGAATTACAAGGTTTTTTTTTAGTCTGGCTGGTGGAAACGGGCACTCTTTCCAGCCCTGTGTGAGCACCACACACTATTTTCTCTATTTCAGATGGTTCTTTCCCCAGTGGTTTGTGTGTCCTACAGCCCTGTCAAGGCAGTCAGCTGTGTCAAACATGGTGCTCACCTTGTTCATTTCCTGGCTCTCAGGGAGCACTGTCCTTCATTGTCCTATTTCTAGACTCAGGAAACCACTTTTTCATATATTTTGTTTGTTTTTCTGGTTGTTTCAGTTAGGAGAGTTAAGCCAATCTATGTTATTCTTTCTTGTCCAGAAGAGGAAATCTCTCCCTTACTCAAATGTAATATTCCAGAAACAATAGCATGCTCTAAATACCCTCATTTCAGAGAGAAAGCAATGGAAGCCCAGCACATTGCTGTAATTCTTCAAATGAGCAGTTCCTGGCAGTGTCAAATTTTGAACCCAGGGGTTCTGGCAGTGGAAACCAGAATCATACACATGTGCTCCATAGTGATTCTCACATCCTAATATGCTTTGCAGTCAAGAGACTGCTCCCATTGCCTTATTGACTGGACCTGTGGATCACTTTGTGATTAAGAATGGAACCAACTTCTACAGAGAAAACTTGAGGATACATTTAGCCCATCATGTAGCTACCATGGGAAATCTTACCCTTGCTGTACTCCTAGTTTTAATTTAACCTTTAAATCAAGTATCAGCCATTTCCAGAGCTCCATTTTCCCAGCTCTGTTTCATGAATCCAGAGCCTGAGAAACAGGATGTACTTCATGCAATATTGGTAAGCACAGACATCTCAAACACATATGGAAGGGCTCTGAGTCATCATGTGCTGCATCATCTTTGCCCTCAGTACTTCTATTGGTATGGATAAAACAACTGTGGACTTTGGACCATGCCCTTCCTTCAGTATGGATTCTTAAAGTAGAAGACAGAATTTCTTCTTTATCTCAGTACCAGTAGAAGGAAGGCAGAGGAAAGTACCGACCTGGCCGAGATGGTGCCCACAGTCCAGTTTGTTAATGATGATGAAGTGGTTTGAATGATACCAATAAAGCCCAGGATGCTGACAACGGGAAGGGATAAAATGATTTTGCGGGCAGATGAGAAAACCACTTGGGCAAAGAACAGTTCTGTCTGTAATGCTGTAATTAATTTTGCATAAAATCAGCCATATTATATTGTCCTGAAAATTAGCCTATCCTTCACTTGCTTTTATGAGTTTGCAGCAAGTCTCAGAAATTGAGGAAGGATTACAGACATTTTGTGAATGCAACGTTCCAGTGAATGTCCTCAAAAATCATAACCAGCTATTGCTGGTTCCATTCTCAACACCAATATGCACATCTGTATTTATAGCTATAGTTTTGACACACTCATATGGATATGTCATGCTCATATCGATAATAATAAATCACTAAGACATGGATTAATGATAAATGTGAGAGCCCACCCACTAAAGTTTGCATGTGCATAGTTTTGAGCAAATTTGAAGGAACAAACTTTTGCCATTGACACTTTAAAGCATCTCAGTTTAACCGACAGTTCATGACAATTCTACAGAACACATCTCTGGCAGTGTTGAATAATTGGGATGGCAATGTGATAGAAACTAAGGGGGGTGCATTGAAGGCATTTGTGCAGTGAACACTATATGCATTTTAGTTTCTGAGGATCTCTAGTCTATAGCAGAAGCCCTTTCTTTCAATTATTTCCAGCTTGCAAAGGAGTTAGATACCAGTTGAGGTGGCCCCTTGGGATGATTTTTCTTCCCTATCAGTTTGTTCCAAAGCAAAAATAACTTTCCCATATAGTTGCAATTTCAACAAAAAAGGAACATTTCACTTTTTTTATAGAATAAAAGGACATGTATTTGAGCAGGAATACCATTTGCAGCTAGAAAAGCTAAAATACTGGCCATATGGATGCAAAAGACTCTGAGAGCTTCATCAAGCACTCCTCTCTCCTCAGAACCTCTACACATGCTGAAGGTCAGGAGAAGAGCCAGAAAACCCCTTCCCTGTTGATTCCGGCAGACATGTGCATGAATTGGCTGTGCCATTCTCAAAACCCAGCAGGCCGCCTCTCACAACGGCACTGGGACACCTCTCAGTGGCCATTCCAAGGTGATGATACAATCCCACGTTCAGTTCCTAATATACAGGGGGAATGAGCTAGCCAACTGTGTTCAGCTAGGTTCAGACGCTGGGATCACCTACACAATTTGCTACATTGGCTGGCATCTGGGATGGATAGTGCCAACCATGAGGCTGATATTAAGCATTCGAATAGGAATAGCAGGTCCCTAATTGCATTTCATTTTTTGTTATAGCATCTCCTTGATGCCACTTTGGATAGGGAACTGGGGCCTTCCCTGTGTGACCAAGAGCAGCTTCCCATGGAAATGACAAGGAAAATGACTACATCATCTTAAGCCTTCATAAAGATGGTGCTATATGTGGCTGTGTGTGTATTACAGACACACTATTAACATTTTACATGGTCCTGCATCTTGCTACCCTGGGTGCAAAAGACATGAGAAGACTTTGCCTTTTGGCATCAGTTATAATAATAAGCATGAGAAGCCAAACTGCAATGGGAGTCAGGGGACAAAGGTGAGGTGCTGAGGACAGATCTGACTCATGGACAAATAATTTCAATTCAGGAAAGAAAGAGCTGAAGTTTAAGTTGTTGCAAAAGTAATTGCAGTTTTTGCCACTGGAAGTAATGGCAGGGTCTGTTCCAAGATAGCTGAACAGGAACAGCTCCGGTCTGCAGCTCCCAGCATGACTGATGTAGAAGACGGGTGATTTCTGCATTTCCACCAGAGGTACTTTGTTCATCTGACTGGTTCTTGTTGGACAGTGGGTGCAGCTCATGGAGGGTGAGCTGAAGCAGGGCAGGGCATTGCCTCACCTGGGAAGTGCAACGGGTCACAGGATTTCCCTTTCCTAGCCAAGGGAAGCCATGATAGATGGTACCTAGAAAAACGGGACACTCCCTCCCAAATACTGTGCTTTTCTACCGGTCTTACAAATGGCACACCAGGAGATTATATTCCATGTCTGGCAGGTAGTTCCCATGCCCAAGGAGCCTTGCTCACTGCTAGCACAGCAACCTGAGATCGACCTGCAAAGTAGCAGCCTGCTGGCGGGAGGGGCATCCGCCATTGCTGAGGCTTGAGTAGGTAAACAAAGCAGCCAGGAAAGTTTGAACTGGATGGAGCCCACCGCAGCTCAGCCAGGCCTACTGCCTCTGTAGGCTCCACCTCTGGAGGCAGGGCATAGCTGAACAAAAGGCAGCAGAAACTTCTTCAGACTTAAATGTCCCAGTTTGACAGCTCTGAAGAGAACAGTCTTTCTCCCAGAACGATATTTGAGCTCTAAGAATGGACAGACTGCCTCCTCAGGTGGGTCCCTGACTCCAGTGTAGCCTAAATGGGAGACACCTCCCGGTAGGGGCTGACTGACACCTCCTACAGGCAGATGCCCCTCAGGGATGAAGCTTCCAGAGGAAGGATCAGGCAGCCATATTTGCTGTTCTGCAATATTTGCTGTTCTGCAGCCTCCACTGGTTATACCCAGGAAAATACAGTCTGGAGTTGACCTCCGGCAGACACCAACAGACCAGCAGCTGAGGGACCTGACCATTTTAAGGAAAACTAAACAGACAGAAAGGAAGAGCATCAACATAACTGAAAGGAGAACCACACCAAAACCCCATCTGTAGGTCACTAACATCAAAGACCAAAGGTAGATAAAACCACAAAGATAGGGAGAAACCAGAGCAGAGAAGCTGAAAATTCTAAAAAACAGAGCACCTCCTCTCCTCCAAATGATTGCAGCTCCTTGCCAGCAATGGAACAAACCTGAATGGAGAATGACTTTGACTAACTGACAGAAGTAGCCTTCAGAAGGTTGGTAACAACAAACTTCTCCAAACTAAAGGAGGATGTTCAAACCCATTGCAAGGAAGCTAAAAACCTTGAAAAAAGATTAGATGAATGGCTAACTGGAATGAACAGTGTAGCTCCTTAAATTACCTAATGGAGCTAAAAACCATGGCACAAGAACTACACGATGCAGGCACAAGCTTCAATAGCCAATTTGATCAAGTGGAAGGAAGGGTATCAGTGATTGAACATCAAATCAATGCAATGAAGTGAGAAGAGAACTTTAGAGAAAAAACAGTAAAAACAAATGAACAAAGCCTCCAAACTATATGGGAATATGTGAAAAGAACAAATCTACATTTTATTGGAGTACCTGAAAGTGACAGGGAGAATGGAGCCAAGTTGGAAAACAATTTTCAGGATATTATCCAGGAGAAATTCCCCAATCTAGCAAGTCCAGCCAACATTCAAATTCAGGAAATACAGATAACACCACAAAGATAATCCTCGAGAAGAGCAACTTGAAGACATGTAATTGTCAGAATCATCAAGGTTGAAATGAAGGAAAAAATGTTAAGGGCAGCCAGAGAGAAAGGTTGGGTTACCTACAAAGGGAAGCACATCAGACTAACAGTGGATCTCTTGTCAGAAACTCTACGAGCCAGAAGAGAGTGAGGGCCAAAATTCAACATTTTTAAAGGAAAGAATTTTCAACCCAGAATTTCATTCCTAGCCAAACTAAGTTTCATACATGAAGGAGAAATAAAATCCTTTACAGACAAGCAATTGCTAAGAGATTTTGTCACCACTAGGCCTGCCTTACAAGAACTCCTGAAGGAAGCACTAAACATGGAAAAGAACAACTGGTACCAGCCACTGCAAAAGCATGCCAAACTGTAAAGACCATTGATGCTAGGAAGAAACTGTATCAATTAATGGGCAAAATAACCACATAACATCATAATGACAGGATCAAATTCACATGTAACAAAATGTAAATGGGCTAAATGCTCCAATTAAAAGACACAGACTGGCAAATTGAATAAAGAGTCAGGACCCATCAGTGTGTTGTATTTAGGAGACCCATTTCACACGCAGAGACACACATAGGCTCAAAGTAAAGGGATGGAGGAAGATCTGCCAAACAAATGGAAAGCAAAAAAAAAAAAAAAAAAAAAGTGCAGGGGTTGCAACCCTAGTCTCTGATAAAACAGACTTTAAACCAACAAAGATCAGTAAAGACAAAGAAAGCCATTACGTAATGGTAAAGGGATCAATTCAACAAGAAAAGCAAACTATTCTAAATATATATGCACCCAATATAGGAGCACCCAAATTCATAAAGCAAGTCCTTAGAGACCAACAAAGAGACTTTGACTCTCACACAATAATAATGCGAGACTTTAACACTCCACTGTCAATATTAGACAGATCAAAAAGACAGAAGGTTGACAAGAATATCCAAGACTTGAACTCACCTCTGCACCAAGCAGACCTAATAGACATCTACAGAACTCCCCACCCTAAATCAACAGAATATACATTCTTCTCATCACCGCATGATACTTATTCCAAAATTGACTACATAGGTGGAAGAAAAGCACTCCTCAGCAAATGTAAAAGAACAGAAATCACAACAAACTCTCTCTTAGACTACAGTGCAATGAAATTAAAACTCAGAATTAAGAAACTCACTTAAAACCACACAACTACATGGAAACTGATCAACCTGCTCTTGAATGACTACTGGGTAAATAACGAAAGGGAGGCAGAATAAAGATTTTCTTTGAAACCAATGACAGCAAACACACAAGGTTCCAAAATCTCTTGGGCACATTTAAAGAAGTGTGTAGAGGGAATTTTATAGCACCAAATGCCCACAGGAGAAAGCAGGAAATATCTAATATCAACAACCTAACATTACAATTAAAGGACTGGAGAATCAAGAGGAAACAAATTGAAAAGGCAGCAGAAGGTAAGACATAACTAAGATCAGAGCAGAACTGAAGGAGATAGAAACAACAACAAAAAAAAAACCCTTAAAAAATCAATGAATCCAGGAGCTTGTTTTCTAAAGGATCAACATAATTAATAGACTGCTAGCAAGACTAACAAAGAAGAAAAGAGAGAAGAATCAAAGAAATGCAATAAAAAATGATCAAGGAGATATCACCACCGACCACATAGAAATACAGAGTACCATCAGAGAATACTGTAAATACCTCTACGCAAATAAATTAGAAAAGCTAGAAGAAATGGATAAATTCCTGGATACATACACCCTCACAAGACTAAACCAGAAATAAATTGAATCTCTGAATAGACCAGTAAAAGGTTCTGAAATTGAGGCAACAATTAATAGCTTACCAAGCAAAGGAATTCCAGGACCATACAGATTCACAGGCTAATTCTCCCAGAGGTATACAGAGGAGCTGGTACCATTCCTTCTGAAACTATTCCAATGAATAGAAAAAGAGGGAATCCTCCCTAACTCATTTTATGAGTCCAGCATCATCCTGATACCAAAGGCTGGAAGAGACACAACAAAAAAAGAGAATTTTAGACCAATATCACTGATGAACATTGATGAAAAAATCCTCAACAAAATACTGGCAAACCAAATCCAGCAGCACATCAAAAAGCTTATCCACCAAGATCAAGTTGGCTTCATCCCTGGGATGCAAGCCTACTTCAACAATTCACTTCAATAAACATAATCTATCATATAACACAACCAAGGCCAAAAACCACATGATTATCTCAATACATGCAGAAAAGGCATTTCACAAAATTCAACAGCCCTTCATGCTAAAAATTCTCAATGAACTAGGTATTGATGGAACATATCTCAAAATAATAAAAGCTATTTTTGAAAAACCTACAGCCAATATCATACTGAATGTGCAAAAACTGGAAGAATTCCCTTTAAAAACTGGCACAAGACAGGGATTCCCTCTCTCACCACTCCTGTTCAACATAGTGTTGGAAGTTCTAGCAAGGGCAATTGGGCAAAAGAAATAAAGTATATTCAATTAGCAAAAGAGGAAGTCAAACTGTCCCTGTTTGCAGATGACATGATTGTATATTTAGAAAACCCCATCATCTCAGCCTTAAATCTCCTTAGGCTGATAAGCAACTTCAGCAAAGTCTCAGGATACAAAGTCAATGTGCAAAAATCACAAGCATTCCTATACACCAATAACAGATGGACAGAGAACCAAATCATGAGTGAACTCTCATTCACAATTGCTACAAAGAGAATAAAATACTTAGGAATCCAACTTAGAAAGGGTGTGAAGGACCTGTTCAAGAAGAACTACAAACCACTGCTCAACAAAATAAAAGAGGACACAAACAAATGGAAGAACATTCCATGATCATGGTTAGAAGAATCAATACTGTGAAAATAGCCATAATGCCCAAGGTAATTTATAGATTTAATGCCATCCCCACCAAGCTACCAATGAATTTCTTCACAGAATTGGAAAAAAACAACTTTAAAGTTCATATGGAACCAAAACAGAGCACGCATTGCCACGACAATCCTAAACAAAAAGAACAAAGCTGGAGGCATCACACTACCTGACTTCAAACTATAATACAAGGCTACAGTAACCAAAACAGCATGGTACTGGTACCAAAACAGAGATATAGATCAATGGAACAGAACAGAGGCCTCAGAAAGAAGATAATTATGCAGCCACACATGTACAGCCATCTGATTTTTGACAAACTTGATAAAAAGAAGAAATGGGGAAATGATTCCCTATTTAATAAATGGTTTTGGGAAAACTGGCTAGCCATATGTAGAAAGCTGAAACTGGTTCCCTTCCGTACACCTTACACAAAAATTAATTCAAGATGGATTAAAGACTTAAATGTTAGACCTAAAACCATAACAGCCTTAGAAGAAAACCTAGACAATACCATTCAGGAATTAGGCATGGACAAGTACTTCATGACTAAAACACCAAAAGCAATGGCAACAGGAGCCAAATTGACAAATGGGATCTAATTAAATTAAAGAGCATCTGCACAGCAGAAGAATCGACCATCAGAGTGAACAGGCAACTTACAGAATGGGAGAAAATTTTTGCAGTCTACCTATCTGACAAAGGACTAATATCCAGAATTTACAAAGAACTTAGAAAAAGACAAAAACCCCATTAAAAAGTGGGCAAAGTATGTGAACAGACACTTACCAAAAGAAGACTTTTATGCAGCCAACAGACACATGAAAAAATGCTCATCATTACTGATCATCAGAGAGATGCAAATCAGAACCACAATGAGTTACCATGTCACATCAGTTAGAATGACTTTCATTAAAAAGTCAGGGAACAACAGATGCTGGAGAGGATGTGGAGAAATAGGAATGATTTTACACTGTTGGTGGGAGTGTAAACTAGTTCAACCATTGTGGAAGAAAGTGTGGCAATTCCTCAAGGATCTAGAACTAGAAACACCATTTGACCCAGACATCCCATTACTGGGTATATACCCACAGGATTATAAATCATGCTACTATAAAGACACATGCACACGTATGTTTACTGTGGAACTATTCACAAGAGCAAAGACTTGAAACCAACTCAAATGTCCATCAGTGATAGACTGGATTAAGAAAATGTGGCGCATATACACCATGGAATAGTATGCAGCCATCAAAAAGATAAGTTCATGTTCTTTGCAGGGACATGGATGCAGATGGAAACCATCATTCTGAACAAACTATCACAAAAAACAAAGTGTTTTTTTCTGTCCAAACAAAGTGTTTGGACAGAAAACCAAACACTGCATGTTCTCACTCACAGGTGGGAATTGAACAGAGAAAACACCTGGACGCAGGGTGGGGATCATCACACACTGGAGCCTGTGTTGAGGTAGGGGGCTGAGGGAAGGATAGCATTAGGACAAATACCTAATGTAAATGATGAGTTAATGGTTGCAGCACACCAACATTGCACAAGTATACCTATGTACCAAACCTGCCCATTGTGCACATGTACCCTAGAACTTAAAGTATAATAATAAAAAAAAAACATTGTGCTGAACTAAAGAAGGCACACACAAAAACCTACATATTGCATGATTCCATTTTTAAAATGTTCAGAAAATGCAAACTTCTAAAGACAACAGAGAATAGCGATTTTCTGAGACAGAGAACAGGAACAAGGATTAACTGTAAATTGGCATACAGCATCTTGCCAGAGTGATGGAAATGTTCTAAAACTGGATTGTGTTGATAACCACACAGATTGGTAAATTTACTAAAAATCATCAAATTAAAAAGAAAAGGAAGAAAGTAATGGCAAAACTTAAATTACCTGTGCACCAACCTAAATAGTTGAGTGCAGATGCAGCAAGGTCACTGATTGGCAAGTTTTTCAAAAGGTTGATGATCTATAAGGCACCTTTAAGGAAAGCCTTATTTCCTGGCTCAGCATGGCAGCATTCCATTCAAATGGAAACCATCTCCTATATCCAGAGAAGCTCTAAAAAGATAATTCCATTATTTCACCAGTGTCTCGAATAGGCACACACTAGAACTGCCTAAGCTCACATTCCCCCAATTGATCTCCTCACTATCTCTCCAGCATGTCAGATGTGTACAAACCCTCCTTCAACCTCACTTTCCCCAATCTCTGTATCTCTGTTTCTCTCTCATTCTTCCTGCATCCTCCTTCCAATACTATTCCTTTTTTTTTCCTAAGACAAATTCTTGGATATTTAAAAGTATAAATTCTCCCAAAATTTCCAAAATTTTTTATGTTACATCTGAATTTATTATCCTTGCAGAGGCCATGGGAAAACATTCCCTTTTTGCTCTGAAAAATCAACTCACAAAAGGCAAAATTAATTGGAGAAAATTCAAACAAACATACTAACACAGGGAGCATCATAGGGTCATTAATAGGGTAATTACCCAACCCCATGTCCCCAGTGGAGTATAGAAGCTTTCATACCATCTTGGAATAATACAGACCTTTATTTTTCCAAATCCATCATCTCATCAGATTCATCTAGAGAGATTCCTGGTTCCCACTCATAACCTGCCAAATCAAGCCTCCAGGGATAGATACCATAGTATTCCATGGTGTATAAGTGCCTCATTTTCTTTATCCAGCCTATCATGGATGGGCATTTGGATTGTTTCCAAGTCTTTTCTACTGTGAACAGTGCTGCAAGAAACATAAATGTGCATGTGTCATTATAATAGAATGATTTATAATGCTTTGGGTATACACTCAGTAATGGAATTGCTGGGTCAAATGATATTTCTGTTTCTAGATCCTTGAGGAATCTCCACAGTGTCTTCCACAATGGTTGAACTAATTTACACTCCCATGAACAGTGTAAAAGCATTCCTATTTCTCTACATCCTCTCCAGCATCTGTTGTTTCTTGACTTTTTAATGGTCGTCATTGTAACTGGCGTGAGGTGGTATCTCATTGTGGTTTTGATTTGTATTTCTCTAATGATGATGAGCTTTTCTTCAAAAATGTCTTCTCCTGAGAAGTGTCTGTTCATATTCTTTGCCCACTTTTTGATGGGGTTATTGATTTTAAGTTCCTTGTACATTCTGGATACTAGAACTTTGTCAGATGGGTAGATTGCAAACATTTTCTCCCATTCTCTACGTTGCCTGTTAACTCTGATAATACTTTCTTTTGCTGTGCAGAAGTTCTTTAGTTTGATTAGATCCCTTTTGTCAATTTTGGCTTTTGTTGCAATGGCATACTACTCAACCATAAAAAGGAATTAAATAATGGCATTGGTAGGAGCCTGGGTGGAATTAGAGACTGTTATTCTAAGTGAAGCAACTCACTTCACCTAGAATGAAAAACGAAGTCTTATATGTTCTCACTCATAAGTAGGAGCTAACCTCTGAGGATGCAAAAGCATAGGAATGACACAATAAACTTTTGGGGACTTTGGGAACTCAAGGGAAGGGTGGCAGGATGGTGAGGGATAAAAGACTACATATTGGGTAAAATGTATACTACTTCAGTGATGGTGCACCAAAATCTCAGAAATCACCACTAAAGAACTTGTTCATGTAACCAAACACCACCCATTCCCCCCAAAATTCTACTGAAGTAAAAAGTTTTAAAAAGAAAGAAAAGAAAAGAAAAGAAAAGAAAAGAAAAGAAAAGAAAAGAAAAGAAAAGAAAAGGCACAGTAGTTTAACCAGGCATGGCTTGCAGTGAACACCTGCAAAAATCACAGAGCATGAGGTTCAATGACCCACCATTCCTATGCATAAATTTATTGCTCAAAATTCTGGAGACTGGAAATTTCAAGATTAAGCTTTGGCAAATACAGTGACTGGTGCAGCCCCACTTTCTGGTTCACGGATGGTGACTTCTTGGTGTATTTTAACATGGTGGAAAGGTCAAGAGAGCTCCTTTATAATCTCATTCCTATGAGCTGGTGGCAAAGCAAGGAAATATCCACTCAGTTGGCTTAATAGAGTAAGGATGGATAAATGCATGCATGTGGAACATTCCACCTCACACACCTGCCAACTGCTTAGATACTATAAAAATAAAACAAGTAACCAAGTGTGGTAGTGCCTGCCTATAATCCCAACTAGCTGGGAGGCTGAGGCAAGAGTCACTTGAGCCCAGGAACTTAAGGTTGCAGACAGCTATGACTGCACCTGTGCACTCCAGCCTGGGCAACAGAGAAAGATTCTGTCTCTAAAAAACCAACATCTACCCCAGCAAATTTATGACACTCTTCTCATGAAGAGACAGGGTTTGCATCCCCTGCCCTTGAATATTGCCAGAAGAGTGATTGCTTCCAACAATAGAATATGGTGACAGGGACATGACAAGACACTTTAAAATAAGTTTTAGTTGTTGTAAAACACATGTGACATAAAAGTTACCATCTTCACCGTTTTTAAATGTACAGTTGTATTAGTCCACTTTCATGCTGCTGATAAACACATACCTGAGCCTGGGCAATTTATAAAAGAAAGATTTAATTGACTCACAGTTCCATGTGGTTGGGGAGACCTCACAATCATGGTGGAAAGCAAGGAGGAGCAGGTCACATCTTACATGAATGATGGTAGGCAAAGAGAAAAGCGCTTGTGCAGGGGAACTCCCCTTATAAAACCATCAGATCTTGTGAGACTTATTCACTATCATAAGAACAACATGGGAAATATCTGCCCTCATAATTCAAATACCTCCCACTGGGTTCCTTGAATAACATGTGGAAATTCAAGATGAGATTTAGGTGGGGACAAGGAAAACCATATCAACAGGTCAATAGCGTTAAGTTTGTGTTGTCATACAGTGACCATCACCTCCCATCTCCAGAACTCTGTACACCTTGCAAAATTAGACACTGTATTCATTAAATAACTTGTCGTTTGCGACTAGCTTATTTCACTAAGTATAATGTCCTCCTAGTACATACATGTTGTAGCATGTGTCAGAATCTCCTTTTCTTTTAAGGCTGAATAATACTCTACTGTATGGGTAGGGAAAATTTTGTTTATTTGTTTTTCCATTGGTGGACGCCTGGGTTGCTTCCCCCTTTTGGCCATTGTAAAAAGTGCTGCTATGAACATGAATGGACAACTATGTTTTTGATACCCTGATTTCAGTTCTTTGGAGTATATATCTAAAAGTAGAATTGATAGCTTATATCATAATCCTATTTTTAATTTTTAGAGGAATTTCAATGGTTTTCCATATGGCTGCACCATTTTACACTCTCCAAATAGTACAAGCTTTCTAATTTTTCCACTTTTTCAGCAGCACTTGTTACTTTCTGGGTAATTTTTTTAATACTAGTCATGCTAATTGATGCAAAGGAAATCTCTTTGTGGTTTTGATTTGTATTTCCCTAGTGATTAGTGATGTTGAGGATCTTGCATGTGCTTACTGGATACCATGTGACTTTTGAGGCTGGATCGTAAAAGGCCAAAGGGGCTCTCCCTTGTTTGCTGACATACTCACTGCTGGAATTTCAACTCACCACAGTATAAATCCAGGTAATTAGAGGCTGCCATGCTGTAAGGACCTCAAACTACATGGAGAAGCAATGTGCAGGTGTTCTCAACAGCCCCATCTGAGCCCAGATTTTGAGTCTTGCTAGCCCAAGCACAAGAAAGCGAGGAAATAAATCTCTAGATAATTCCAGTTTCCAATTTTTCAGGTCACTCCCACTTATTGGAGTCTTCCCCGTTGAGGCTGTATATACATCATGGATCAGGACAGATTCTGCCCAATATGCCCAGTCCAAATCACCAACCCACTCAATTTATAAGCAAAGAAAATGGTAGTTGTTTTATTCCACTAGGTATGGGTTGGTTTGCTATGTATCAATAGATCAGTGAAACAATCTCATGTCAGTCATAGGCTTTAGGATGTTCTGGGGAGAAATGTAAACTCTCAGGTATTTTCACTTGGCTGAGAGCAGATGGTGCAGCTCTGAGCTGCTAGCAGGCAGTATTCTTCTCAAATGGGCAACAGGTGTCCTGAAGGATAAAATGGCAGAATGAACATGAACAGGGCACCAACAGTCACTACTGCAGTGAAGCTTTAGCAATTTTTCTTCTCTAGGTTTGGAATTAATACTTTGCCAGGAAATTAGCAGTGTCAAGTTGAAAGTAGATTGGAAAGGTGAATGAGGATTAAGACAAAGGCTAAAAGGTAAGAGTGACTGATTTGCTTACCCTGTAATTTTTCCATTTCATAGCTGAAGACTAGGCGGCTTGTTCCTCATTTAAAAACACACAAAGGCAGCTAAATTAATAGTTAGGAAGTGGCCAGAAAAAGACTATTTTATACAGATGACATGCAATTTTGCAGAGATATTCTCAATAATATAAGATGCCAGAATAAACGAAGTAGGCTTTCTACTTACACCAAGCTCATAGGAACAGAAAAACTTTCTAGAAAACTAAGAAAAGATGATTGAGTAGAGAGACACAAAGTGGACTTTAAAATAAGTGTTAAATACTAATTTGAATCCTTTATCTTGTATAGAGTTTAGTGGTGTGATGGAAAAAGTTGTCAGGAGAACCAGCTCATTCATATTTTGACCATAAACTTTATAGGAGCTTATGCTCTATTACTAACATTCTTGAACATTTAGACCTGTACAACATAATCTTAATCATGGATATGGAGCACAGGATTCCCTTGGTGAGGCCACTCATCTTTGAGATCTTGGCTTAAATGTCACTATGTTTAAGAGGTCTTTCTTGGCCATTCATTTGAAGTAGCAGCCCAGGTCCACTGCATTACATTTTATATTTTCCACTTTCTGTTTAGTATATACTGCTGTTATTTTTCTTATACACTAATGTGCAATGTTGTTGCCCAACTCCAAAACACCACTGCCACCTCCACTTTCACCATCTACCACCAACACTACCAACCTCACTGACATCACTAGTGCTATGGTTTGAATGTGTCCCCCAAAGGTCATGTGCTGAAAACAAATCACAGTACATTCAATGGGATTGTACTGGGAGGTAGGCCTAAGAAGAGGTGATTAGGTCATGTTGTCCTTATAAATGGAGTAATGTCATTATAATGAGAGTTGGTTAGTTATGCTGAGAGTGGCTTTGTTATAAAAGCAAGCTCAACCCTCTTTCCCTTTTGCCCTCCATCATTGAATTGTACTGCACAAAGTTCCTCACCACATACTGGTGTCATGCTGTTGGAATTTCTAGTCTCCAGAACCATGAGCCAAACGCATTACTGTTTATTGTAAATTAACCAGTCTGTGGTATTCAGTAATAGCAACACAAAATGGACTAAGACAACCACCATTGTCACTACCATAAACACCACCACCTCCACCTTCAGCACCATCACCACCATCACCATGACCAACCACCATTATCACCATCATCATCAGCATCCATCAACAGCACCATTGCCACCATCATCACCAACACCATCACCACTACCACTATCATCATCACCATCCACAATTATCACCATCATCAGCATCGTCACCATCACCATCAAACCATCACCAACATCACCACCATCATCACTACCACCACCATCACCATCACCACTGTTATCACTACAATCATCACCATTATCATTACCATCACCACCACCACTGCCACCACCACCATCACCCTGGCTTCTCTGTAACCCCCAAGAAGGTGAGGGTGTTGCATTCCTTGCTTAGTGTTGAATCTGCCATGCCTGGAGCATTATCCAGCTTAAAGAAGACATTTAATAAACAAGCATTTGTTGTTGAACATAAAACAACAAAGATACAGCAGCTTTGACAATAACTTTGAAAGGTAGGGGTCAATGTGTTCTCAGGGGAAAATTTAGTAGATTGACTTAGATGACCTAGATCTTATTTACAGAAGACTTCTTATGGCTCTCAGCAATTGGAAAATGGAAAACTTGGTGGGAATATTCAGTATAAGCAGGTATTTTGGAATACTACTTGTGCCTTCTGGAGAACAATGAAAATAATCTGAACACATTATGAGTATGGAGCCTTCTTCCAACTGAAACCATCCCTCTCAATGTGACCCTACGCCCACCCTCTGGGGCCTGATGGACTTCTTTTCCTCACTCCAGTTCCAGCTGAAGTTTTCATTCCCAGAGCAAGATGGGTGATATCCTGCTCTGTGTGAGTTTCCATGACATTTTATTTTTCTCCACCATAATGTGAGTCCCACTGAGCTGGGAATCTCATCTATCTTGTTAATTGCTGTGCCTCAGATCTCAAAGTGAGCTACTTTGTTTTAGTTCTCACACACAGTTGTCAAAAGAATTGACTGAATTTGACGTGCCCTTCCCCTGAGAGTGGATCTTCTCTCATCTTCATCTTTGCACGAGTAAACTTCATATGCAGGTGGAGGCAGCGCTAAAAATGCAGTCCTTAGGAGTCACAAGGAAGCACAATCTTACTCAGGCAAATCACAAATTGATCCCCCTCTCTCTTACCCTGGCAGGTCAACATGCGTTCACGCGTTATATGAGGAGGCCCTGGAGCTAAGTAAATACAAGTGAGTGGAATGAATTCTCTTTATTTGATATTTAAAAACACACTTTTGCTCCTGTGACAAGGGTGCACTCCTTGTAGCAAACACTGCATTAAAAAACCAGTTTTGGGCCATGGCAGTGGCTCATGCCTATAATCACAGCACTTTGGGAGGCCAAGACAGGCAGATCACAAGATCAGGAGACTGAGACCATCCTGGCTAACATGGTGAAACCCCGTCTATACTAAAAATACAAAAAATTAGCTAGGCGTGATGGCACACAACAGTAGTCCCAGCTACTCAGGAGGCTAAGGCAAGAGATTTGCTTGAAACTGGGAGGCAGAGGTTGCAGAGAGCCAAGCCCATCATGCCACTGCACTCCAGTTTGGGTGACAGAACGAGGCTTCATCTCAAATACAACAAAACAAAAAGCAAATTTTAGGAATATTTAAATGGACTTTTCTATGTATTAATTTAAAAAAATTAACAGTCATATACTGTCTTTTATTCTGTGGTATAATATAAACAATAAAAACATAAGTAAAAAAAAACACACCCACACACAAAAAACTTTGACCTGGGCACGGTGGTTCATGCTGTAATCCCAGGACTTTGGGAGGCTGAGACAGGAGGATTGTTGGAGGCCAGGAGTTCAAGACTATCTTGAGCAACATAGCAAGACCTCATCTCTGCAAAAATAAAAAAATCAGTCCTGCATGGTGCCACATGCCTGAGCCCCAGCTACTTAGGAAGCTAAAGTGAGAGGATTGCCTGAGATCATGGGTTTGAGGCTGCAATGAACTATGGTGGTGCCACTGTACTCCAGCCTGGGCAACAGAGAGAAAATGTCTCTTAAATATTTTTTTTTTAATTTAAAAATAGAAAAACAAACTTACATTTCTGTTGCTGTGAGTACTTGTTTTGATAGCAGATTTGATGTTCTATTTTACAGTGAGCTATAAATTTACCTCTAAACCCTCAAGAAAAAAAAGTGTGTTTTCTTATCTTAATCAACTCAGTATGCTTAGATGTACATATATTTTGACTTACGAGGTTTGTGTAAATTTGTTCCACTTTTTTTTGCATATCTGTCCTGATATAGGCATCTGAGGGAGTGCTCCATCAAATGGCAATTAGTTATTTTCTTTTGTTTAAAATAAGGTACACTCATTTAAAATTCAATGAGTTGTGCACATAATTTTAAGAAGCAATGTACTCTTCTAAATGTGGAAGCTCCAGAGATGTTGCTAAGAGTAAGAACATCTACTGTTTAGTATGTAGTTCTGTACCCGAAACTGACACATTTACCAAATGACTAAAAGTGTTATAATATTTCTTAGCATCGCTTCTTCCATATGTCTTATGGGAAAAATCATTCTGTGCTCTAATGCAACAGTTTCAAGTCTCTGAATGAGGGAGAATTTAGAAAGATATGTTAAAAGCTATTTTTGATGGGAAGGTTGAGATGATTTTATATAGATAGTTGTCTTATACAGAAAATCAGCCACTTATTTTAAAACTAAAAAATATTTAAGACATACAGTAATCACTTTGGTCCAGGCAATAGGTGTAAACTATAATAAGAATGAGAAATAAATGTTATGAATAGTTGACAAAAAATTAAAATATACCTATACTCTGGAGGCAGACATTTATTACTTTCGTTGTGCATTTGGTTTCAGAACATATGGCTTCAGCAAACACAACAGCATTGACAATGAAGCCTGAGATTGGCAAAAAAAAAAAAAAAAAAAAAAAAATTAAGACCTCTATTCCTAAATATCTACATCTTAATTCCCAGGATATTTGAATATGTTACCTTACGTGACAAAGGTAATTCAAGTTGAGATGAAGTTAAGGTTTTTAATCAGTTGACCTTAAATTAGGGAGATTAACTGGATTATCTGGGTGGGCCCAGTGGAATTGCAGAGATTCTTTAAATGAGGAAGAGAGAAATAGAAGAATCAAATGATGTGATTTGAGAAATTCTTGGCTAACTTTTGCTGGCTTCAAAGATAGAAGAAGGCCAGGACACAAGGAATTCAGGTTAGGTCTAGAAGCTGTAAAAAGGCAGGGAATAGATTCCCCCACAGATCCTCCAGAATAAATGTGTTTACTGACACTAGTTTTAACCCAGTGAAATTCATTTAGGACTTCTGCCCTTCAAAACTGTGGGATGATAAATGTGGCACTAAATTAGTGATAATGCATTGCAGGTAGGCAAAGGAAACCAGTATTGATTCCTAGTTTGATTAGGGGAACAAAGACCAAAGATGTAGTGAGTGGAAAATAGAAACATGTCTTGGCAAGTGTCACATTGTGCGGTTCCAAAAAGTGGGGCTGGGCCTAGACCAACTCTTCATTCTCCCAACAAATAAAGTTTCTTCTACACTCAAAGCCTCCTTTCTTATCCTTTTAACTTCATCTAAGTTCACTTCTTTGGAATGTTCCAAATCATAGTTTTTCTGCCACAGAACAGTCAGCCACAAACATGGATACCAACAGAGAACTCCGGTATTACATTATGAGCAGGAAGGATGTAGCATATTAACAAAAGGAATCTCCATTGGATGAACCATCTATGGAAGATATTCGCTTCTCTATTTTGAACCCTATTCACTAATTTCAACTCTACCTGCCACTAAGGTCCCCAACAAGATAAACTCGACTTGAATGATCCAATATGGTGGCCACTCACTGCATGTGGGTATGGGCACTTAGAACACTGTGAGTCCTGGGATCTGAGAGACCAGAATAGACCCCACTCTGTCAACTAAGATGGACCCCAGGATTGAGGAGACAAAACTTACCTACTGGTCAAGGGTTTAGGTCTAGGCTGGAATGACAACTTCCTAAATCCCTGTGGTTGCAGAACCATATCCTTGCTAAACTCCCTAACAAGAGGATCTATCAAACCTCTCCCAATTCTGGTTTACAACCCAGACAAGTGTAACTGATTGGATGGAGGACCACCCTTATAAACATTCTTTTCTGATAAGCAATCGTAGACCTTATACCAGTTTCAGCTAGTCTATAGAAGCTGTGAGCAAATTGGATTTGCGTCCTATAATTCACCTCTTCATGTGAGGAGCCAAGTTCTAGCTCATTTTAATGTGAAACCACGCCCCAAAGTGAACATGAGATATATATTATGTATGTGTTTACTCATTGCACATGCACTCACCCCCATCATAAATATGTATAGCTTTCCCTCCAAACCTGCTGAATATGTGTAACTCCACTGTGTAATACAGAACCTGTGAGGCATAAAACCTAACCTGCCCCTTCTGTCCTTGAAGACAGAGCACATTTGGTCCACATGGGAGCGTATCCTCCCTGATTTCCAAACTGATATCACCAGTAAAGCTGTCCTTCTATTTAACCATTCTGGTCGTCTTTTGGACAACAGTCCAAATTGAGATGTACTCTATATGCAAAACATACACCAGATTTCAATAATTTAGTACAAGAAAGAGAATGTAAAATATTCCAATAATTTCTAAAACATTATTGACATATAGCCAGGCACTGTGGCACGTGCCTATATTCCTGGTTGTGTGGGAAGTGGAGGCAAAATAATCACCTGAGGCCAGGAATTACAGGCTATAGTGTGCGTTGGTCATGACTGTGAATGCCACTGCACTCCAACCAGGGCAACATAACAGACTCTTTCTTTAAAATAATAATCATAATAAAATTATTTACATACTGAAATGATCATATTTTGGGTATAATGGCTTATATAAAATATGTTATTGAATTTAGCTTCACTTATTCATTTTACTTTTTAAAATGAGATTATGAGAAAATTTAAAATTATTTTCATGGCTCCTGTTTGTGGCTTGTGTTATGTTTCTGTTGGATGGTGCTAGTCTTTAGTTAATATTTTAAGTGACCATATCCCATCCACCACCCTTTGCAAATAAATAATCAGCCAACATTGGCAATGTAGGCCATAGTTTTGACATTTCAAACTGTAGATGTAATCATGGAAAGGACCATCTGGAAATCACACCATAGTGTCTAAAATATTGGAATGGCTGTGCTTCATACCTATACACTCTTCAAGTTAACTTTTGGGAAATTCTGATATGTGATTCTCTTCCTGTAGAGAACTTACAGTGAGTTATTCAAATGGAATTAAGAAAATATAAAGACACTGTGGGAAAAAAACCCATCCCTTTCAGTGGTTCTTTTTAAAATTTTCACTTTAATGAATCATCTGATGTGCTATAAAGTGACATAAGAAAAAGTTGTTGGAAAAAAAGCATTTATTTCTTCTTTCAGACTTCTGAATGTAAAATGAACATCTTTGGGAATTGGCAAATGATCCATTATATTATTCATCTGAACTGAATGTGTAGGAGACAGTGGTATTCATCGACTCATGCCTTCATTTAACAAAAGGATTGAGTGCTTTCTCAGTATGAGACATATCACCAGCACAGAAGACCTGATGCCTGTCCTTTACAGCCTTCTTATTTTGAGTAGAGAAGGCTCGGGGCCATAGATCTGTGGTCTTTCCAGTCTGAACGGTGCTCCATAAGTGCCCTTAAAAACGACGGAATTTTGCTTGTCATTCTGAGTTCTTAAAAAGGAGGCCTCTAGGCTGGGCATGGTGGCTCACGCCTGTAATCCCAGCACTTTGGGAGGCCAAGGTGGGAGAATCATGAGGTCAAATTTGAGACCATCCTGACCAACATGGTGAAACCCCATCTCTACTAAAAATACAAACATTAGCTAGGAGTGTTGGGGTACACCTGTAATTTCAGCTACTCAGGAGGCTGAGTCAGGAAAATTGATTGAATTTGGGAGATGCAGGCTGCAGTGAGCTGAAATTTCACCATTGCATACTCCAGCCGGAGTAACAGAGTGAAACACTGTGTCAAAAAAAATAAAAAATAAAAAAAGGAGGGCTCTTTCAGCACAGTCAACTAAGCTCCATCTGTGGAAGGTACCTGGATGCTCCACCCACATTCCCTTGGCCATTTTCAGTTCACCAGCAGATGCGCTAGAGGGTCCACAGCAAGCTCACAACCTCTCACTCAAGCATGTTTGGCTTCCTTCTTCTCAGCTCAGGGCTGGCTTTGTCCTTAGGGAGCTTACTCAGCTGAACATGGGTCAAAACCCCTGAGACAGCCCTCAGACACTGGAGAAGGGAGTCAGAAATCAAATGCCTCCTTCCCTGGGGTGGGGGTGTGTTTCCAAGACTACGTCTTCCTTCCCAGGGGTGAAAGTGACTAAGCCCCCACTTATTAACACATTACCTTTACTTCTTCTCTAACTCTCACTCCCCACTTCCCCAGTCAGCTTCTTGGATAAGCTCTTGCATAAGCTACTGCATAAATAAGGCCACTACACGCAACTCCTGGTCTCAGGGTTGACTTGTGGAAGAACTTCGACTAATTTATCTGTAAGAGCAGTCTACAGCAAGATTTTCAAGTTGATGTTGGCAGAATTTTAAAACTGACATATTTTCTCAAGTTGTGCTATGTGCACATTTCAAATATCACA
The DNA here is from genome assembly GCF_000001405.40 of Homo sapiens. Lineage (NCBI taxonomy): Eukaryota > Metazoa > Chordata > Mammalia > Primates > Hominidae > Homo > Homo sapiens. Next base: position 15,303,805 of record NC_000024.10, on the reverse strand, counting down.
ATTTTTTTAATATTGCATAACATTAACATGGAATTATGACATATTAAGCATTGCAGTGTCATGTGATGGAATTTCTTTAGAAAGCATTAGGGGAAAGGTGATGGGGAGAAACATGAGTCCCATACACAGTTGAAAACCCCTTTAATATATTCTTTAGAAAGTCTCCTCATCTTGCAGTGTTTAAACTTTGGGGCATGCATCTTGCTTTTTATGTAATGGAAGTATATCAGAGACTCTAGTCATTGCACCCACGGATAGCCTTGGGGACTTCAATGCCTAAACCTCCTGGGGGCAGATCAAAAGACTGGCTCCTCCACAGAGAAATAAATTATGCAGGAGCTGGAAGAGAAGTAGAGGGTATTACTTGATGAAACTTTCATCAGATCCTTCTAAAGTCAATATAGATAGGATTTCCAAAGCTTTTATTATGTTGGAAAATATCTGCATGTGCAAATACTGCTCCGGGGTTCATCACAGCTATATTTCTTCCTCTATAAAATACCAGAAAAATTACTTAGATTTACAGCAATAAAGATAAACCTGTGGTTGTATCTATTTCTTTTATTACAGTGTCATGTGTGTTTTTGTTTACTTATCTCTGTTCTAAGGATTGAACATTTTCAACCCTTCGATTATAATTAAAATCATGATATGTCATTAATATATCTTCCTTGAATGTGGATAACATGTAAGCATTTCATTAGGAGGCAGAATATGAGAGTTTTAAGAACATGGGCTTGGGGGAACAGTGGCTCAATCTTTTTTTTTTTTTTTTTTGAGACAGTCCTACTCTGTCACCCAGGCTGGAGTGCTGTGGCTCAATCCCTGCTCACTGCAAGCCCCACCTCCCAGGTTCCTGCCATTCTCCTGCCTCAGCCTCCGGAGTAGCTGGTACTACAAGTGCCTGCCACCACGCCCAGCTAATATTTTATATTTTTAGTAGACATGGGGTTTCACCATGTTAGCCAGGATAGTCTTGATCTCGTGACCTCATAATCCACCCACCTCGGCCTCCCAAAGTGCAGGGACCACAGGTGTGAGCCACTGCGCCCAGCCCAAACTTTTAATCCTAGTGCTTTGGGAGGCCAAGACAGCAGGATGGCGTGAGATCAGGAGTTTTAGATGAACCTGGGCAACATAGTGAGACCCTGTCCTTGAAAAAAAAATTAAAACAAAAGTAATAAGGAGAAAAAGTAGGGGTCAGGCACAATGGCTCGCACTTGTTACCCCAGGTTTTTTGGAGGCTGAGGAGGAAGGATCATGTCAGCTCAGGAGTTTGAGACTAGCCTGAGCAACATGGAAAGACTCTCTATCAATAATAATAATAATAATAATAATAATAATAATAATGATAGGATATGGGCTTGAAATGGAGCTGCATGGGTCTGAAGCCTGGCTCATCTACTCTCTGACATTGAGGTTATTATTTATTCTGTGCTTCAGTTTCTGCATCTGCAAAACGGGATTTATAACATCTATCTATAATTGCATCATGAATTCTTCCTGTCCACTGCACAGGCAAAAATCAATTCGCTGAAATACAGTATTGCAGTACAGAGAGAGTTTAATTGATGTGAGGCTGACCTATGAGGGAGAAACAGAGTTATCACTCAATTGTGTCCCTTGGAGGATAATATTTTTATGGACAATTTGGCAGGCAGGGGATTAGGAAATGGGTGCTGCTGATTGGCAGGGGGTGAAATCACAGGGGTATGGAAAACGGTCCTCATGCACTGAATCCACCTCTGGGTGGGGCCACAGGACCAGCTAAGTCATGAGTCATGAGTTCTGCTGGGGTCCGTCTGAAAAACAACTCTGAAAAAAAGAATCTTAGCTTCTACAATAGTGATGTTTTCTATGGGAGCAGTTGCAAAGGTCACATGTCTTGTGACCTCTGGCCACATGATCCCTGAGCAGTAAAGAATTATAGAATCTACGCCTACATCTTAGCAGAGTTCAAGTCCTTGCCATAATTCTATTTTTGTGGCCTTTCAAAGGTGGTTTAGCTTTGGGGAAGGCAGGTTAAAATTTTGAGGAATCATACCTGCTTTAATGTCAAACCGCAAACTAAATTTCTCCTAAAGTTAGCTTGACCTACGTCCAGGAATCACCAAGGTAACTTGGAGTTTAGAAGCAAGATGGAGTTAACTATGTCAGTTTTCTCCTCTGTCATAATTTTGCAAAGGCAGTTTCACCTCCAATGGTAATGGGAGTATACGTTCACTGGGGTGTTATATTAGTCTGTTCTCACACTGCTAAGAAAGATATACACAAGGCTGGGTAATTTATAAAGGAAAGTAATTTATAAAGAAACAGTTTAATGGACTCACAGTTCTGCTTGGCTGGGAAGGCCTCACAATCATGGCAGAAGGCAAAGGAGGAGCAAAGTCACATGCTGCATGGATGCAGGCAAGAGAGTGTGTGCAGGGGAACTGCCCTTCCTAAAATCATCCGATCTTGTGAGACTTATTCACTATCATGAAAATAGCCTAGGAAAGACCTGCCTCCGTGATTCAGTTACCTCCACTGGCATGTGGAAATTATAGGAGCTAAAATTCAAAATGAGTGAAACCCTATCAGGTATAATTCTGTTGCAACTACATCTGGGTGTACTGCCATTCAGCTTTGGCTCTAATCGTCCAGAGTTAGTTCAGACACCGCAAGTTAAAGAGTTTAATCCTCAAGAAGACTTCTCATATTACGGACACCAGCCACACTCTGTTGGTCTCCAGGCCACCTGCACTTTGTACCAACTTACTATAAATTCAGGCATTCCTGTGAACCCCTCAAGTTTTGTAATTCACTAGAATCCACTAAACTTAGGAATCACTATACTTAACCATTACAGTTTTATTGTAAAAGATACACATAAGCTGGGTGCAGGGGCTTACATCTGTAATCCTGGCACTTTGGAAAGCTAAGGTGAGAGAATTGCTTGAGGCCAAGAGTTTGAGACCAGCCTTGGCAACATAGGGTGCCTCATCACACAAAACAAACAAACAAAATAAGCGGGGCATGATGGTGTGTGTAACTGTGGTCCCAGCTATGCAAGTGGCTGAGGTGGGAGGATGGCTTGAGCCCAGGGGTTCAAGACTGCAGTGAGCCATCATTGTGCCACTGCACTCCAGCCTGGATGGTGGAGAGAGGCCCTGTATAAAAAAATAATAATAAAAGAGACAAGAAAAAAAAAAAGGTGTACATATATGCAAGATCCAGGAGTGAATTTAGAGCTTTAGTGCCCTCTCTCCATGGAATCAGGGTACTTCCTTCTCCCAGCATGTCAAGGTATTCACCAGCCAGGAAGCTCTACTGAGCTTCAGTGTCCAGAGTTCTTATCCATGTTTGGTTTGGTAAGCATGATCAATTAAGTATTAGCCGCGTTGTTGACTTTCATCTGCTGTCTGCCATCCCCAGAGGTCAGGCAGATGAAAATCCCCCCAACCCCCCAATCACATGGTTGGTCTTTCTTGTGATCAGCCCCCATCCTATTGCTATTAACTTCAGTGCACCCTGAGTCACCTCATTAGCATAAGAAAGACCCCCTTCTCTCAGGAAATCCCAAGGATTTTAGAAGTTCTTTGGTGGGAACCCAGGACAAAGACTGGACAAGTTATTTACAATCTCAATGAGTAATAACCTGTAATAAAGGCTGGCACAGGGTGAGTGTTCAATATATGGTAGCCAAAGATATGTAGGAGGGCGTAGAGGGCCAAGAGGCATATTTACATCTCATTTCTAAATCCCTGTCATTTGCTGGCACAGTGAGTTGCTCACAGCTGTAATCCCAGCACTTTAGGAAGCCTAGGTAGGAGGATTGCTTGAGGCCAAGTGTTCAAAAGCACCCTGGACAACATAGCAAGAACCTGTCTCTACAAAAAATTAAAATATTATCCAGGTGTGGTGGCATATGCGTGTAGTTTGAGCTACTTGGGAGGCTGAGGTGGGAGGATCACTTGAGCCTGGGAGGTGGAGGCTGCTATGAGCTCTGATGATGTCACTGTACTCCAGCCTGGATGAGAGTAAAACTCTGTCTCCAAATCCTAATAATAATAAATAAATCCCTGTAGTTTAAATCATGGTCAACAAGTGTATTTAAATATCTCAATTTCCATGGTTCTCTCCCTCTACTCAGAAAAAATTCTATGAGTACAACTTTATCAACCCCTCGTGTGCTCCTCCAAATATTGGCTTCCATCAGGTTCCCCAGTTTGTCACATTATATTCTGATTATTCTATGGTTCATATTCCTTTGGGAGAACACTTTTATTCTTCATTCTCTCTGCTTAAAAGTATTTCCCATGCTCCAGGATAAATGCTCTTGGTAGTGTGGTGGTGTTGTTTTGTTTGCTTTTTAAACAAATAAATCAATTTTCACTAAATTTCCTCAGATTTTAACCTCTTGCTTTTGTTCTAAACACATTAGTAGGGAATACGCACATTCTTTCATTTGGTATATCTGTAATTCATAATAGCAGCCAGATCAAAACCATCTAACTAGCCATGGTTATTTTAAAACTGTTTAATACAAGGTATAAACACATTTCAGTTTAATTTCAATTTACATATGAATGCTAGAACATCTGCCTTCTTAACTGGCTTACTTAAGTCAAAGTGGCAGAAATCAGACAGGAAATCAATGGACTAGATGAGGGCTACCCACAGCAGGGAGGGCTATCTGCTTTCCTCAGCCTCTGATTCAAATGTTAATCTCATCCTGAAACACACTCACATGTTTACACCCAAAATAACATTTAATCAATTATTAGGGCACCCTGGACCTGTCAAGTTGACACATGAAATAAATTAATCATCACAGACGGAGAGGTGCCTGACACACAAGATGTCAGAGCTGCTGCATTGGAAAGTGGTTAGGAGAAGTTATGGACCTTAAAGCAGGAGCTGGTATTTTGCATAATAAATGATTGCATTTATAGACATTTTGCTGCCTTAATGTCAGCAAGGGTTGTGGAAGAAATTTTGGTGTGCATGCATTCCAGAAATGTGTAGAAATTCTAGTTATTTATAAATTGTAAGTTGAAAAGAAACCTGCAATCAGATGTTGATTGTAGATAATAGGGCATCTAATTACTTCTAAATCCCTCTGATTAGGAGATTTTGTCTCTGGATGGTCACCTGCTTGGTGGTCACCAGGTGATCTTTGCTTTCCTTAGTGTCCAGTTTACCTCCAACCCTTCTTTCAACATAGCAGCTTTCTTTTTCCTATTGCACATCCACGACATTGGTAATTCCTGGAGAGTCCACGTGCATGTAGGAGAAAAGATGTTGCAATATTAGAAAGTAGACAAGTTTATCTTCACTTCCTCTGGTCTTAAAGCTGCAGGCTTCCTGGAAGCCTTGTTAATGTCTGCATGTCCCTTTCTGAGCTCAGTTCTCTTTAGCTCACACCACAAATGCTAGCCACATTTGCTGGTAGATATATTTTTCATTCGAAGATATAAATATCTGACAAGGACTGAGAGCACTTGCACTGAGGAAACTTAGCCCTGGGAGAAGGTTGTTGAAGAAAGGTTTCTGAGACCAAATAAAACCAAGAAATATTCTAATATCCACCCCTAACCTAGAGCATTAGTGTACTGAAGATGTGAAAATCAGAAAATCTTGGCAGTAAAGATTAAAGTTGAAGTTTGTTTAATTCAGAATTTTTTAGACTCATTGGATCACAATACCTCCTCCCCTATCCCCAATCCAAGTATCTGTTAGTGTCTTTCAAAACAACTGTTCCCCTCACTGCATTTTTAAAAATACTGGTCAAAAGTGTTGTGGCCTCTCAGAGTGATGTTTGCATTGAATATAGATGGGTAAGTCAAACTAAAGACTCAGTATCTAATGGGGATTGGGGGCTTGTAGGACATAGCATGGATAAACATCTATCACAGGGAAGGGAAGGCTACCAGCTCTATGAGGGCATCGAGTGAAACTCAGCAAATTGCAGAGGTTAGGGACATCAACCTCTGTGTAGTCAAAAATTCAAGTATAAATTTGGTTCCTTAAAAACTTAAACTAGTAACAGCCTACTGCTGACCAGAAGCCTTACTGATAAGATAAATGGTCAATTAAAATATGGGATTTATAAATTATATGCATTATACGCTGCATTATAGTAATGAAGTAAGCTAGAGAAAAACAAATGTTGTCAAGAAAGTCAGAAGGAGGAGAAAATACATTTACTATTCATTAAGTGGAAGTGGATCATCATAAGGTGTTCATCCTCCTGGTTCTCACTTTAAGGAGGCTGAAGAGGAGGAGGAAGAGGAGGGGTTAGTCTTACTGTTGCAGGGGTGCAGAGGTGGAAGGAAATCCACTGATAAGGAGATCCTCATAGCTTAAACTCATTGTTCAAGAGTGTACTACAATTCATTTAAAAAACTAAGTCTCATGAAATTATATCAAGGTGTCAGTTTTACTCTTGCAAACTAGAGAGTTGAACTTGAAATAGATACTGCACATTTGTTTGTCTTCTTTACCTTTCTTTAACTTTTAACTTTATTGAACAAAGAGTTTGAGGAACTACTTATCAATAGACTTCCTTCCACCTCTGCTCCCCTGTGACAGCAAGACTAACACCTCCTTTTCCTCCTCCTCTTCAGCCTCTTCAATATGAGAACAAGGAGGAAGACATTTATGATGATCCACTTCCACCAAATGAATAGTAAATACAGTTTCTCTTTCTTATGACTTTCTTAATAACATTTTATTTTCCCTAGATTATTTCATTGCAATAATACAGTATATAACCATACAATACATGAAATATATGTTAATTCATCATTTATATTATCAGTAAAGCTTCTCATCAATAGTAGGCTGTTAGTGGTTAAGCTTTTGGAGAGATAAAAGTTATACTTAAATTTTTGACTAAACAGGGAGTTGTTGCCCCTAAGCTCTGCAGTGTTAAAGGATCAGCTCTATACATAAAAGGCTTAGCACTGGATTGAAAAACTAGATTTAAATTTTCAAATTGTAAAAAATTACACAGACCAATCTTTGTAATCTGAGGTGATTGTTAATAAGTAGTTCCACATTTCTAGCAGATTTTTTTTTTTTTGCTTTTTTTCTGATTCAGAATGTTTTGAAAGTTGGAGTCTTAATTTCTTTAAAGTGTGTATGCATCACAATTGCTCTGGGATAAAAGTAGTCTGTGAGCCAGAGTGTAACAAACAAAAAACTGCATGTGAAAGTCGAGTGGTCTTTATTTGATATATACATGATAGAAGATTAAAAATTGAAGGGGATGTAACATTGTTCAGTCATAAAAAGGAAGGAAGTACTGATATGTGATACAACATGGATGGACCTCAAAAAGGCTGGTGCAGTTCCTCACACCTGTAATCCCAGCAATTTGGGAGGCTGAAGTGGGCAGATCATCTGAGGTCAAGAGTTTGAGACCAGCCTGGGCAACATGATGAAACCCCGTCTCTACTTAAAAAACAAACATTAGCCAGGTATGATGGTGCACTTCTGTAATCCCAGTTACTCAGGGAGACTGAGGCAGAAGAATCTCTTGGGCCCAGGAAGGAGAGGTTACAGGTAATAACAGATAATTAATACAACATGGTAGCTCTTTTCAAATACGTAAAGGGCTTAAGGTAGGGCATGCTGGCTGGTACCTGTAATCCCAGAACTTTAAGAGACCAAGACAAAAGGATCACTTCAGGCCAGGAGTTTGAAACTAGCATGGGAAACACAGGGAGACCGTGACTCTACAAAAAATAAAATTATTTGGGCCTAATGTACTCCCAGCTACTCAGGAGGCTGAGGCAAGAGGATCGCTTGAGTCCAGGAGGTAGAAACTGCAGTGAGCTGTGATCGCACCACTGCACTCCAGCTTGGGAAATAGAGTGAGACCCTATATCAATATATACATATACATAGAATATACTATATAGTAGATATAGTGTTTATATAGTATATGTTACATATAGTGTTTAGATACTACATATTATATGTAGTGTGTATAAACTATATACATATAGTATGTCTAGTATAGTATAAGTACATATATAGTATACATACACAGAGATTGTATAGCGTATATAAACTATAATACTATATATGTATAGAGTACGTATTCCATACATATCGTATATATGTGTGTATATACTGTAGTATAGTATAGTTGTACAAATACAGAATATAGTATACTATATTGTATACTATATATGTATAGAGTGTATACTTTATGCATATAGTATATATGTGTGTATACACTATAGTACAGTATAGTTGTATAATATAGTATATATATACACTATATATAGTATATATGGCATAAGTACACTACATATGTATAGTATAATATACATACTTTACATATACTATCTAGAGTATATCCACAGTATATTACTATATGTATATATAAACATATATGTATAGTATAGTACATATATGCATATACTATACATGGATACACTCCTTATACTATGTATGAAGCATATATGTATATATATGCAAAATGTATAGTGTGTATATATAGTATATATGTATGCATATACTATACATAGTGTACTATATAGAGTTGATATATACTATCTCAAAAATATGTGTAGTATCTACATTATATGTGTACAGTATATATTATATATACTATAATATACTATATATAACAAAAAATATATATATAACTATATAACAAACAATATACATATAACATATATACACATATATAACAAAAATATGTGTATTATCTACATTATATGTATAATGTGGTCACTATAATAATACTATATATTATAAAGCCCCATATATATGGGGCTTTATAATATATATGTATATATGCACACTATATTATGTATATATACATACACACTTGTATACATAAATGGGTTTAAATGGCAAGGAAGGTTTAGATTTGTTCTATTGATTCTCCAAGAGTAAATAAGTGACAATGAGTAAAAGTTATGGGAGGATTTCATATAGTTCATTTAAAGTAGTAAGTATATTTCAACGATTTGAGGTTTCTGAAAATAGAATACACTTCTGTGCAAACAGTGAGTTCTTAATTAGAGGATTTCAAGCAGAGACCAAATGACTGCCTCTCAGGAATGCCACAAGTCTATCCACATTTTTTATGGAGAGTGGGCTGTATTCTAGTTTCTCACACCTGGACATATATCAGAATTCCATGAGGAAATGTTAGAGATTGCTCATTTCTAGGTCACACCCTTAGAGATTCTGATTTAGGAAGTTAGCCACGAGGCCCTGAATTGCTTTTTTTTCTTTTGTTGTTGTTCTTTAACAAATTCTTTATCTCTCTTTGATAAATCAAATTCAAGGACTGATCTTTGAAACTTGCTGGACTGGGAAAAAAAAATGGAAATAACCCACCTTTTAATTTTGGCTTTTCAGTTTAAATGACTGTGACTGATGTAGTTAACGTCTGTTGTTTGCAGTTTTTTCCCATAGAAGTACCTTTTTATGTATTTTTCCCTTGTTTACAACAAAGTGGACTGGGAGAAGAGCTGGAATGAGAATCTTTTTTTCCAGAGAAGAATGAGGCATATTTGGGGCATGTTATGTTCATCACTTTGCTAAATGGACAGGTTAGATTTGTTTCATTTTCTTTTTCATTTTCAGTAAGTTATCATTGAGGTGGCTTTTTTACAATCTGAGTTTTTTTCCCTAAGAATTGCTCAGGGAAAGGAAAGAAGAAATGTCTGTTCATTAATTTAATAAACATGCAGCCATGGTGTTGTCCCTGAAACAATCATCAATAGCAACAAGGAAAAGTGTCTATGTCCAGGGAACCTGGAGTTTAAAGGAGACACAGAAACATTCTGACTTGAAAGGAGAAGTCCAAACTGCTATGGAAATAGGTAAAGAGGTCCCTAATCTCAACTCCAGGAGAGAAAGAAGAGATGAGGAGAAATTGAAACACCAGTAAGCTCTAGAGCAGCATCTTTATTTTAAGGGTGTTTTTAGTTGTGCTGAAAATTTTTAAAAAGAGGAGTAACATAATCACATTTCAAAAGATCCCTTTAGCTTTTGTTCTCAAACGATTAGGAAGCAGAATGTTGTACTTAATTTTATCTGAAAAATTACACAAAAATAATTTTAAAAGTCAGATCTCATTTTAAAAAGGCTTATAGCAAAAAAACCCCACATTTTCTTTTCCCAGCTTTGTCATTTTTTGTTTAATGCTTCCCCCCACAGGCCATCAAATATTTTATTGTTTCTTCTGGAATTTAGAGGGGTTTATTTGCCCATTGGTTAGTTGAGAGGTAGACCTTTTATTATTAACATTAAAACAAATTTGAAGCAACCATGAAAATAATCAAAACCCCCACTGCTCCTGACCCACTGTACCTCACCTCAGTATATGATATAGTTGGTGGCAGTCGTGGCGATTTGGGAGGTGGGGGTGGGTAGTAGTTGAAAGAATTTTCTGAAAAACTGAGAGTTTTTTCCAGAAAAACTAGAAAAATGAGTCTTGCATGAAAAGATGGCTCGCATTTCATTGTAAGAGAGAGAAGAAAAATATTTGTATGGTTTCAGATAGTATGTTGAACTGGGTGCCAGAATAGTTTACTAATGAGAAAGTCATCGGAACATGCAATAAAAAAAAGTAACCTGGTGCCACGTGGCACAAAGTGGCAATATGGGCTGATGTTCTCAAGTTGTTATGTTAAGTCCTAGGTGTCTGGACCAACCAGAATGAGAACCCAGGTTCAAGAGGAGAGGGAACCGCGTTGGGAGAATGGGTATCTCGGAGCTGTCCGTGGTGCTGCCTCACCTCTCGAATTTTACCTGTAATGACAGCTAAGGATGAGCCAATGCTTTTCAAAAACTCCTCCCTTTGATGACCCTGAAGCCCAGATGTGACTCCTTCTGACTCCTTCATGTGAACTCCCTTGGAAACAATACAAAGTGTAGCATAGGGCTGGCCACTCGCATCTTTGAGTTAACCCAATTTTCAATATGACTTGGCCAATCCATGAGAATTGGTAAATCACGAGTCTCCTGACAGTCACACTGGGCTGAATCTGCAGAATACACATCAAAAGACACACCCAAACCGAAAAGCCACCCCCATAGTCTGACCTGTGACCTACTACAGCAATACAAGAGTGATAGTTGAATAAGGATGCTGAGAGGATGTGGACTGGCCGCTGGAAAGACCAGAAGCAGGAGATTGGGGCATTAGTCTCAAGTGTCACCAGATTCCATTTTTCTATTTTCCAATTTCTTGCTATGCCCTACAGCTGGAAATGAAAGAGTAAGAGGATTTTTCTCATCTTAAACATTTTGTTGGACTGACTATTGGATGGGTTGCAGGAGACCCTTCTTTGGGAGGATACTGAAAACTGTTTGTTTTTTTAAGCATTAACCAAGAGGGCCTTGAGCTGTTTATAATGAAGTTTTCGGAAGAGTTACAAAGCCCTTCAGGATTTAAAAAAGGCCATAGTTGAATCTTTTTCTCTTAGATATCCCCTTATATTGTTTGTGTTTAAGTTTATTTGTGTTTATGTTTAAGCCTCTCAGCAGATTCTAAGAACCAAGTTTCTCTCCTTCTTTCCTTCCTTCTCTTTACTTCCTCTCTCCCTTCTTCCCTTTCTCCCTCCTCTCTTTTTCTTTCTTTTCTTTCATCCTTCCCTCTCTCCTTTTCCTTCCTTCATTCATTCCTTCCCTTTCTTTCCTTCTTTCTTTCCTATCCCCTCCCTCCCTCCTTCCCTCCCTCCCTCCCTCCCTCCTTCCTTCCCTTCCTTCTTTTCTTCCTTTTTTCCTTGTCTTGTCTCCCTGTTACCCAGGCTGGAATGTATTAGTGCAGTATAGCTCACTGCAGCCTTGACCTTCTGGGCTCAAGTGAACCTCCTACCTAAGCCTCCTGAAGTGCTGGGACCACAGGCATTTGTCATCATAACAAGCTATTTATTTATTTATTTACTTATTTATTTATTTATTTTTGTAGAGCCTGGGTCTTGCTATGTGACCCAGGCTGGTCTCGAATTCCTGAGCTTAAGTGATCCTCACATTTTGGCCTCCCAAAATGCTGGGATTACAGGCATAAGCCATCACATGCCGCCCTTATTTGTTTTTTAAAGCTGAGATCAGTTCTTTAAAAAGCAAAGATACTCCATTTTTGTTTATTGAGTTATCTTTAAAATTTGAAGTTGCTGGATCTTGGGGTAGGGAAAAACACAGTGTATTGTTTTTTCGATTGTTAACAAAACCTGATGGCAGAACTTGAAACCCTATCATACTTCTCTATTTCCCTAATGTAAGGAAAAGTTAAGGTCTCTTATACATAAAGTATTACATTATAATAGTTTCTTTGAGTAATAGCTCTTTAAACTTTCTTATTGAAGACATCATTTATAAACTTTATATCCTTCCCACCTCCACTGCACAAGGCATGGAGAAATTACCTGCGAATCCTAGTAACAGGTAAATAGATGTCTGGGAGAAAGTAATTTGCATAACAATGGAAAAGTGCAATTCCACTTGTTTTAAAGAAAAGATTACTGGAAATTTCAAGTCACTTAAGATTTAAAAAGTTTGACAGAATTGTCAAAAGTCCTATTCATCATCCTTGCACGATGAGTTTTGCCGAGTTACCTGTGTGGCATCACTCCCCAGCTCTTTGCAGTGTTTGCTGAGACATCTCACCTTCCTTGTTCTTTGAGTCTGAAAACCGTGGATCTGTGCACACCTTTCTCACTGTAATTTAAAGCCTTGATACTCATCTGGAGATGCAAATCCTTCTATTGAGAAGATGCTATGGTGAGATTGCAGGGCTACCATGCTGTTTTGCTCCTGATTTTGTTCCAACCTTCTTGAAGCATCTCAGTGTTGATGTCTCATGCTGCCTTAGTCACCATTCTTTCTTACATCCCCTGGCACCTTCTATTTTCTCTTTTTCTCTGAATGACCTCTTTTCCTGGGAGCCAGTCCCTTCTTTCTTTCTACATCTGAATTGCACGTTATGGCAGCCCCTTTGGGGCCCAGCATATATTTGCACTTAAAATGGAGATGGATTATTTGAATTAGGACCACCTCCCTCTCACAAGAATGAGCTGCAAGTGTTAACAGATAAAAATAAAAGGCTGGGAGTGGTGGCTCACTCCTGTAATCTCAGCACTTTGGGAGGGAGGATCCTTTGAGCTCAGGAGTTAGAGAACAGCCTTGGCAATATGGTGAGATCTTGTCTCTATTAAAAAAAAAAAAAAGAAAGAAAAAAAGAAGAAGAAAAAAAAATAAGGCCAGGTGCGGTGACTCATGCCTGTAATCTCAGCATTTTCGGAGGCCAAGGCAGGTAGATCATTTGAGGTCAGGAGTTTGAGACCAGCCTGGGCAACATGGTGAAACCCCATGTCTACTAAAAATATAAAAATCACCTGGGCATGGAGGCAAGTGCCTGTAGTCCCAGACACTAGGAAGGCTGAAGCAGGAAAATTGTTTAAACCCAGGAGACCGAGATTGTGGTGAGCCAAGATCGCACCACTACATTCCAGCCTGGTGATAGAGTGAGACTCTGTTTCAAAAAAAAATTAAAATTAAAAATAATGCCCATAGAAAATGGCACTGGTGGGTGAACACACCTGTTTGCCTATCATTCTACCTCTATTCACAAGATCAGTCAGTCCTCCCCACATGTGAAAGGCATGGAAGGAAATAAGAACTTCCTCAGTGCAAATGTATTAATGCTACCTGAATCATTTGTAGGTTAAGCCTGTATACACTCCTATTTTTGAGAATCAACCTGACTTTTTCACTATGAGTAAGAGCAGTAAGGGGTTCTTAGTGTTGCTAGGCTATGCTTCAGGATAAAGGAATGTCTTTGGGTGCATGATTCTTTTCTCCATGTTTGGCTCGGTCCTGCTGCCCTAGCAAGGCATAAATTACATGCAGCCTGTTGGCAAAAAGCGATCATGTGACCAATGAGGAATGATGAGTGTTATCTAAAAATCTGCTCTCCATGTGGGTGGTGGAAAAGACCTGGGGCTATAATGGGCAGAATTGGGCACAGCAATAGTAGGTCAATAACTCTCCGAGTTTGGGCTCAATATCTAATTCTTGAGCTTCACCTGGTAGCTGTCATATTTCATTTTCCTTCTTTCTGCCTTCCTTCTACATGCTCCCTGACTGCTCATTCCCTCAGAGGGCAGTAGTTTCTCAGTTCAATCAGGAGCTAATCTTATCATTGACTTCCAGGACTTATAATAATTCTGAATGGAGATGGTGTTGCCCTATATGGAGCATTTTTGAAATTCATAGGGCCATTTTTATTACCCTATACTTTTAAAATATAGTATTTTTTTCATACAGAGTCTGAGATTTGCAAAAACTGAGGTAACATTGTACATTGTTTTGTTTAGAATTTTTCCAAATGTTGAGCCCTGCTTTGGAAAATCATGTCAGTGAAATGCACTCCACTCACCATATTGGAGACATCATAACACATGGTGAAGTTTCCGAATTGGGCTATGTTTTCTGTGATTGTTTGTTACAGCCTGTTTCATGTCATAGCCCAGGAAGTACCTCTGACACTACAGTTATAAATAAGAACAATCCAAGCTCATGTGTGGAAATATTATGCTTTCTCTCCTTGGACAGTGTGCAATTTAGCTTAGCATGTTATCCCTACTTTATTTGCAATCATTACTTTTTTCTTTTACTACTGTCAACAAAATCTTGTTTGTTGGTCCTCATCTTAATGCTAGTTGTTATTCTAGTGCCATCTGCATCCTGATTTTTTATGTCCTTCATTTTCTTTTAGAAACATTTTCTTATCTCCTTTTGTATTTTTATTTTCGTTTTTGAGACAGCATCTTTGTTGCCCAGGTTGGAGTGCTGTGGTACCATCATGGCTAACCACAGCCTGGAACTTCTTGGCTTACGTGATCTTCCTACCTCAGCATCCCAAGTAGCTGGGACCACAGGTGTGTGTCACCACACACACACCTGGCTATTTTTTATTTTTGTAGAGATTGTGACTTGCTGTGTTGCTCAGGCTCTGACCTCCTCTTAAACTATGGCTTATGCATCCTAAGGAGGTATATGTATGTGAGGCTCATGATGTCTTCTTGTGCAACTGTGCCTGATCAGTTACCTATTGGAATACATGTTATTTTATCAGAACTACCTTCCTTGGTTTTATATTTTATATTATGGTTAGTATATTATCTTGACTTATTTTCAAATTATAACTATGATAGATTCTATGATACATGAATTTCTTTTCAAGATATAAAGAAGGCATTCATTTGCTATATTTCAAAAAAGATATTGGGCTTTTTCCTGTGGCTCAGGCCTGTAATCCCAACACTTTGACACTACACTTGGGAGGCTGAGGCAGGAAGATTACTTGAGTTCAGGAATTCCACATCAGCCTGGGCAACAAAGGGAGACCCCACTGTTACAAAAACAAAAACAAAAACAATAAACAATAAATTAGTCAGTCATGATTGTACATGCCTATAGTTCCAGCTACTGGGGTGACTGAGGTGGGTGGATTCCTTGAGCATAGGAGTTGGAGGCTGTAGTGAGCTGTGATCGCACCACTGTACTCCAGCGTGGGTGCCAGAGAAAGACCCCATATCTTAAATTTTTTAAAAAGCTTATTGATGGTGACCATGTTGAGAATGCCTGGGATGTATGAATGAAAGAACTATGAGGTGGCATCCCTCTGGTCTCTCTTCTTTACTAAGAAGGGACATTTTTTGGTGGCAACTTGAAGACATGCCAAGGTCCTGGCTAACTAAATATAAATAAATAAATAAATAAATAAATAAATAATTCAGCTTTGGAGTGGGGAAGGAACAGCCAACCAGCATTTTGGTTGGGCTTGGCCACATGCTGTGGGATCATGTGCAAATCTGTGCCTTCAATTCTCTTCATGTCCTTATCCCCAAACACACATGTCAAGCCAGTGAACAGATTTTCTACTCAACATACAAGGACCTTGTTCTCATGCCACTGCCCCTGGGAAGGTTAGTTCTTTTCACTGATTTGCTTCCAGGTATATCCCTACAAAGCAACCATTTCTTCTTTGAAAATAGGGACTATTTCTTGTTCATCTTTTTGTCCTTGGACATGGGTACTCAAAAATGTAAGGCAATTTAAACATACTGTGGGCTCACTACTTAAATCTTATGTTTATCACGAGGGTGGATAAGATTACAACTACATTTTAAGATCTTTCTTTCACTGTGTGCTGATAACTTCACGAATTTTGATAAGCCAGGAGAATCATTGTCATACTTAACTAAAATAATGAACATAAACCTGCTTGGGAACCACTGTAGTCATTACTATTCTCCCTTATTCTGACTATGGTAATTCCAGAAGAAGAGAAATGGGAGGGGAATTGTGTCAAGCAAAGGGTGGCTTTATATTTCCTATCCAGGCATCAAAATCAGACCATAAACATGCTACAGCTTTATGCATATAAAGGGTCATTTGCTGGAAGCACGCATTATAACCACAGAATAAAATTTACATTCCTGCAGGCTCTAACTTCATATTTATGAAATGTTTATAGGTTTCTAGTAGAGGCAAAGCTTAAAGTTTTGCCAAGATTTGAAAAATGTTTTATAGTTAATGATGGGTACATGGATATTAAGATGTAAAAGCAAAGATACAAGTTGTTGAAATGTTTTCCGAGGAATGACCTAAGTATTCTGTATGTGAATCATGTGCCGTGCATGCCTTTAGGAACTTAGATATAGGTCACCTTATATAACGCTTATCATTTTTTTTTTTAATATGAGGGGCTGGGACCCAGAGATTTGGTCATGCTACTAATAAACAATGGGTATGTTGGAAGCGAGGTTTCTCTGACTCTAAAACCATATTATCTGCTAGGTACTGCTCCTCATTTAAATGCTGCCCTTCTTTTGTCATTAGATATTTTTTCAGACTTCCTTTCCCTAAGTGGAACTTGTACTGCCATTTTGGATATTCGCTCCATGAACATATTTCCCACAGTCAAATTTAACCACTTTCTCTTGTCTGTACTCATTAACAAATTCTCCCTTCTATCTATAATAGATATGCATGTATTTCCATCTATCTGCATGTGGAAAGTGAATAGATATGCATGTATTTCCATCTATCTGCATATGGAAAATAGAAATTTCAGCCAACTGGATTATCATTCTAAATCTCTGTCCTCATATATAGAGATGAAGGCAAATGCTGATCACAGTCTAGTGACAGGTGGCCTTGGGAGACACCTTTGATCTTTGGGCCTACAGCTGGCATTCCTTCAGGATGGGGCTGACTTGCTTCAGCTGTCCTGAAAACAGACATTATCTGCTGTCTCCATTGTCACCCTCCAACAGCAAATCAGGTCCTTGCACACCATGCCTTCTCTACCAATATCACACATGCTAAAAACTCACTGATGTCCAAACATCTGTTTCCATTGCAACACCTGGAGAGGCAGGGATACAGTTACTCTTGCAAACAGAAGTAGAGAAACTCTGAAACAGGCCATGAATTATATGAGGGGGGAAAGCTAAATTTGGACTCGGAAATAATCCAGTCAGCAATTATTACCTAAATTATTAGGTCAGTACTTTGTTATGAGGGAAAGAGAGTAAAATGTTGGCAGTAGTTCAATTATGCTGCAGCTACCTAATACCTGAGAAACAAATTACAAAGAGCCAATGCAGGGTAAGACAACTGTGCAGGTCCATAGATATCAGATTACTCTGCCTGTGGACTGTTAAATGTTTATGAAATTGCCTCTGTGAGCAAAGACAAAGACAGCAAAGGAATAAAAGCAACCCAAAAAGCAAACAGTCAAAAAACAACAGCAACCTTCTTTAATGGCTCTTAACTGAACACATTTTGTAAACATCGCTGTACAAAAGTTCTTTACATAGATGAAGGAGAAAAATACAAAGTTCTAATAGATAACCTTGCAGAAGGCTCCTTTTCTGCTCTTCTTTCTCCACCTGTCCAGTAAGTAGTGGAGTTTGCAGATCTCACTCCTGCCTTTGTTTCCTGGTTGCATTCTATGACCTTCTTACCTTCTGGGTGCTAATGGAATTCTATATTGATATTTCTCGGGAATTCCGGATTTCTACATTTTACTGCCTATCTAGTGTGGGCTCTTTTATGCTTCAGTCTTAATCATTGCCAACCATAATTCCTGGACTTGTCTCCTGTCAGGATGCATTGCTCCAATGTAAAGGCTCTGTGTGTTCTCTCTCAGAAAATACAGGGCCATAGATTCAGCACACATGCTTCCTGGAAGTCAGTCTTTACACACTTTTCTCTCTAAGTGTTCTTCTTCCAACCTAAAACTCATCACAAAATCTTACCTAGGCCATGCATGGTAGCTCACACCTGTAATCCCAGAACTTTGGAAGGCTAAGGCAGGAAGATTGCTTGAGCTCAGGAGTTCAAGACCAGCCTGGGCAATCTGGTGAGACCCTGTCTCTACAAAAACTAAAAAAAAAAAAAAAATTAGCTGGGTGTGGTTTTTCCACCTGTAGTCCCAGCTACTTGGGATGCTAAGGTGGGAGGATTGCTTGAGCCAGGGTGGTCAATACTACAGTGATCTGTGATAATGTCATTGCACACCAGCCTAAGTGACAGAGAACCAAGTGTCTCAGTAAACAAATTAATAAATAAAAATAATAAATTTGACCTAGAATACTCTCAAAAGGTCCCCCACTTTTGGATTGAAGATGTTGTTGTAGGATGATCCGGAAAGGTGTAAAGTATTAAAATAATAAAATAATCTCCAAATAAATGGCTCACTTTACTAGAAGCTTTCAAAGTCCTTCCTGAGGATGTCAACCAGAGCAGAAACAGGAATCAAAAGGGTTATGGTTCTGCAGGCAGCATTGGATGACCAGGATTCTTCAGTTAATTTCCAGCGAGGGTGTAGATACATGCATGTGCCTGGTGCCTGCGTGTCTGCATTTCTCTCTACTCACAGAATTGCTTTATGCTCTTTTCTCTGATATGCCATTAATTTGCAGCCTTTGAGATCCCATTACCTCAAACAATACCATGCTTTTTTAAGTTTCTACATACCACATGTACTGCATTTAACATCAAAACAATTAATGAAAAAATATAAATGTTAGTATTGGACTAATGAAAACATTCCCACCACCCCAAATTAATTACCATATGTTGGTCTAGGAATAAAATTATTCCAACTATAATTAAAATATCACTTGATGCTATCCCTGTACAAAGTGACATGAAGGGGTGTGCAGTTAACTGGAGAACTGATTGACGCAGACTGCTAATCCATGAGTTTCACACACCTTGGCCCATTTTTCTTTCAGTGTTGTCAATTCATCAGTGGTGTAAAATAGGATTGTGCCATTTTCTTCACTGCAGAAGAAATGTGTCAAACTCAGGGATATTAAATCGCTTATCAAAATTGTGGGAATTACCACATTTGTAAGAGACAAATTTGAGACAAGATTGAATTCCTGTAAGACAGACTTTTTTTCTTCTTAAAAAAAAAAAGTACACTCTTTCCTCCTGCAATCACTAAACTATCTTTCTTTTCATGACAAAACTAGCTTACATGCAAAGGGCATGTTTTAGAATTGGTGGTGGGATTGGAGGGGTGATGCATTTATAGGCCAATGCAGAAGAATGTATTTTATCTCAGTTTTGTCTTAGTCCATATTTTCCACTTGTTTTCTTGAAAGATTTCTTAAGCACTTCCATCGCAATAGGACATAAGTATCTTATTGACCTGTCTCCTCTTCCAATGTAGCTTTCCTCATTGATTGTCTGATTATCATTGCTGTGCTATGATGGTTACATATGGTTACAAAGGTAGATCCTGATTGATTAGCATCAAGAATGTTGCATGGGTTTCCATCGACTGAAGGAAAAATTACAAAGGTCTCATTGTGGCCTCTGATGCAGTCATGGCTCCTGCTTGGGGCTCTCCAGCTCTGGATTTTATTTTATTTTATTATTTTATTCATTTATTTTCTTTATTTTTGAGACAGAGTCTTACCCTGTCACTCAGGCTGGAGTGCAGTAGTGTAATCTTGGCTCATTGCAAACTCTACCTCTCAGGTTCAACCAATTGTACTGTCTCAGCTTCCCGAGTAGCTGGGATTACAGGCATGCTTCACCATGCCCAGATAATTTTTCTTTGTTTAATAGAGATGGGTTTTTGCCCTGTTGGCCAAGCTGGTCTCCACCTCCTGGGCTCACCCACCTCAATTTCCCAGAGTGCTGGGATTACAGGCATGAGCCACCGCCACTGCACCCAGCCCTCCAACTCTAGTTATGTTACCATTTTCCCACAGACTTTAACCCCTCATCTGTTACCTCTCCTAGGATCTACTCTCATGGACTGCACTATGGATGATAAGAGCTTAGAGGCTACAGCCAAAGTACATATACTGCACCACTTACAACAGCAATTTTCTTAAATGCTCCGTAGCTCAGTTTTCCTGTCTGTAAAATGGGGATGATTGTATCTCTCCCATTGACCAGCATTATGATACTCATGTTACATAGGAGGAAGTTAAGGCACAATGAGGTTCAAGGGTCCGCTCTCAAGTTGGGGCTCATTCCTCCCTTCCTCCCTCTTCATGGTCATAGGAGGGTATGGCTATTTGTCCATCCTCTTCAAGTCTCAGTTTTCCTCCTGTAAAATGGGAATAGGATAATTTACGTTCTTTGTATGATTGTTGTAAGGCTCACGTCAGATAGTGGAAGCAATGGAGCTATGTAAGACGAAACTTGTGAAGCAAAGGGTAATTCCTACTGTTACAGTGATAAATCTTACTATTGGAGTAAATATACACACATAAGAATCATCCTGGTGGAAGAACTCATTTCTAATCTTTTGCTCATCATAAGAGCTCAGGAGAAGGAAAAAATAACACTGCATTAGTAACACTCAGTGTTGCCTTCACTCACCATAAAACTTTCCATTTACTCTTGTATTTGTTTCCTTTTATGTCATGCTCTCTGACAGGCATGAAACACATCTTGGCTCATTGCTCTCTTTGAAGCCAAATTCACCATGGAGGCACACATTGTCACCTACTAACAGGGCTTACCTTAGCTAGGAGTGCACAGAAAAGGGCTTTTGCATATTTAAAATTAATTACAAAGAGACACATGTTAACCAACAATGCGGAATTATTCTGACTGGGGTTTCTTCTTTTTAGAAAAGAGTCCCTTTGGCAAGATTCATAATTCTGGCGGCCACAGGAATACAAGCTAGACCTTAAAAAGAAAATCATCTATTGTAATGCACTTAGGCAAATGGAAGGTGTGTGTTGGGAGTGGCCAGAGGTGGATGGGCAGTGGGGGAACTCACCCCTGTCTGGTTATATTTTGTTTTGAAAAATAAAAGCAATTTAAATGAACAATGACACATTCCACCCTGTTAGCATTGGCCTTTTCTCCCCTTACCTCCTCCACTTTTCCAAACACTACTCTTTGCTCGCCTGTCTGTAAATGTCAGGGCAACACTGTATTTCATTTAGTATAGAAGGGTGTTTCTCTGCATTGTTTTCTATACCGAAATGTCAGCTGTGATGACTTACCCGTCTTCCAGGAGAAAATCGGGCCTGCCACAAAACAGAGGTGTGCAGATTTTTAAACCCATGACACAGGTGGTACCCAGCCCTAAAGTTATTGGGTGGAAGGCCCTTTGAGGCCAACCAGAAGGAAACAAAGTTGTGTGGGCTTCTAATATGCTTTTCTTTTTCTTTTTAAGTAGCTGAAGAGCAGTATTACATTAAATTAAGCTCCATGTACTTAATTCTCTTGGGGCTTCACCAAAAGAGGCTTGTGTCCCTGGAATCAAACAGCAAATCTTTGCAGGCTCTGTCAGCAGACTGATTCCTCCATCCATCAGGCTCAAAGCTGAAAGGCACCAGTGGCATTTGATGTGATGGCAGGGAGCATCTTCCCCCCTCAGGCAGTTCTTGCAGTTAGCAAAGATGGAGAGGAAGAGAGGGAGACATGCTATTTGTATGCAGCTGGTGGACTTGGCAGGCAAGGCTAGAGCAAATTGCAATTTTAGGCAAGTCTAGGTTGTTAAGAACAGGACCTCTTTCTTACCTAGAAGCCCAAGAAATTGACCACTAGAATGGCTTGAGTTGTGAGTAAAGATCAGTGACAGTGAGAGGAGATGTTTGCCATCACTTACGCTGGGAGGCCTAATTAACAGAGGCCAGCTTGCTGAATTAGATAAAATTTAGTATCCACTGAAATTAATGCAATGTTTTCTGAGCATCTTTCACCTGACAGTGGAAAATCAAGTTTAAGTGGTTGGAAGTGGGAGTGCTGGTGAGAACCAAAACACTGTAGAGAACAAAATAAGTGGATTTTAAAAGAGTTTGCAGGGGCCAATCAGAGGCAAAAACACTTTGGGTTTCTATCTAGAGACAATAGCCACATTTTAGGCATAATAACTAATTGCTGTCCTAAAGAACTAATATTAAGAACTATTGGTGGTGGGTGCCATTTTCTTCCTTTTTTGTCATCTAATGAGAATGGAGAGTTTTCTTCTGTTAGATAAACATACCAGGGGATACAGATTATGGCAAATTTTGTCACATGAGGGAGATAAGTATTAAAATTTGAAATTCGTTATTTAATATCTTGAAAGTCGATGCTGGGGAGGACTATTTCAAAGTTTCCATGTGGACTGGAATCTGAAAGAGGAAAATATAATCCATTCACTGGCTATTTCAATTACCAGACCAATTTCTGCATCTGTGATTTGTGTAAAACACATTTTTTCCCACTGTATTCTATTTATCACTGATGCAACGTTAGTTAAGTAGCTCACATCTGTTAAAATTTTGGAGACTTCAACAAATAAAATCTAGTCTTCTGTTACTGTACTATCTAAAATAGATACTAATTTTATCTTTCTTGAGAAACTAACTAAAAGAACAAAGAATTTTATACTGGGTTGGTTACCAAAGTCATACTAACAGGATGGCCTAGATGCAATTTGTGGATCACAGTGTGAAAGACCAATTTGGAACTTTGATACAGCAGTGTCAAGATTTTGTTTTTTACCAATGTATATTCAACTTTTATTTCTTTCTTCCCATGAAGTTTTTAAAAAAAATATGTAGTCTTGTTTTGCTTATCCCAGGCCTGAATTGCTCACTGAAAATGCTATTGATCTTTTAGTCTGGTAATATGTTTGAATATATACAAATAAAGACTTTCTAAAAGCCCTCCAAATCATGTTTTAAATATTGAGATTTAGTCTTAAAATACCTTTCTTTTTGTATTTTTTTGCAAGTTTAGCAAGGGGAAGTTTGATTCAGTGAAAAACTGAGACTTCCTTCTAACAGCTACATAAGTGAGTCATGGGTCTGCACTTCCTCTAAATCCTTCAGGTAAATTAGAATGAAATGCCATAGTAAAAAACAAATTTTACAACATCATTGTGCACTTAAGAACTCATTTTAAAAGGTCAAGGTTAAAGTTTAGCAGTTAACTACATATCATATCTCATCTGTTTTGCATCTTATTTTAGTCACATAAAGAGATCACTTGGGGTATGTATGGTTGCTCATGCCTATAATCCCAATGCTTTGGAGGGTTGATTTGGGAGGATTGCTTGAGGCAAGATGTTCCAGGGCAGTCGGGGCAGCATGGCAAGAGCCTGTCTCTACAAAAAATGAAAAATTAGCGGGGCATGTTGGTGTGAACCTTCAGTTCCAGCTACTTCGGAGGCTGACGTGGGAGGATTTCTTGAGCCTCAGGGGTTTGAGGCTGCAGTGAGCTATGATTGTACCATTACACACCAGGCTGGGGACAGCGAGAGACTTGTGTCAATCAATCAATCAATTAATAGACAGTGAGACCCTGTTTTCTTTAAAAAAAAATAATAAATCAGTTTGAGATTGGTCAACAATTAGACTGAGGTGATTCTTTTAAATGATTGGAAGATATTTGATTGAAAGGATATACCATAATTTATTTAGCCATTATTCTTTTGGTGGACAGAAGTTATTTCTAATTTTCTCTGCTTCATTATAAAGAGTTATGTATCATATATTTGTATCATACTCATGAGACAGAACCAAACTGTTTTTATTAGAATAGCTTTAAAATATACTTTAATATCTGAGGGCCATCATTTCCACACTTAATTAACTTTCTTCTGCTTTTTTCCCAAATGCAAACATGAGCATCTGAGAATGAAGAAAGGATAAAAATATTTCATACTGCATTACATTCATTTGGAAAAGATAGTGCATTGTAACATGATATGGCTTTGTTGTCCCCACCCAAATCTCACTTTTAATTTTAATAGTCTGCACATTTCAAGTGTGGGTCCAAGTGGTGATAATTGAGTCATGGGGGAAGTGTTTCACTTACTCTTCTCAGGGTAGTGAATAAGACTCATGAGATCTGATGGTTTTAAAAACAGGAGTTCCCCTGCACAACCTCTCTTTCCTGTTGCCATGTGAGATGTGTTTTTGCTTCTCCTTTGCTTTCCTCCATGACAGTGAGGCCTCCCCAGCCATGAGGAACTGTGAGTCCATTAAACCTCTTTCCTTTATAAATTACCCAATCTGGGCTATGTCTTTATTAGCAGTGTGAAAACAGACTAATACATAACAGATTGGCTATAATATTTGGAAGAATCAGATTGTTCTGACTGTTGAGTTTTCTATATATAATTATTAAAGTACTAAAATAGTTTAATTAGTTATTAAAGTAGTCAGAACAATATTATCGATACCAATTTAATTGATATCAATGTCAAACAATGTTGAAATTTTTGTACCAAATCATTTTCACCTCAGCTATCATCATCATAATTTTATCTTGTTCCCAATGTGAAAGATGACATTGGGGATTGTATTAGTTATCTAATGCCATGGAACAAAGCAACTCAAAATGCAATGGCTTACAACAACACACATTTCTTTTCTCACATTTTCTGTGACTCAGCAATCCTGGATTGGCTGAACTTGGTATTTCTGGATCAGGGATCTTATGAGTTGCAGTGAACGTTGTCATCTGGAACTGATGTCATTTGAAGGCTTGACTGGGGCAGAAGGAATCACTTGTAAGATGGCTCACTTATATTGCTGTTAGCTGGAGGTCTCAGTTTCTCACTGTCTGTTGGAAGAAAACGTCAGTTCCTCGCCATGCAGCTTTTTCCATAGAGCTGTTTGAGTATCCTTACAAGGTAGCTGCCAGCTGTCTTCAGGATGAATGTTCCGAGACAGAGCAAGACAGAAACCATAATCTATTTTGTGATCTAGCTATGGGAGTCATACACCATTACTACACAAACAATAACGTTTTATTGGTCCAATAAACCAACCCTGATACAATGTAGGAGAGGGCTATATGAGGATATGTACAACAAGAGTCAAGGACTTTATGAGGGCATTTTAGGGCCAGCTACTATAAGGAGGCAATAAGGCAATAATACCATAAGGATTATAGCTGATACTCTCAGTTCTTGCTCTGGTGCAAAAGACAGATAATTTTTATTCAAATTTTCAGTTCCATATGGCCTGATGGTTTTCTTCCATAACTTGATACTATCATCAGTTTGAGCAGTTCAGTGTCCTATTTTGATCATAGTTACACATGTACCCTAACAGCAGCCTCTTAATTTATCAATTTCTTTTTTCCAGCACAGTTCTTTTTATAATGTATATAAATTATATATAATTTATATAAAATATATATTTAAATTATATTAAGTATATAATTTAATATAATTTAAATATATATTTTAATGTAATTTAAATAATAAAAATAAAATATATCTAAATTTCTAAATATATATAAATTATATATAAATATATATAATTATATATGGTATATATAATAAATTTTATATATAATTTTTATAAATTTAAATTTAAATTTAATAAATTTATTTTTTTCTCTTCTATTATTAACTCCTCACTTAGGTTGAAAATTATTTCTCTAAACCAGTAGAGTTCAAATTATTTCTGTCAGACGA
This sequence comes from Homo sapiens, assembly GCF_000001405.40. Taxonomy (NCBI): domain Eukaryota; kingdom Metazoa; phylum Chordata; class Mammalia; order Primates; family Hominidae; genus Homo; species Homo sapiens. The sequence goes on along the minus strand of NC_000024.10, from coordinate 15,277,875 downwards.
CTCAGAAATCCTACTATCTGGGATGTCCTCAACAGAGACTACAACAATGGTGAAAATTTCCAGCAATCTGCATACATATGTACTTTTTGTTTTCTGGCCCCATCTCATCCATTTATAAGTGCTCTATTTTGTTCTTAAAACTCAGATGAGGTAAATAATATTAAAAAATGATCAAGTGATATGTCTTCTCCTATTTATGAACATACTCATCTCTCTTCTTATCTCTCTCTGTCTGTCTCACTCTTTCTGTTTCTGTCTTATTTTATTTTAGATTACATATACATAAAAATATACATGCATATGAGTATATAATCTAGAAAGAATTCGACTGTACAGTGATTCTAGCAGACATGAACTAAAAAACATAATTTGTTTCAAAATGAATTCAGCACATGTACCCCAGAACTTAAAGTATAAATAAAAATAAATAAGTAGATAAATAGTAAGTGCTATACAAGTGTAAACTGCTCCAAAAAAATGAATTCTTTACCAAATTCTCTAGGCCATCAGTAGAGATGTCGTGATAATAATTTTGTGTAAGTATTCAATGGAAGAAACACTTTAAGATGTTTGTGTTTACATTACTGGCCAGGAAACTTTTATCTTTCCTTTTATGTATACCTTCTCACCCATAATTTGATTTCCTTTAAGTAATAACTTCAGCCATAAATAATTGGTCATAATATAGAGGCTTCCTGGAAATCACTAGCTCTTAAAGACTTGTACTCATGTGCACAGAACCCAATTAAAGCAAACTATTTTCAATTGCCATCCTTTGTGCATCTCTAGTGTCACATTTGATATGCATAGTCAATCATGACCATCCACTTGGGGCCTTCTTATGGTCCAGAAAACAGACACTTGGGCAGTGAACAAAATATAGGTTTGGGGTTGCTAATGGTTTTGAATTACTGCACTTCACTTCTTTTCAGAGAGGTTACAGTTGCAGTTAACTTCACAATTCAGGTGGCAAAGATGACTCACAGTGGAAAGCTGCTAAGTTGTCCCAAGGATCAATTTTGTTTTGGGATCACACTGGAAAGCTCTAACTCCTTAGTGAAATCTGCTGATTTGTGTAGTTCAGGCCTAATTTCAAGGAAGTAGAGTCACCCATGAGGAGTTTCTCACCCTGTTCTCTGAGATGACTGAGAATCATATCACAGCTTTTGACATGGTACAGGCTCAGTTGGTTATACTGTTAAGTCATTTTCTTATTTATTCAAGGGGTCCAATAGAGAAGATATAAGGAAGCAATTTTTCCTGTATCTCTTGCGTTTCTGCCTGTATCACAACCAGAGGTGCTGACAGCCTGTATTGTGCACATCCTTTTCAAGCATGTGTGTTTATGTAAAAGCCTTGGAAGATAGATATGGTGTCTTACTTTAAGCCAAATGGTAGGTTTCCTTATTCACCAGTTCAATGAACATTTCCTCCTGGAGGAGAAGCCATGTAGGCTTACTGGTCATGATAAGTATTCAGGTCAGGTCCCTAAGCACAGGGTTCATCTCCTGTAATGCAATCCACTGTAGGCAGGCATCATGCAGCCCTTTACACAGCCCCCAGGATGGTAGGAGGACTGCAGTTCAGGAAACCAGCACAAACATGGCTACTATGTCTACTGCTATTATTGCATGTAGAAACTGTCCTTTGTCTCTGTCCCAGAGAATTTGTGTCTTCTGCCACCATCTGTGAAGCTCCAGCAGGCTGACTTGTTAGCCTGAAACTAGGATGGAATTTCAGAAAATTCACAGTTCTCTACATAAAACACCAACTAAAGAGCAAAGTGAAATACAATTACAGTCACAAGCCATATCATGATATTCTATCAGTGGCAGACCACATATGCAATGAAAATACCCTAAGATTATAATGGAGCTGACAAATCTCTGTCACCTGGTGACAATCCCAACACTTTGTAGGCCTAGACAAAGTTATGTGTTTGTATTTTATCTTTTTTTAAGAAATAAGTTTAAAAAGTAAAAAAAAATTAAAGATACGAAATACTTACAAAATAAAGATATAAAGAAAGTATTTTCATACATCTGAATGATGTGATTGTGTTTTAAGCTATGTTTTTCTGACAGTCAAAAAGCTAAAAAAAAAACAAACTAAAAAAAATTGAAAAGGTTATTTTATTATTAAAGAAAGAGTCTGGGCATGGTGGCTCATGAGTGTAACCCCAGCATTTTGGGAGGCCGAGGTGGTGGATCATCTGAGGTCAGCCATTTGAGACCAGCCTGGCCAACATAGTGAAACCCCATCTATACTAAAAACACAAAAATTAGCTGGGCATGGTGGCTCAAGCCTATAATTTCAGTTACCCAGGAGGCTGAGGAAGGACAATCACTTGAACCTAGGACATGGAGTTTACAGTGAGCCAGAATTGTGCAACTGCACTCCAGCCTGGGCAAAAGAGTGAGACTTAGTCTCAAAAAATTATATATATATATATATATATATACACACACACACACACACACACATGTATATATATATAAACATATGTATGTATACATAAAGACAAACACTTTTAATAAATTAGATGTAAACTCAGTGTACAGTGTTTATAATGTCTGTAGTAGTGTATAGTAGTGTCCTAGGCCTTCACATTCACTCATTACTCACCAACTCATCCAGAACAACTTCCAGGTCTGTGAGTTCCATTCACAGTAAATGCCCTATATAGGGGAACCATTTTTTATCTTTCTTACCATATGTTTACTGTACCTGTTCTATGTTTAGATATGTTTATATACATAAATACTATTGTGTTACAATTGCTTACAGTATTCAGTACAGTAACATACTGTACAGGCTTGTAGCCTAGGAGAAAAAGACTAATCCCACATAACCTAGGTGTATTGTAGTTTATCACATCTAGGTTTGTATCCTAATGACCATTTCTTAGTATGTGTCACCATCGTTAAGCAACACAGGACTGTATTATGAATTCTATATGAATACAATTTTTTTTTTTTTTTAGGCAGAGTGTCCCCGTTTTGCTCAGGCTGGAGTGAAGTGGGATAATCTTGGCTTACTACAACCTCTGCCTCCCAGGTTCAAGAGATTTTTCTGCCTCAGCCTCCCAAGTAGCTGGGATCATAGGTATCCACTACCACACCCAGCTAATTTTTGTATTTTCAGTAGAGAGGGGGTTTCACTATGTTTGCCAGGCTGGTCTTGAACTCAACTAATCTGCCCATCTCAGCCTCCCAAAGTGCTGGGATTGCAGGTGTGAGCCTCAGCGCCTGGCCTAAATATGCTTTTTAAGCCACCTTTTATTGAGGAAGAAACATTTCCTCTAACAGCTAGGTTTTTGCTGGTGTTAGTGAATAACTTAAGTATTCCATAGTCTTTTTCACTGATAGCCCCAAGTTCACTGGTGGTGGGAGAGAGATGAGGGTAGAGAGGATAATAGGTAATAGGAAATCAGGAGGAGAGAAAGTACATACACAGTGGGTTCCCATTACAACAAATGATATATTTAAGGTCCAGCCAATTTCAAGTCCTTTCTTAAATACTTCTGAGGTTTCCAGGGTTTAAGACTGTCCTCACCCTATCCTTCCCTATGAACTTGTTTTCTATTCCTCATAACAATCTTTATCATCCTTTGTTGCCTCAGTCTGAACCGGCATTAGCCATGGCTGGGGTTAAGAGCTTTGGGAGTGGGCATCCAAGCAGCAAGCTGCCTGTACTGCAGATGGTGGTCCTTCCAAGCAGGGATGCAGGCAAAGTGACAAGGACATGAAACTACATTCTGTATTGCTCAGCTTTGCTTGACAAAGGTTGATTGAAAGAAGTATCATGTCATTCAGACTCTAGTCCTTTTATGTGTACCTTGAATGCATTTGTGACTCCTGCTGTGGTTTGAGTCTTTGTGTCTTTCCAAGATTCATATTGGAACTTAATTCCCAATTAGCATTCAGTTAATTCCCAATTAGTGACACTGTTAAGCAATAATGTTAAGAGATGGGGGCTTTTAGGAGGTGATTAGGTCATGTGAGCTTCATCCTCGTGGAGGGGATTAGTACCCTCATTTTAGGTCTTGAGAGAGCAAGCTTATCCCTTTTCTCCCTTTCAACCCAGTCTGCAATGTGAGGACATACTATGTTGGTGCAAAATAATTGCGGTTTTTGTCACTACTTTCTTTTTCTTTTTTTTTTTTGAGACGGAATCTCACTCTCGCTCTGTCGCCCAGGCTGGAGTGTAGTGGCGCGATCTCGGCCCACTGCAAGCTCTGCCTCCTGGGTTCACGCCATTCTCTTGCCTCAGCCTCTTGAGTAGCTGGGACTACAGGCGCCTGCCACCACACCCGGCTATTTTTTTTTTTTTTTGTATTTTTATTAGAGATGGGGTTTCACTATGTTAACCAGAGTGGTCTCAAATTCCTGACCTCATGATCCACCCACCTCGGCCTCCCAAAGTGCTGGGATTTTAGGCGTGAGCCACAGTGCCTGGCCACCACTACTTTCAATAATAGAAACTGTAATTAATTTTGCACCAACCTAATAGGCTGTCCTCTCTGGAGGACACAACTACAAGGCACCATTCAGGGAGCAGAGAGCAGCCCTCACCAGACACCAAGTCTGCTGGCTACTTAATCTTAATCTTCTACCCTCCAAAATTGTGAGCAATAAATTTCTACTGTTTATAAACTACCCTGTCCAGAGTGAGGGCTACAGCAGCATGAACAGACTAAGACAGTTTCTTTCCTGTCAAATGGCCTCTGCCCCTCAACTTTCTCTCCAGACTGTTACCACTGGCAATGCTAAATTAACCAGGTGCAATTCTAAGTCCTATATTCACATCCACATGTGTAAGAGAGAAAAGACTTTTCACCCATTGCAAGGTTCATGGCTGAGACAGTTATAGCAAAAATCAGATCAGCGATAAAAAATCAGATAGATCTATTTAATCTAAGTTTTACATGACATTAGAACCTTCTGAAACGAAGCCTCAAAGAAACAGGGGAAACTGTCCATTTTAATGCTTAGGCTTGATAAGAGGTAACAGTTGTGTAGAAGTATAATTGGACAAAAGGTGATGGGCTCTAATAGGAATAAACCAGGAGGAAATGTAGCAAGGCCTGTTTGTTCAGATTCTTCTTGTCCCCCCTGTGTCTTCAGAGAGGACATTTCCTTATTCTGGGTATAGGGTGGACCCCTTGGAATGACTCATGACCTCCTTTCAGAGGAAAGTCAACCAGGTTTTATGGCTCACTTCAGGCAACTTTTGAGGAGGGGCAGGGGAAGTTTTTCCAGGTAGCTATGGCCGGCTTCTTCTATTTTCCCAAATGCCAAGTTTCCCTATTTTGGGGAAGTGTGTCCTGAACCCCGTCTCAATAAAAAAATGGAATTAGCATGGATTGGTGAGGGCATTCTGCTGCCTGGGAACTTGAGTCGGGGATATATACATTTCAGCTTCAGTGGGATCCTCTGTTGCCTTGCTGTAACTCCAACCATGTGCTTGGCCAACCTCACTCTGTTGGTCTCAGGAATGTACACATTATCTTTCCCCTCCTCATTGTTTTCTATCTCACCAAAAGGTCTTGGACCCATGTATATATTTCTCTGAATTTGCTGACTTCACATAGGCTTTAAATCATCTGGCTGACTTTTCACCTTCATCTAATGCAATAGGAGACCTCTGTGCACAATCCTGGCCACCTATGTACCACAGCATGACATTCTGTGACTGCATATGCTTGGAAGATACCATTTTGTAAGGCTACTGGGGAAACATGATTCAACCTTTGCTCAAGAATAAATAACTCTGACTTTGGCTTCTGAGAAGGGAGAGACGGTTTTCCTATTGCCAGAAACTGTAGATGTGCATCTTATCTCATCTTACCATATCTCATCTCATGTCATCTCATCTCATCTCATCTCATCTCATCTCATCTCATCACATCTCATCTTATCATTTTATTTATTTTGAGGTAGAGTCTTGATCTGTCACCCAGGCTGGAGTGCAGTGGCAAAATCTTGGCTTGCTGCAACCTCCATCTCCTGGCTTCAATCAATTCTCCTGCCTCAATCTCTAAGTAGCTGAAATTACAGGTGCCCACCACAATGCCTGGCTAATATCTATATTTTTAGTAGAGAGGCAGTTTCACCATGTTGGCCAGGGCTGGTCTTGAACTCCTGACCTCAGGTGATCTGCCCACCTCAGCCTCCCAAACTGCTGGGATTACAGGTGTGAGCCACTGTGACTGAGCAGTTGTTATTCTTAGTAGTGATGATGTGTGCATGCATGTGTATATGTTTATCCAGCCAGCCTCCCATCCAGAGATGAGATAATTGGGGAAGTCATTCACCTTTGTTCTCCCATGAGGTCCTGCTACTTCCCACCTTAAAGCCTAGGATGAGGACTCACTCAGGTGCAAAGCAACTAAGTTGCAAATCAACTTTTTGGCTGTTTTGAGGAACGATTGTCTGTCTGTGTACTCCATGCAAGCCATGAAGCCTGTATTGGACAAGCCTATCCCTGCCTTCTTTGTTTGGTGAGAATCCATGCAGCCATTTTTAGTGAAACAGTGCCTGGACTACTGAAACTTTTATATCTGTATCTAAATATACATGTATACACTTAAACACTCTGTGGTGTAAGAAGTTTATGAGTCTAGATTATATCTTATGTAGTATAGACATGGTGTGGTTTGATGGACTTTTAAAAGTTTAAATAGATAATCTAGATTTTGATGTGTGTGTATATATATATATGCACAAAGGCATACACACAATCCTTTGTGTGTGTATACACATACAAACATATACACACACACACATATATATTCATGCATATAATGTGATGCTGATCAATAATATGTATGTTCCCATGTATATATACACACAAAGTATTTTTTTCTTTTCTTCTCTGAATAAGCCTAATATTTTTGAGGTTTTAAAGAGAAGAATGTGCCTATCTATTTTCTTTTTAACAGCGTGGTCAATACAAATATAAGAACATGCTATACAACTTAAAGATCAAGAGTTTTCTCTCCCTTGACTTTGTTTTATTTTTTAATTTTTTGAGACAGGGTCTCTCTCTTTTGCCCAGGATAGAGTACAGTGGATTATACAGTAGAGTGTAGCTCACTGAAGCCCCAAACTCGTGGGCTCAAGTGATCTTCTGCTTCAGCCTCCCAAGAAGCTGAGACTATAGGCATGCCACCACACCCAGCTAATTTTATTTTATTTTGTAAAGGCTGGATCTCACTATATCGTCCATGCTGGTCTTGAACTCCTAGGCTCAAGAGATCCTCATTCCTGGTCCTCCCAAAGTACTGGGATTAAAGGCATGAGCCAGTACACCTTGACTAGTATATTTTAATCCTCCTGGTGTAGGAGGACGAGTTGCAGACAAAACCTCTCAGACACCAAGTTAAAGAAGGAAGGGCTTTTTTTCTGCTGGGAGCATCAGCAAGACTCACATCTTAAAAACCGAGCTCTCTGAGTGAGCAATTCCTGTCCTCTTAAGCGCTTACAACTCTAAGGGGTCCACGTGAGAGGGTCGTGATCCATTGAGCGAGTAGGGGGTACGTGACTGGGGGCTGCATGCACCAGTAATGAGAATGGAACAGAACAGGACAGGAATTTTCACAGTGCCTTTCCATACAATATCTGAAATCTATAGAGAACATAAATGGTTAGGTTGGGGGTCAATCTTTAACTACTGGGCTGAGGGTGTAGCTCTGGGTTGTCTGCCTTTGGATTTCATTTCTGCCTTTTAGTTTTTACTTCTTTCTTTGGAGGCTGAAATTGGGCATAAGACAATATGAGGGGTGGTCTCCTCCCTTATTCCCCACCTTTGAGACCCTCACTCATTAGTGGGAGTTCTCACTTTCATCCTCACTACTCATGACTTCTTGCAAGATAGACTGATAGTGATTCTTATAGTACACTTGTGCTGATGCATTTTGGTGAACTAAGATAGTGATGAAGCTTTTTATCATTTGAAGAAGTACAGGTAGCAAACAAAGGAGCCGTAAGCAGGTTCCTATTACTATGATAACTCTTTATTATAAGAGTTTTAAATCCTCCTAGCACTAGGAACCATTTTCCAAACATGGCCCCAGGATCAAATCCATGCCCCACTTGCAAGGGCACATGTGCCAGTTTTGTTATTTCTCTGACTATGTCTTCGACTACTTGCCCTTGATCATCAATGTGTAGACAGCAATTAGTAAAGTTAAATTTCCCACAGATGCCTCCTTCAGCTGCTGGCAAGTAGTCAAGAGCCAATCTATTTTGATTGATAGCATTTCTCATCTGAGTTTCTTGCTGGGCCAGAATAGTCAAGGCTCTGTCAGTTTTATTAGTGATTATTTCTAAGATAGCTTGTAACCATATGATTTGGTTGATCATGTAAAACCGGGTCCGGTATCCCCACAAGCCATCCCATGCCAAGTAGTAGGCTCATTATATTGTATGATTCTCTCAGGGGGCCATTCATCATCTTTTCAATTTCCTATAGCTATGCTTCTCTTCTCACAGGAAGTATAGACAGGGAAGCCCAGGAGTTCACCTGTTTTTATTGGCAGTAGCTCAAAAGAGCCACATCCCCTTCCTAACTTATTGCTATTAATTACAGCACTGGCATGAAATTTCAAGATTATGCATTTGGGCACTCCTTTTTCTTCTGTTCTGGCTAATACTTTACTTGAATCATTTATGAGTCCCCATCAATCTTCAGTCCTTAATCTTATTTCAAAAACTGTGGCCATGAGAGGTTCAGAGGGTTCATAACCCATGTCTGCCTGGTCATTTCCTGGGCTACATACCTTGTACTGAGTGTCATTATATAAACATGTTCCTTTTAAACTTCCTAGGCATTCATAAAAGCTTTAGAACAGAAAGATTTTTTTAACTTGTCACCCTACCTCAGTAACCTGATGTATACAGTGAGAGCAGTCCTCCAAGTGGGGAAAATCAGTGGAAGTTTTTACTAAACAAGTCCAAATTATAAGGAAAATGAGTCCCATGATGATCCTCCTCATGCTTCAGCCATGCGTAGACCAGTCAGCTTCTGGGTGTGACTGGAACAGGGCTTGTCGTCCTCCTCAGAGTCACTTTGCAGGGGTTGTCTGGGCTCGGTTTTGCCTCCCAGGTTTCATTGGCTGCAGGTTTCACACAGCTGTGGTGGATCCATGCTGGGATTCCTTCTATCTTTGCAGCCGTGGGGGTGGTCAGGATGATGGTCTGAGGTCCTTTCCACCATGGCCGCAAAGGGGCTGCGTTCCAGTCCTTGATCCACATGTGATCACTTGGAGAGAAAGGGTGAACTGGAGAGAATAAGCTGATGGGACACCTCTCATTTGCCCAAGTTGAGATTGTCTGTGTAATTTTCCCCAAAGCCTGTGGCTGTCGCTGTAATTCAATTCCACCTAACTCTCAGGGACTGCCTGGAATTCCCCATAGTATAGGAGGAGGCCTATGATACAGTATTTCATAAGGGCATTATCCTGTTTTCTTAGAAGGGGTGTGTCTTATTTTAAGCAATACCATACTGTGTCCGGAATTGTTGGGTTCTTGGTCTCACTGACTTCAAGAATGAAGCCATGGACCCTCACGGTGAGTGTTACAGTTCTTAAAGGTGGCGTGTCGGAGTTTTTTCTTTCTGAGTTCGGGTGTGTTCAGAGTTTCTTCCTTCTGGTGGGTTCCTTGTCTTGCTGGCTCAGGAGTGAAGCTGCAGACCTTTGCAGTGAGTGTTACAGCTCATAAAGGCAGTGTGGACCCAAAGAGTGAGCAGTAGCAATATTTATTGCAAAGAATGAAAGAACAAAGCTTCCACAGTGTGGAAGGGGACTCCAGTGGATTGCCACTGCTGGCCCAGGCAGCCTGTTTTATTCTTTTATCCAGCCCCACTCACATCCTGCTGATTGGTCCATTTTACAGAGAGCCGACTGGTCTGTTTTACAGAGAGCTAATTGGTTCATTTTGACAGGGTGTTGGTTGGTGTGTTTACAATCCCTGAGCTAGACACAAAAGTTCTCCACGTCCCCACTAGAGTAGCTAAATACAGAGTGTCGATTGGTGCATTCACAAATGCTGAGTTAGACACAGGATGCTGATTGATGTGTTTACAAACCTTGAGCTAGGTACAGAGTGCCAATTGGTGTATTTACAATCCCTTAGCTATACATAAAGATTCTCCAAGTCCCCACCAGACTCAGGAGCCCAGTGGATCCCACACCAGGGCCACAGATGGAGCTGCCTTCCTGTCCCAAGCTGTGCGCCCACACTCCTCAGCCCTTGGGTGTTCAATGGGACTGGGCACTGTGGAGCAGAGAGTAGTGCTCATCGGGGAGGCTTGGGCCATGCAGAAGCCCACAGTGGTGGGAGAGACACAGACATGGTGGGCTGCAGGTTCCAAGCCCTGCCCCATGGGGAGGCAGCTATGGCCCGGTGAGAATTCGAGCACAGCAGCTGCTGGCCCAGTGCTAAGCCCCTCACTGGCTGGGGCTTGCGGGCCGGGCGGCTGCTCCAAGTGTGAGGCCTGCAGAGCCCACAGCCACTTGGAACTCATGCTGACCTGCAAGTGCCACTCGCAGCCCCAGTTTCTGCCCATGCTTCTCCCTCCACAGTTCCCCATAAGCTGAGGGAACCGGCTCTGGCCTCAGCCAGTCCAGGAAGGGGCTCCCACAGTGCAGCCATGGGCTGAAGGGCTCCTCAAGCATGGCCAGAGTGAGTTCCAAGGCTGAGGAGGTGCTGAGAGTGAGTGAGGGCTGTGAGGGCTGCTAGCATGCTGTCACCTCTCAATCCCCCCCTCTAAACAGGACACCCCAACTGCTATTGAGAATTTGGCCAATGACTGCTCTAGCTGCTTCCTGCTGGATAGGGGCAAACAAGGGGCCCTGCAGTTGTAGTGTCCTCCACAGGGGAACTCTCTAGGCCAGTAAAAGTGCCAGTGGGTTGGTACGGGGTTCCTCAGTAGAAGTTGCTAGTTGAATTCATTTGGGGTTCCATTTGTAAGAACATCTGTAACTTGATGACCTCTATTCTAGAGGAAACAAATTTGACAAGGTTAAAAATAAAGGGTCCAAAGGCAAGTAACAGCAAGATGGCTGCCACAGGAACTAGAAAGGGGAGAAGCCACGTTGCCCAGCTCCAGAGGTTGGTATAAGAGTTTGAAAGGCATTATCTGATTTCAGAAGCCTTTTCCTGTAAATACCGGGCCACATCTTGTACTATCCCCAACTGGTTAGTGTGAAAACAACACTCTTCCCCTAAGAATGTGCACAGTCCTCCTTTCTCAGCAGTGAAGAGCTCTAGGCCTCAGCAGTTTTGGAGAGTCACTACTGCCAACGAGTCTATTTGGGACTGTAAATTAAAAATGGATTTCGTTATTTCTTGCAAACTGCCTTGAGTGGCAGATATGGGTTGAAGATCCACATGAGCAGAATATGCCCTGGCTGAGTAGACAGAACTTTACCCTGGCTTTTAAAGGAATAGGGTCCACTGTTTTCCTCTTTACTACTTCCATCTCTCTTTCTTTCTCTTTGACTTCTTCTTTGATTCCTCCTCTCTTTCTGACTCTCCAACTTTCTGTATCTGCCTCTCTTTCTCTCTGACTCCATCTTTGTCTCTCTCTTTCTCTCTGACTCCCCTTTAGTTTCTTCCTCTCTTTCCTTACTTTACTTTCTGTCTCTCTGTCTCTTCTTCTCTGTTTCTTCCTCTCTCTGTCTCTGACTTTCTCTTTCTCTCTTTCCTTCTTACTGGTTTTTCCCTACCTCTGCCAGCTGCTAATGTTGCTGTTCTCCCCTCTCCTTCCCATTTGCATGGCTTTTGCAGTATAAGACTCCCACCTCCTAGGGTTTTTGTATGGCATGCAATAACTCCATAATTTCCTTGGGGTATTTAATGGGGGTTCCCCCAGAGGCTAGGAACTCCCTCTCTTTCCATATTGCAGCATGGGCATGTAGGATTAGATGAGCATACTTGCAATCTGTATACACATTTATTCTTTTTTTCTTTTCCAGTTCTAAGTCTCGGGTAGGTGCCACTAGTTCTCTTAACTGGGCACTGGTTCCTGGGGGAAGAGGCTTACTTTCAAGTATGGTTACATCACTAACTATGGTGTAACCTGCCCCTCATATCCCATTTTCCACAGATGAACTTCCATCGGTATATAGGTTAAGCTCAGGATTAGTTAAGGGGACTTCTAAGAGATCATCTTGGGCAGCATAAGTCTGGACTACAATTTGTTGGCAGTCATGCTCGATTGGCTTCCCATCCTCTGGGAGAAAAGTGGCAGGGATGAGGGCCATCAATGTGCATATTTGAAGCACCAGTCCGTCAAAGAGTAGCACTTGGTATCTAAGTAGGCGGTTGTCTGATAGCCATAAACTTCTTTTGGCACCTAGCATGCCATTTACATCATGAGTAGTCCAGACAGTGAGATCCTTTCCTTGTATTATTTTGAATAGCCTCTGACACTAACACAGCCACTGCTGCAACTGCCCTTAAACAGTGAGGCCAGCCTTTTGCCACTACATCAATTTCCTTACTTAGGTATGCCACTGGTTGTAGGGTTGTCCCCTGAGTCTGAGTAAGGACTCCAGGAGCTATCCCAGCTCTCTCTGTGATGTATAAAGAGAAGTTTTGTCCTGTGGGAAGGCTTAAAACTAGAGCTTGTACTAGGGCCTGCTTTAAGGTTTTGAAGGCTGTTTCTGCCTCTGGTTCCCATTCTACTAGATGAGTATTTGCCTTCTGGGTTTCCTTGATTAGAGTGTAGAGGGGCATGGATATCTCCCTGCATCCGGGGATCCATAGTCAGCAAAAGCCGGTAATTCCAGGAACACCCGCAACTGTTTTAATGTCTTAGGGAAAGGGTAAGCCAGTATAGGCTGCATTCATTTCTTGCTGAAGGCCCTGGTCTCTCTGGCTATTAGGCCTAGATATTTGACCTGCTGTAGGGAAACCTGGGCCTTCAACCTAGACACCTTGTACCCTTGATTAGCTAGAAAGTTCAAGAGATCGAGAGCAGCCTGCTGGCATGAGGCTTCTGAACTGGTAGCCAACAGTAAATCATCCACATATTGAAGGGCCAAAATGCCTGGACTTGAGAAGTGGCCTAGATTTTGGGCCAGTGCCTGACCAAAGAGGTGAGATCTATCCCTAAACCTTTGGGGCAAGACCGTCCATGTAAGTTGGGATGTGTGGTCTGTGGGATCCTCAAAGGCAAAGAAAAACTGGGAGTAAGAGTGCAGGGAAATACAGAAGAAGGCCACCTTGAGGTCCAGAACCGTGAACCATTTTGCTTCTTCTGGTATTTGAGAGAGCAGGGTATAGGGGTTTGGTACAACTGGATATAGAGGAATTACTGCCTCATTCATGAGTCTAAGATCTTGCACTAGTCTCCACTAACCGTTCGGTTATTGTACTCCCAGAATTGGGTTGTTGCAGGGACTGCTGCATTTCTTTACTAAGACTTGAGCTTTCAAAGTTTTAACAATATTCGGTAATCCTTTATGAGCTTCAGGCCTTAAGGGATATTGCCTTTTATAAGGAAAAGTGATAGGATCTTTTAACCTGATTTGGACTGGGTGGGCATTTTTTGCCCTTCCAAATTGTCCTTCCAATGCCCAGACTTCAGGGTTGATTCCCTCCTCAAGTAGGGGGCAACAAATGGGTAACTTGTCCCCATATTCATGTAGATAATAGCTCCAGCCTTGGCTAATATGTCCCTCCCTCATAAGGGTGTCAGACTTTCAGGCATAACAAGACAGGCATGTGAAAAGATCAGTCTCCCAATTACAACTGAGGAGGTGGGAGAAATACCTGGTTACAGGCTGTCCCAGGACTCCCCAGATGGTAACGGACCTTGAGGACAGTCGTCCAGGACAGGAGATTACCACGGAGAAGGCTGCACCAGTGTCCAGGAGGAAGTCAATTTCCTGGCCCTCAATAGTTAAACATACCCGGGGCTCAGTGAGGGTGATGACATGAGTTGGTGCTTGCCCCAGGCACCCTCAGTCCTGTTGTTGGATCATCTGGTTGGGGGCTTCTGACCCAGGGAAACTTCATCCTCTGGGGCAGTGCACCTTCCAGTGATTGCCTCAGCATAGTGGACATGGAGGAGGGGGCAGCTTGTTTCTCATTGGACTTTCTTTTAAAAGTGTCCTAGTAAACCATACTGATAACAAATCCTACTGGGTGATTGGCCTGCTCCATTTTCTGTCCTCTCTGAACCACCAAGGTTTGTTTGTCTTAGGGCCATGCTGCGGCCTTTCTCTGATCTCACTTTTCCTTTTGGTCCTGTTCCTCTTGGTCCCTATTATAGAACACCGAGGTTGCCAGGTTTAATAATGCCTCTAGATTTTGTTCATGGTCCAGGACTTTCTTTTGGAGCTTTCTTCTGATATCTGTGGCTGATTGGGTAATAAACATATGTTTTAGAATCAATTGACCCTCCAGTGATTCGGGTGACAGGAGAGTATATTTTCTTAGGGCCTCTCATAGCCGCTTGAGGAAGGAAGCATTTTCTTCCTTTCCCTGAGTTATGGTGGACATCATTGACTAATTTATGGGCTTTTTCTAATTCTCCTTTGTCCTTCTAGAACATAGGTCAACAGAAGTTTATGAATCCAGTTCCCATGATCTGAGTTAAGGTCCCAGTGGGGATCCATACTGGGGATGGCTTGCTGACTGGTAGGGAATTTGTCCTTTTCTTCAGCTGTCATTCTATTATTTCCTTGACTAAGATACCAGGTATCTCCAAGCTCTCAGGCTGCAACTAAAGCCACATTTTTTTCATTAAAGGCCAAGGTTTGATCTAACAGTAGCATGACATCTCTCCAAGCAAGGTTGAAGGTTTGCCCTAGACCCTGTAGGACATCTATGTACCTATCAGGATCATCTGAAAACTTCCCCGAGGTCTGCCTTGATCTGTTTTAAGTCAGAGAGGGAGAAGGGGACATGTACCGGGGTTGGGCCAAATTCCCCTCCCCCTACAGATTGAAGGGGACATAACCAACAGCCCGGGTGTTTTTGTGGTCCTTTGGAGATTTCTTTGCTTATTTCCTTCTGGGCAGGGGAGATTAGAGGAGGATTGTCATTTATAGAAAAGGAAGCTATAGGGAGGCTAGAATATGAGGGTAAGCTGAGAGGTCCTCCTGTGGGATGTAAATTATAAGCTTTGCATAGTTGTGTATTCTCCCTTAATGAAAAGAAAGTTTGGACATAAGGTATTTCACTCCATTTGCCTTTCCTCTTACAGAAAAGGTCAAGCTGCAGGATACTATTGTAATTTATACTTCCCTAAGGTGGCCATTTTTCCCCATCAGAGAGAATATTGGGGCCAAGTCGTAGTGCAGAAAAAAATGAGCCACCACTTTTTCAGGGTTTGTGGGTTAAATTGGTCCCAATGGCTTAGAATGCATTTCAAGGGTGAGCCTGTTGATACCTGTTTCCCATCTGAAAGACAAAACCGCCTGTAGTTTTGGTTTGTTTTGTTTCTCCCCCTGCTCAGGAACCCACAACGGCCCCTGGACCCTGCTGATCATAATAGTTGCGCTCACTGACGCAGCAGCAGAAACACTAGTTTTCCTCCCAGACCACATGGAGGACTGAGAAAGGTCGGATTTAGTGGCTCTTACCAATGGATTCTGGAAAACCTGCACCTTTGCCTGTTCTCCTAGACCACAAGGAGGAGTGACTGAGATAAATTGGATTCAGTGGCCCTTACCAATGCATTCTCAAAAAACTGTTAGAGTCCTAAGCATTCTCCTGTTGACATTGGGACTTTAACCGTGTCCTATACAGGTGTTATGCCCCAAAAATGAAGTGGAGGGCCGTACCCTGAGGGAGGGAAGGGATCTCCAGGGTTGGAAGAGTGACACCTTTTGCCTCACTTATATGAATAGGAAGGATACAATTTCTGAGGCTCCCCATATCCTAGGTTCAGGAGTAGCTTTTGTTAGGCCTGTTAGTCTGAGGAGGGATCCTAAAATTCCAGGTAGTCCCCACTATGATGGGGCTTTGGGCAAAAATTATGTCTTTATGATTGGTGAGCCCAAGTGCCTAAAAAGGTAACAGAGTCCTGGAGTTTATACTGGAAATCATTCTTATAGGGGAAACTAGAAAACACAAGACACAGGTAGCAATTTTTAGAAGTGAGACTAACCTCAGAGAAGAGAGGCAAGAGGAAGTTTGCCTGGCAGGCATTAGGACCCAGGAGGCAAGGGTTAGGATAGATAGGATAGATGGTCAAGTCTCGCTTGGGTGACATGCCTTTGAGAGTTCTGCTCATGGCTGCAGGGTCAACGAACTTGTTGTTTGGACCCCGGAGCTGCATGGCTTCCCTTTCTGTCGACTCTCAGCTCAACCCAGAAGTACAGGAAAAGCGGAAGCTGGTTCTAGGAAACCACTTTCCCAGAAAGCCTGACACCCATGTCTTTAGTCTGGTGGCCATGCTAATCACTTTTAACTGGATACAGATGCCCGGTATTTAGCCCCCAAATTCTAAGGAAAAATAGGACAGAATAGCAAGCGAAAGGGGTCCAATGGTACTCACTGCTTGGTGATAAGTGACAGTCATGCCTTTCAGTGATAGGTGATGGTCTCACTGCTCAGATATAGTCTCACCCCTTGGCAATAGGTGATGGTCCCTTCGTGGTTGCCAAAGTGTGTCTGGAATTGGTAAGTTCTTGGTCTCACTGACTTCAAGCATGAAGCTGCAGACCGTTGTGGTGAGTGTTAGAGTTCTTAAAGACGGCATGTCCAGAGTTTGTTCCTTCTGAGGTTTGGATGTATTCAGAGTTTCTTCCTTATGGTGTGTTCCTGGTCTTGCTGGCTCAGGAGTGAGGCTGCAGACCTTTGCGGTGAGTGTTACAGCTCATAAAGGTCATGTGGACACAAAGAGTGAGCAGCAGCAAGATTGATTGCAAAGAGCGAAAGAACAAAGCTTCCACATTGTGGAAGGGGACCCCAGCCAGCAGGTTGCCACTGCTGGCTCAGGCAGCCTGCTTTTATTCTCTTATCTGGCCCTACCCACATCCTGCTTATTGGTCCATTTTACAGAGAGCCAATTGGTCTGTTTTACAGACAGCTGACTGGTCCATTTTGACAGGGTGCTGATTGGTGCATTTACCATCCGAGCTAGACACAAAAGTTCTCCATTTCCCCACTAGAGTAACTAGATACGGCGTGTTGATTGGTGCATTCACAAACCCTGAGCTGGACACAAGGTGCTGATTGGTGTGTTTACAAACCTTGAGCTAGATACAGAGTGCCAATTGGTGTATTTACAATCCCTTAGCTAGACATAAAGATTCTCCAAGTCCCCACCAGACTCAGGAGCCCAGCTGGCTTCACACAGTGGATCCCACACCGGGGCCAGAGGTGGAGCTGCCTGCCAGTCTCACACTGTGCGCCCACACTTCTCAGCCCTTGGGTGTTCAATGGGACTGGGCACCATGGAGCAGGGAGCGGTGTTTGTTGGGGAGGCTCAGACTGCGCAGGAGCCCATAGCAGGGAGAAGCTCAGGCATGGCAGGCTGCAGGTCCTGAGCCCTGCCCTGTGGGGAGGCAGGTAATGCCCAGTGAGAAGTCGAGCACAGCAGCTGCTGGCCCAGTGCTAAGCCCCTCACTGCCTGGGGCTTGCGGGCTGGGCGGCTGCTCCAAGTGTGAGGCCTGCAGAGCCCACGGCCACTTGGAACTCATGCTGGCCTGCAAGTGTCACTCGCAGCCCCAGTTTCTGCCCATGCTTCTCCCTCCACAGTTCCCCATAAGCTGAGGGAACCGGCTCTGGCCTTGGGCAGCCCAGGAAAGGGCTTCCACAGTGCAGCAGTGGGCTGAAGGGATCCTCAAGTATGGCCAGAGTGGGCACCAAGGCTGAGGAGGTGCCAAGAGCAAGCAAGGGCTGTGAGGGCTGCCAGCAAGCTGTCACCTCTCCATAGGAAGGGCCTATATCCACTTTCATCCTATTTCCTGTCATACTTTCCCTAAATTAGTTTTGATAGTCCGATTCATTTGCTCCATCTTTCCAGAACTCTGAGGTTTGTAGGTGGCATGTAGCTTCCAAGTGGTTCCTAATGTCTTTGCTGTCCTCTGTACTAAGTCAGCCACAAATGCTGGCCCATTATCTAAGCTGATTCATAAGGGCAGTCCAAACCTAGGAATAAGATCTCAGAGAAGTACACAGGTTACCTCATAGGCCTTTTCAGTTCATGTTGTATAAGCCTCCACTCACCGGGAGTAAGTACACACATAAACCAGCAAATACTTGTTAACTCTACATTCTGACATTTCTGTGAAATCCACCTGAAGATCCTCAAAAGGAGCTGCTCCATAAGCTTATATGCCAGGCAGAACCATGGGGCTTTGCCTCGCATAGTGCTATTGGCAAGTAATGCACTGTTGTGCTACTGTTTTGGCAAAGGCTGGCAAGTGTGAGATGTAGAAGTACTGGCCTAACAACTTTTCAAGTGACTCTTGACCTAGATGAGTGGTTTCATGCATGGCCAGTATGACTGTGGCTCCCAGCAACTGTGGCACAGCTATACACCCATCTGGCAGTCTGATCCATCCTTCTTTTATTACTTGGCCCCCTCCTGCGTGGAAGAAGTCTTTTTCTTCCTTAGAATAGGTAGGTACCAGGTCAGGTGTTTGAGGGAGTAGGCCAGCTGCTACCAATGCCCGGTAAGGGGTAGACGCTGCTTTTTGAGCTTCTGAATCAGCTCGAGAGTTTCCTAAGGCCACTGATATGGAGGCTTACTGGTATCCCCTGCAGTGCAAGACTGCCACCTTCTTAAGTTTTCCACACTGCCTCTAGTAATTGTAGAATTTCTTGTTGATATTTTATGTCCTTTCCCCCAGAGTTTAACAGACCCTTTTCCTTATATAATGCTTCATGCACTTGAAGGATTAGAAAGGCATATTGAGAGTCAGTGTAGATGTTTACATTCTTACCTTCACTGAGTTCTAGAGCCTGAGTTAAAGCAATGAGCTCAGCCTTCTGGGCTGAAGTGCCCCATGGCAATGGTTTGGCTTCAATGACAACATCCAAAGTTACCACTGCATATCCTGCACATCTTTCTCCTTGTGGGTTGATGAAGCTGCTCCCTTCCACGTAACTCCCCATCTACTGATGCCCATGGCTGGTTCTGAAGGTCAGGTCTGCTAGAATAAACTGAGTCCAACACCTCTATACAGTTATGCTTGACCAGGCTCTCTGCTACTGCGAGCAGGGTGGCAGGATTTAGGGTGTTGTAAACTTCTATGTTTATGAGGGATTTTCATATGGTAAGCTCTGGTACTTGGTTAATCTAGCATTTGTTAGCCAATGATGTCCTTTGGTATTCATCAAAGTTATCACAGCATGGGTGGCCTTTATATTCAGATTTTGCCCAAGGGTTAGTTTATCTGCTTCTTGTTCTAACAGGACCATTGCTGCCAGTGCCCTTAGACAAAGGGACCAGGCTTTGGAAATCCCATCTAGTTGTTTTGAGAGATAGGCCACTGGTCCTGCCCAGGGCCCAACAATCTGGGTTAAAACTCCAACTGCCATTTTTTCTCTTTCAGACACATACAGTGTAAAGGGCTTTGTCAAATCTGGTAGTCCTAGGTCTGGGGCCAACATAAGTATTTCCTTTAACTTACAAAAGTCTTCTGTTGTAGAGGCCCCCATTCAAAGGGGCTTATAGAGGCTCTCGGTCATCCCCCTTTGTAACCCTCTACAATGGCTTGGCTAGTACTGCAAAGTTTGGAATCCATAATGTGCAAAACCCCACAGGCCTAGTAATTCCCTTACTTGCCTTCTGGTTTTAGGTTCTGGCAAGCTGAAGATGACCTGATTTCTTTCTGACCTCAGGTTGTTCTCCCCTTTCTGAACAGTGAATCTCAGGTAGCATCTGCTGTCTGCAGATCTGAGCTTTCTTCTTGGACACTTTTACCCACAGTCCTTCAGGTGCTGAAGCAGGGCATCTGTCCCTTTTGCACACCCAACTGCCATGGAGTGTCCAAGCAGAAGGTCATCCATGTACAGGAGCAAGATGCAGACTTGGTCTTTAGCAGGAAACTTTTACAGGTCTCGAGCCAGAGCCCTGTCAAAGATAGTAGGGGAGTTCTTGAACCCTTGGGGAAGCTGGGTCCAAGTGCACTGAGTAGTGATACCTGACTCTGGATCTTCCCACTGAAAGGCAAACAGCTTCAGAATCTCAGGAGCTAGTCTGATGATAAAGAAGGCATCTTTTAAGTCCAGACAGGTAAACCAACTGTCCCCAGCTGGCAGCAGCCCTAACAATGTGTAAGGGTTAGGAACTGTTGAGTGCAAAGTCACTGTAGCTTGGTTGACCAAATACAAGTCCTGTACTAGCTGAAAGTCCTTGGTCCCTGGCTTAGGTACAGGCAGGAGCGGGGTGTACCATGGAGACTGGCAAGAAACTATAATTCCATAGGCTTTCAAGTGCCTGAGATGAACCTGGATTCCTTTGAGAGCTTCTCTGAGAAGTGGATACTGCTTTTGTCTAATTGACTGGGCCCTGGGCTTAACTTCTATGGGAAAGGTGGGTTGTTTGACTGCCACTCCCAGAGGATTATCCTCCACCCATACTTGGGGCCATCACTTACTAGAGCTGGTTTTATCTCTTGGCCTGTCTCAGTTAGAAAAAGTCTCCATTCTTCTTCCAGGGGGACCCTAAGGGCCATGTTAACTCCTGTTCCTCGTAACTTTAGCTGTAAAGAGTGCTGTTTTGTAAAGGAGATGGTGGATGTCAGCTTGCTAAGCAAGTCTCTTCCCAGCAAAACAAGGGACAGTTAGGTATGTACAAGAACTGGTGAACTATTTCATGTCCCCCCACTGAGCAGGTCCTCAGTAGACAGAAAGCCTGCTTAGTGGAAACTCCTGTTGCTCTGATTATAACAACAGTTTTCTTGGTTAAGAGGACAACCAAGGTGATCACTACTGAATGGTCAGCGCCATTATTGACCAAAAACTTAATGTCCTTGCCCCCCTTTGTAATCCTGGGGGGCACTTGAGCCCAGTCTCCTTCAGTCTAATAGCCCTTCAGCCAGATTGAAAAAAGCTCCCTCATCTTTAGCTGAGGTCTTTTGTTCTGAATCACATTACTTTTCCTTCACTTGGGGACACTTATCTTTCCAATGTTCTATTTCATTACAATAGTCACATTGGTTACATTGCAAGTGTGGGCAATTAGACTGGGTATCCTTCCCAGAACCCCCTTTTCCCTCTTCTTTTGGGGGAATTCCCCTAGTGGCCACAGCCAGTAAGTCAGCATTTCACCTAGCCTGACATTCGTCTTCCTTACAGCTTTCTCTGCGGCTTGTTGAATCTCTATTCAGAAACACTTAATTGGCTATTTCCAGTAACTGCGAGGTATTCATACATGCAAACCCAGCCTGTTTCTGCAGTTTTCTCCTGATATCTTCTGCACTTTGACTAGCTAAGGCCATGTTAATCATGCGCTGATTTTCAGGGCTATCTAGATCAAAAGGAGTGTACATACGGTAAGCCTCACACAGTCTTTCATAGAATTGCGCTGGACTCTCCTCTTTTCCTTGGATGACCTCAGAGACCTTATTTACATTTGTAGCCTTTTGAAACCCCTTCTTTGATCTTCTATTAATGCCTCATGGTACCATCTTAGCCTTTCCATGTTTGGTCCCTTGATTGGGTCCCATTGGGGGTCTGTTCCTGGCAGCTGAGCAGCTGGTAGCAATCAGCCCAAGTAGGATTGTCAGTCTATATAATAGTTTGGAGCAAGTCAATTAAAGCTTGAGACTTTTTGGTGTAAGAAGGAGTATTATTCTTCCAATTGAGGTCAGCAGAGGTGAAAGGTTGATACATAAAGGCATGCCTTTCCACCATGTGTCTCTCCTCATCTACCCAAATATATTGCTGCTCTCTCAGGGGCATTTGGATTCTAGC
Organism: Homo sapiens; assembly: GCF_000001405.40. Lineage (NCBI taxonomy): Eukaryota > Metazoa > Chordata > Mammalia > Primates > Hominidae > Homo > Homo sapiens. The sequence goes on along the minus strand of NC_000024.10, from coordinate 15,255,988 downwards.
CTTGGGCCATAAGTGAGCTGCCAAGGGAGGAGTTTCTCCCATGGCTTCACTTCCTCTTTTGTCTACTCTTGGTGGTCTAGGAGTGTGGATATCTGGTGGACATGGAGGTGCTGTGGGTTCAGGAGTGTGAAGCCCTCCCTCTTGATAAGGACGGGGCACTGCTGGTACCAATTCCTGCCATGATTCTTCTGCTGTTGGGTTGGACAGGACTTTTGGTACCAACTTCCCTTGGTGGGTGGAGCAAAAGCCTTCCTTAACTAACTGTCCCTTTGCTACTAGTACTGCTGCTGCCTATCCTCTTAAAAATTGTGGGGGATCTAAAACCAGTTGTAACCAAGAATCTATATATGGGAACTGATCTGGGTGCCCTGGCTTACAGATTACCCTGTGCCATATCCTCAAGACAAGGGACCAGTCCAGGCTTCCTTCTTATGGCCAATCCACTTCTAATGCTGGCCTGTCTATCTCACACAAAGTTCTAAGTTTTCCTGGCATCATAGTAACTCCATAGTCTCCCTTAAATCCCTTTTTGACATTTTTCATCATAGTTCCTTGTGGGATGGGGTTATTTTGTGCCTGACCTTTGTTTCCTGGAGACAAAACACCACACTCACACAACATGCACACCACAAAACAAAAAGCAAGTAAAGAGGGCACACACACAATTTTATAGTTTGAGCAATTGCCTACCTGTGAGCATTCGCAGTATCTGTGTTGTTCAAGCTGGTTGGAGTCCCCCATGGGGATGCTCCACAGGGAAGGCCTAAGCTGCCTAAGGGGCTTCCTCAACTGTTTGTTAATCACCTTGCTTCCTGGTCAGGGAACCAAGAAATTAGGAACATGAGCTACAGACAAAACCCCTCAGACACCAAGTTAAAGAAGGAAGGGCTTTATTCAGCTGGAAGCATTGGCAAGACTCATGTCTCTAAAACCAAGCTCCCTGAGTGAGCAATTCCTATACCTCTTAAGGGCTTATAAGTCTAAGGGGTTCTTTGTGAGAGGTTTGTGATTGATTGAGCAAGCAGAGGATATGTGACTGGGGGCTGCATGCACCGATAATCAGCACAGAACAGGACAGGGATTTTCAGAGTGCTTTTCCATACAATTCTGAAATCTATATATAACATAACCAATAGGTCAGGGGTTGATCTTTAACTCCCAGGCCTAGGGTGTGGTGCTGGGCTGTCTGCCTATGGATTTATTTGTGCCTTTTAGTTTTTACTTCTCCTTTCTTTGGAGGCACAAATTGGGCAGAAGATAATATAAGGGGTGGTCTCCTCCCTTACTGGAGCTGGTGTGCCATGCTCTGGTTTGAACTGGTTTTTCCATTTGGTACCCACAGAGCTAATTCATTTTGTGGCCACACTCCTGCATCCTTGATCAGCCTTTGACAACGAACACTGTCTGCATAAGAAATGTGTCTTTCTGAGGCTGTAGCAACTACAGGAGTGATTAACATAAAATAAAGGCTCCAGACAGTGTGCTCTCCCAATTCTTCCATGGATACCACTGTTTTTATTTAACCCTTCATTTGTCTACTTTGTTGGAAATGGTCACTCTTCCTCTCTCTATCTCTCTTTCTTTCCCCATGCTGAGCTCAAAACTAAACAGGGGTCTCTGGCCTCCTTGGAAGCCTTGGCTACTGCAGGCTCCCTCTTGGAAAGCTGCCTGTGGCACCCGGGATGCAAATGATTATTCACTCTCTGCTCCCTGATATTTCCTTAAGCACTGCATCAAAAGGGGCTGAATCACACATCATGTCTCTTGCAGGGAGCCCCAAGTCACCATGTTTCTCCCAGGCTGCAGGTGACATGCAACTGAACTTGGGGTGTATTAATTCCCTGGAAATCAAAGAGGGCAAAGTGGCAGTTCTTAGGTAGCTGGCCTTGGGAGCTTGGCCTAAGGTTGCAAATAAATTTGGAAGCCTCATCATCCTGGCTTTTCCGCTCAGTTTCTTCATTGAGGATGTATAGATACCCTATTCTTTACCAGAGTGTGGGGTAGGTCCTCTTCCAGATAGACGGTGTTTCCAAGTCTCCCCTTTTGGGATTGCCTGCTTAGCAACTCTTGGGGAAAGAGAATATTTCAGGGATGTAAATGGGACAGTGTGACTGTGAAAAGACATAGAAGCTTCTTTCTGCTCTGATGAGCAATCTGTCAAGTTGTTTCCACAGCCCTCTTCTCATTTGCCCTAATTAAGGCATACCAACAGCTTCTCTTATTGATCAGGCTCCAATGACTGGAGAAACACCAATGTTCTTGGTCTCATGTGGATAGGATTAACAACATGGACACATGTGGAGTGTTTTTAAGGAATGAAAAGTTTAATAGCCAAGAAAGAAGGAAGGAAGGAGAAAACAGCTGCCCCATACAGAGACAGAGGGAGGGGGCATTCCAACAAAAAGAAACCCTGTGTTGTGGGCTGGTGGTGGGGGAGTGATATGTGGCTGCTTATATGGTTTGACCAGACATGTCATTCATGTAGCCAGAGAAAAAGCTGTCCCTCCCACCCTAGCTTTTTAAAATACTAATGCATGGCACCATGATGGTCTATGCACCTGTGGATATGTGAGAGAGGCCTTATTACCAGGCACATGTTGGGGCAAGGTAAGGACCATGGGAATCATCATGCTTGGGTGGACCCAGTGTCTCATGGTCAGCATTTGCATATCAAAGTTTGCCTGCAGGCTCTAACAGCCAGGGATTTCCTGCTAGACAAAAAAACTTTCTAGAGCTACTTTAAAATAAATGAAAACATCCCAAGGACCCTTTTTCCTCTCTATATGCCTAAAATAATTTCTTAATAACTCCTATAACATTATATGTCTCAAAACAGTCTTTTCAAAGTGAATCCTTATTGGAAGAGAAAGTACTTGTAGCATGGGTGTGTGTTGTGGGGGACAGGTATCTTTCGAAGCTATTAAAGCACTGTAGTAGACTACTGTTCATTTACAGCTCTCAAAGTCTACAATTGTCCTAATTTAGACAGAAATCTGAGGCTCTTTACACTCAACTGGTGAAAATGGAAAGCATTACCTGTTTTCTTGCAGGTGTTATAGTTTCCATTTAAATATACACCATGCTATATAGGTTCAGAAAGGAAGAGAAAGTATCAAATAGATCTTACATTGTATCTATCTATCTATCTGTATCTATCTGCTTGTTTGTTGGATTGTTTTTCTGTTTCTCTACTGCCTCTTCCCCAAAAAGCAGCTGAAGCAAGCTCCATAAAGATGGATGCAAAGGAATTGGCACATGACTTTAAAAAAAAAAAAAGCAGGAAGAAATAAAAAATAAGCCAGAAACACACTATTTACAAATTCTACCTAAAGTGAATCAAATCCCAGAAATTTAGGTAGTGTATTAATATAGTCACCAAATATGCGTATGTGAATACTAAAGCTTCTGCAGATCCCTTAGGAATTCAGAATACAGCTTAGGCCAGGCTGATGAAAGTCTTGGCTCAAAGAAAATGAGGATTTTCCATTGCAGAGGTCCTCTGTGTGTGAAATTTTCACAGCATTGAGTATAGTTATAAAAGTACCTCACATGTTATATTGTGCTCAGCAGTTACAAAGGGCTTTCTGCACAAGTTCTATCATTATTTTCTATACCATGAAGTAGGTAGGGTAGTGTCATGGTTTAGATGTATGTAAAGAAACAAGGACTTAGAAATAAAAAGCTGGGCAAAGCATCATAAGTAGCAAGGAACCAGTGAGACTATAATTAATGTATATAATTATATAATGTATATAATTAATATATACATTATCTCTTTCTCCTGGCTTGAGAGGAAAATTAAACGAGAATGAATTGGTAATCCAGCAGTATTTGCAATAAAATAAAAATAGCCAATAACCCTTATTGCCTTCCTAGTTTGTGATGAATGGAAGTATTAGTTCTCCATCAACAGGAAAAGTTCAGGCTGAATGAAGTGGCCAAAACACCATAAAGATAAAAATGTGTAAACTCTATAATTTAGTAATCATGATGCTGAATTTAAGGGAAATATTCAGAGAGGTGTGAAAATATTTACTGTCAAGAGTATTCATTGAGTATTATTTGTATTTTATAAAAAATGGAAAAAATCAAATGGCCCCAAATATAATGATTAAGTACATAGTGGGCTTGCTTTATATTAAAATATTACAAGTAGATGTTAAATTTTGTTTTCAAATAATAATATATGATGTGAGAAAGCACATGTCATAAAGGCTGAAGTGAAACTATTGCAAATTATAAAATTATAGATTGAGCATCTGTTCTCAAACTTAATAGAATCTCCTTGGTGGGAGGGGGGCTTGATAAAATAGTTAGTGACCCCTCTCTGCCTCCAGTGTTTCTGATTCAGTCAGTTCAGGGTGGGGACCAAGAAATTGTTGTTGTTGTTTTGTTTTGTTTTGAGAAGGAGTCTTGCTCTGTTGGCTAGACTGGATTGCAGTGGCACAATCTCAGCTCATTGCAACCTATGTCTCCAGGTTCAAGCCATTCTCCTGCCTCAGCCTCCCAACTGCCTGGGACTACAGGCTCCCCACCATGCCTGGCTAATTTTTGTATCTTTATTGGAGATAGGCTTTTGTCATGTTGACCAGGCTGCTCTCAAACTCCTGATCTCAAATAATCTGACCAACTCAGCCTTCCAAGGTGCTTAGATTACAAGTGTGAACCACTGTGCTGGGCCTAGAAACTGTGTTTCTAACAAGTTCCTAGGTAATGTTGATGCTATTGGTTCAGGCACCCCATTGAATTAAATACATGTGTTTTCAGTGTGTGAGCAAGGTCGTCCTTGCTTGCAGGGCAGTGTGGTCCACAATGGCTGTTGATTGCACTCAATGGGGAACCTTTAAAAAGGTATAAATGTCCAGTGACATTCTCCAGTGAGAATGTAAAATGGCACAGTCACCATGAAAAAAGGGTTTGTCATTTCCTCAGTAAGGTGAAAATGGAGTTACCGTACGTCTTAGTCCTCTCTGGCTGCCATAACAAAATGCCATAGGCTGGGTGGCTTATAAACAATAGACATTTCCATCTTACAGCTCTGGAGGCTCAAAGATCAAGACACCAGCAGATCCAGTGCCTGGTGAGAACCCGCTTCCTGGTTCATAGATGGGGTCTTCTCGCTGTGTGGTGGAGAAGGCACATGGTGGAAGAGGTGAGGGAGCTCTCTGGGGCCTTTTTCATAAGGACACTAATGCCATTCATAAGGGCTCCCTCATCACCCCTCATCACCTCCACCCTCATCACCTAGATCACGTCCCAAAGACGTAATCACCTCTTATGGCTCTATCTTCGGGGTTGAAATCTCAATGTATGTATGACTTTTGGGAGGACAGAGACATTCAGTCTATGGTACGATATGAACCAGAAATTACACTCCCAGGCATCCATGAATATGTGTGTGTGTGTGTGTGTGTGTTTATGTGTGTATGTATATGTACACACACACATCTATTATCTATCTATCTATCTATGCCCCTAAATTTTAAAAACAGGTGTCCGAAGACATGTAAAGACAAACAGCTTCTGTTGTTTGAATACTAATATCAGGACTCTTCACAATAATCACATTTGGAAACAACCAAATGTATATCAACAGAGTAGTGGATAAACAAATGTGGTGTATCTATAGAGTTTAATAGTATCCAGCCATAAACAGAAATAAACTACTGGTATATGCTACAATACAGATTAAGTGAAACAGCTAGATTAAGTGAAATAAGCTAGGCACAAAAGACCATATATTGTATCACTCTATTTATATGAAATATTCAGAATAAGAAAAGCCATAGACACAGGAAGTAAATTAGTGGTTGCTGGGGTCTGAGGATGGGAACAGGGAATAAGGAATGACTGCTAACAGGTACTGGGTTTCCTTTTGGGGGTAAGAAAAAAGCGATAATGGTTGCACAACATTGTGAAAGTACTAGAAGCCATTTAATTATACACTCTAAAATAGTTCATTGAATGTTATGTACATTTTGTCTCAATATTTTGAAATGTCTAGAATCTCAAGAGATTTCAGTATCATAATTTTGACATCAGTCATTCAGCTTTTTATAAAGCTTTCAAAATGATGCTAATGTGCAGCTGGAAAGCTGGGGCTTGACTTAAAGCCTCAGGCCTGGTGGGATTTCAGACAATAGCCACAAAGGCTGAGCAACATTGTGTGTTTACTTGGTATGATTCAATGAAGCAAAAGAGCAATTTCAGTGGGTGGATTCTTAGCACTTCACTAACTCTGTGTCCATGAACTAGCTACATCAACCCCACCTTGGATTTTGTCAGAAGCAGAGACTCTCCAGCCCCACTCTAGACTTCCTAACTCAGACCCACCTTTTCATAAGATCCTCGTGACATAGGCATTGACATAGGCATCAAAGCTTCAGAAGCACTGGAGAGGTTATGCAGCCTTTCCATTATCGTGTTTTAGGAAACACTGGTCTTGCTGAGGTACTATTGAACATCCTGAGACAAATGGCTTGTGTTGTTCCAGTGGCTTAGGAGATATTGGTTGGAAGAAAGTTAAACATGGTCATATTTTTCAGGATCTCTCTGCATCTTTGAGAAGTTCCCATGATGCAGGGCAGGAGAGCCACAAAGTAGGGCTTATTCCTTGTGGGTTCTTTGCTTTGCTCTGGGAAGAATTGAAGGACAAGCCGCAGGTGGAGGAAAACAGCTTTACTGAAGAGGCAATGTTACAGCTCCAGCTGTGTTACAGCTTTGTGACTTTTCCTGCAGAATAGGATAAGCCCGTAGCCAGAGTGTGTTACATTTATACCCTCCACTTTTTTTTTTTTTTTTTTTTTTTTTGAGATGGAGTCTCACCCTGTGGTCCAGGCTGGAGTGAGTGGCACAATCTCAGCTAACTGCAAACTCCTCCTCCCCAGTTCAAATGATTCTCCTGCCTTAGACTCCCAAGTAGCTGGAATTACAGATGCCTGCCACCACACCCAGCAAATTTTTGTATTTTTAGTAGAGACAGGGTTTCACCATGTTGCCCAGGCTGGTCTCAAACTCCTGACCTCAAGTGATCTGCACACCTTAAGCTCCTTAAGTGCTAGGATTACAGGTGTAAGCCATTGTGCCTAGCTCATAGCTGCTTTTAATTTCCTGAAGATTAAAGGGCAGTTTGTGCAGACATTTCACGGAAGGGGTAGTAAATTTTGGGTCACTGGGACATTGCCATGGAAAAGGGTGGAAACTCCTGGATGTTGCTGTGACAATGGTAACTGACATGGCACACTGGTGGACATGCCTGATGGAAACCTGCTTCTGCCTTGGCCCTGTTTTAGCTATGCCTCAACTTGGTCCCATGACCAAACTTTGCCTCTGGGGTTGAGTTCTGTCTCCTCCCCAACCTGGACCCAGCAACTCTGCACTGAGTATTGTCTGCTTTGCTATGCAATCACATCCCAAACTATTTGAAAAAGGAAACTCCTTTTGAAGGACCACTTCATGACCCTGAGGGTCTCTAGTGATCTGCAAAGCACAATGTGGAAAATGCTGCTCCAGGATCTTCTAGGGCCACCTAGTCTCAACTAAATGTTAGAAATTATCTTGAATTTGGTGAAACTTTAAGAGTGACTCCAAATTTCAGTACCCAAAGAGATGGAGTGTGAATCAGTGGATTTCATTGAAACCTGCATCACAAAAAAAGAGAAAATGTGGAAAAGAGGCAGAGTTCCCTGACAGCATGGCTCTTTTTCACTGTAGACCAAGAAGATTTTGAAGTTTCATCCTCAGAGTCAGGGTAACCTGAAAAACCGAGATAGCACAACCAACATGGAGCATGTTCCTGAGAAATTCCCAACTTTCCACTCATCTCAAAACACTATGAACTTTCCCATTGAAATTTTCCAGGTTACATTTTCTCAACTAATGTCTGAGAAAAACTTTAAGATGTGATTTTCAAATACATTCTGAGATGACTTAACTACTGTACTAAAGAAAACTATCCAGATGAAAAAGAAAGCTTACGAACTTATGGAAAGAGTTTCAACTACTGCCCTTCTAGTCAGATCAATGGACTTGTCTTTTTTGTTTGTTTGTTACTTTGAGATGGGGTCCCACTGTGTCACCTTGGCTGGAGTGCAGTGGTCTGATCATAGCTCACTACAGCTTTCTTTGTTTTTTTTTGTTGTTGTTGTTTGTTTGCTTCTTGGACAGGGGACCTTAGAGGTGAAAGATGAGTATGGTTTTAGTATTGAGATGATGAAGAATGATTTTCTGTGTTCTGTGTCTCAATCTGTTAATATGAGTTTGTAGATGAGATGCTGACTCTGCTTATAGCCCCTTAAACCTTAGCTTTCACACCTGCTAAAGACATGAATTGATTAACATAATAATTTTTGAAAACCAAGGAAAAATTTCTTTCATTGTAATATAGGAAAAAAAAGAACTTTTAGCCCAAGCCCACATTTCTGAATTTGGTTAATCTTATTTCCCTAGATTTAACTGTTGAGTAAGACAAATGATTCACAAACAAATTGTGGTAATAAATGAGAAGACAAAAGCAAATGAATGCAAGAGGAATGGTGTTCACTGTAGTTAGGATACAAGGCATTGTGCACAACATTTTTTTTAAAAAAAACAATAACACCTGTGGTTTAATTTCCTGAATAGAAAACAAAGGTCAGGGTAGTTTCCATCCACCTTTCATTTGTTTCTGCATCATCAGGATGGTGCAAGACCTTTCTGTTAAGGGTTTAGAGAGGTTGGAAAACTACAACCTGAGGGACAAATTCAACCTATAGCAACTGGTTTTATCAATAAAGTTTCGTTGACATGCAACTTCATCTATTCATTTACAGATTGTCTACAGCTCCTTTCATGCAACAATGGCAGAAATGAATGTTTGCAACAGAGACCAGAAAGGACTAAAATGTCTGGGCCTTTGCAGAAAAGTCTGTGAATCTCTGGCGTTGAGTAATTCTGTAATATCAGCTCATTTCAGCATACATCTTATGATCAGGAGAGTTTAATACGGAAGAAGAATGATACTAGATCCATTTTTGATGTCACACACACAAAAAAAAACACAAGCCAACAGGTAACTATTGAGTTTTCTTAACTTTTACAACCCAATTCTTTGAGATTCTATTATGTGGAAGGCAAGATAAGGGCTAGAAAGATGAGGAAAAATGTTCTTGCCTTTAGAATGGTCTAATGTGTGAGAGACAAATGACTACTAGTTTGAGTTGCAGACATGCTCTGAAAGAGATATTCACAAAGAGGAATATTCACAAATGGGAAATGAAAGAGCTGGAAGGGCTTTGCAAACCCCAGAACTCCAATATGTGCAGCAGTCACAGAGACATGGCAGATTTGGAATAGATTGAGATGAGAACCAAGGAACTGATGGAGTTTGAAATTAATTTGCTTTAAAGCACAAATGCAGGTTAATTGCTGACAAAGATGGTTGCAGATGGTCATGGAAACCTGGAGAGGGGCTCAATGTAAAGTTTCTTAAAGGCTTAAACCAATAATACTTGTATCCCATTCCTCATTCTCCAAGGAGCTCACTCCATTATGAAAGAGAGCTTTAAGCAAATTTGAATGTTTCTTCACTGATTTCTAACATACTCCTGTATTGTGGAAGCTCTTCCTAAGTCCATTTGTTTCCTGGCTAAGTGTGAAATGACTGCTGCTATATCCCATCGTGGGCAAAGGGTACCTGCTATGCAGGGTGAATTGGGATCAGCCTAGGTCTTCATTAAGAACAAAGGGAGACCATGTATGGCTGTGTATTCCACATTCACCAGCGACTAATGAGGAAGATAAAATAGAAAGTAGTTCTCCTCCTCTGAGGTCTCCATTCAGGATGTTGCACAGCCTCATTAATGAACTATTGCTGTAACAAAGCAGGAAATTAAAAATGGCAACACTAACATGCATGAGCCCTTCCTCTGGCAGGTGCTTTACAAACAATAAGGGTGGTGGCTCTCCACTTGTTAACAGTGGACAATTGCACATCACTGTTGACCAGTTTCTTGGTGTATCACTAGCTTAGCTAAGATAAATAATTCCACTGCCTTATAAGGCTGGGCCTACTCAATGCACTGGGGTATAATTTTTCTAGTTATGAATGTCATCTTTCAAAATATGGAAAATACAGTTAAGAAAAATCTTTCAAATTACTGATCAAATTGCCATTACCTCTTACAGTTTAAAAAAAATGGTATGCTGGGTGTGGTGGCTCATACTTGTAATCCCAGCACATTGGGAGGCCAAGGTGGGTGGATCACGTGGTCAGGAGATTGAGACCCTACTGGCCAACATGGTGAAATCCTGTCTCTACTAAAAATACAAAAATTAGCTGGGTGTGGTGAGACATGCCTGTAATCCCAGCTACTCTGGAGGCTAAGTCAGGAGAATTGCTTAAATGAGGAAGTCCGAGGTTGCAGTTAGCTGAGTTCACACCACTGTACTCCAGCCTGGAGACAGAGACAGACTCCGTCTCAAAAAAAGAAAAAAAAATGGTATAAACCATTTTAATGAATGTGACAGGTACATTTGTTCATCTCACTAAAGGTCCTTTTTGGGTTGCTGTTGTTGCTGATAGCTTTATTCTTTCTTATTTTAATTAAACATTTTATTTTGATATAATTATAATCATGTAGTTGTAAGAAAGAATACAGATGAATCCTGTGTGTTTTAGTACACATTTACATAATTGTCCTTGAAATGGCAGTACTGTAGAATTGGAGAACAAATTACTGGGTGCTGAAAATTAAGGAGGGAAAGGCAGGAGGAAGGTGAGTATGGCTTTAAAAGGACAACATGAGAGATCTTTGTGTGGATGGAAATATTCTACATCATGGTTACAGAAACAACAGTATCTTGGTTGTCATATTGTACTAAAATTTTATAAAATAGTACTATTTCTATTTTGGTTTATCTATAGTGTTTTAGTTTATGTCTTTGCATAAGCTTCCTTAGTATGTTTTCTAGGTGCTATATGATATATTCATAACTATTGCAGTCTACTGATGTCACCATTTTATCACTTTTAGTGAACGCAAAAACATTGCTTCCCTTTACCTTCCCCCATTTATGATTATCTTAAGTATTTTTCAGCAGATTCATAGAACCATATCAAAGAAATGTTCTAATTTTTGGTTCAACCCTCAAATACAATTTAGAGTATTCCAGATGAGAAGGAGAGCATATTTATTTATCCATAGTTTTGCATATTGATTTTCCTTCCTGGCACTCCAAGGTTTATTCTGTTATCATTTCCTTCTATTTAAAGAACTTCTTTAAACCAGTTATTTTAGGGTAGGTCTGCTGTTGACAAATTCTGTTAGATTTTCTTCATTGGAGAATTTCCTGATTTCCCTTTCATTCCTAAGGGATATTTTTACAGGATATGAAGTTCTGGGTTGATAGTTCCTTTTTTTCAGCATCTGAAAAATACTTGCCACTTCCATCTGTCCTCCATCTATTCTGGTAATTATTTTCTTATTACTCGAATGATCTGTTCCATAGAGGTAAAATGTTACTTTCTGTGGCTGCTTTCAAAATTTTTTTGTGTGTTTTGTTTTCAGAAGTATAATTAAGAAGGGCCTTGGCATGGATTTCTTGAGATTTACCTTGTTTGGCCTTCACTCAGTTTCTTGCATCTGTTGGCTTATGTCTCTTGGCAAAATTGGCAATTTTTAAGCTACCGTCTCCTTGAGTACTTTCTAAACTCCACCCTCTTTCTCTTTTTTTTCAGGCATTTAGCCAGTTGTTTTATCCCTAATTGTTAATTACAGCTCACATCACATGCCCCAAAAGGGAGTCTGGTATCTTCCTCGCTAAGGCTGGGTGGACTTTCTGTGATCCTTCTGTGTAAAATATGTTTCTATCACATCTCAGTCATTTCTCACTAATGTTTTTAAGGTTTATTGAGAACCTTAATGATTTCAGATGAATTTTAGAAAGAAAATCTGAGAAGTTCCTGAAAACATTTACTAAAGTTTTTAATTGTCATTATAGAAATTGATGTGATAATATGAAAAATGGAGATAATTAAAATATTTATAGTTTGAATCCTGCAACATGATTTATTGTTCCTGTTTATGTAAGCCTAATTATATATATTGCTCAGCTTTAAGCGGTTTAAGGCTTTAAGATTTTCTAGACAGGTTTTACATGTTTCTTGTTAAGGTTAGTTCTAGGTATTTTTATTTATTTTTATTGTTTTGAGACAAGATCTGGCTCTGTCATCCAGCCCGGAGTGCAGTGGTGCGATCTTGGCTCACTGGAACCTTTGCATCCTGGGCTCAAGCTATTCTCCCACCCCAGCCTCCCAAGCAGCTCGAACTGCAGGCACACACCACCACACAGAGACAACTTTTATAAATTTTTTTTTTTTCTGGTAGAGATGCAGTTTCACCATATTGCCCAGGCTGTTGTGGAACTCCTGGGGTCAAGTGATCCTCCCATGTAGGCCTCCCAAAGTGCTGGGATTACAGATGTGAGCCACCAAACCTACCCATATTTTCAGTTTTAATTGTTATTGGGATAGATTCCTTTTAGGTAATCTTTTAAAACTAGCTTCATTGTGTGTATAGAAATACTGTTTTTTTATTATGTTTATTTTATATTTAGCCATTTTATTAAAATTTCTAATTAATTGCTAGTTGTTTTTCAGGGGTGTATTCAGTATTTTTAAATATGTTCCTTGTAGATTTCTTACTTCCTACAACAGATGCCCAAATTTTAGTTACAAAACAGATTCAGGAATATTCTGAAATATGCCTAGTAAACAAACATGCCCATAGTCAATGATTTTGATAAATGTTACATTTAAATTTGTCACCTGCTGATTCACATTCAATGTATCATACTTAAGGCTTTGAGAAGTCCTGGATTTAAGGGCCCAACTAGCCTTGTTTAACCCACGTTTCTGACATGCAAGCCATACATATCAAAAACCCATGGAAAATACATAGAAACTCTACATACATTGCACTTGTAGACAAGTGTTTATATTCTTAAAATGTAAAGAAATCTTACAAAGCAAGGCCAACATGATAAACTCCCACAGTAGAAAGATGGGGAACTGACAGAAGAAACCCACATGGCCAATAAGCCATTTTCACTCAGCAAATTCATGAGACCATGATTATGTCCAGGGTGGCCTGATATTGTTTCTGATATCCCATTTCAACAGCTGCCTTGCACCGAAATTTAAATTATTTATAACCTGGGCTGCCAAGACCACAATGGGGTGTCCTCTGCCTTGCCCCCTGCTTATCTAATTCTATGTCGATTTAGCAGGGATCTCTCTGCCTTTACCATCCTATTTCCTGATGTCTGCCTAGTTTGATTAATCTCCGAAGGTCAGACAAGCCAAGGGATAATTTTCTGAGTTAAAATCCCTGCTGGATATGAAGATGGAAATTTTGCTACACTTTCGATGGGTGAGACAAGCAAGATATGATTTATTTTCTAACTCCCAATACCATGATAAAGAGTTGAAAGAATTCTAGAAAGAGAAAGACATGAGCCAATAATGTTTAGTTGTGTGTTGTTTGAAAACATAAGTCTCTACGTAGGAAAACATCATGGTCCAGTTCAGAACCCCACTTTCTTGTAAACACTCTTGCTGTTGAAACATGGTATCACACCATTCTGCCTTTCTAAAGGATAATACATCCAGAGGTATAAAAATGTCCATGACCATTGATCCATAATTAATTACTTAGAAAAATATTCACAGATGTCAACCATAATTTAAGTCAAGAACATTCACAACAATGTTATTTAAAACAGCAAAAACAACAAAAACTCCATGGTGCTCAATGATAGGGAAGCGTTTAACCAAGCTTTGATATAAACAGAGGTCATGTTGTTACATAGTCTGGGGTTAGGATACTTTCTGTAAGAGACTAAATAGTGACTATTTTAGGCTTTGAGGGACCTATGTTCTCTCTCACAATTATTCAGTTCTACCCTTGCATCTCAAAAGCAGCAATAATCAATAATATAGAAATAAATAGGTGTGTTTGTGCTCTAATAAAATTTCCTTTAAATTTGAATTTCATATAATTTTAAGGTGTCATGAAGTTTTTTTTTAAAGACAAGGTACAATCTGTGCTCACTGCAACCTCCATCTTCTAGGTTCAAGCAATTCTCCCATCTTAACCTCCTGAGTAATGGGGACCACAGGTACACATCACCAAGCCTGGCTAATTTTCTTATTTTTAGTAGAGATGGGGTTTTGCCATGCTGGCCAGACTGGTCTCGAATGATCCAGTGGATCCTGTCCTCAAGTGATCCACCCATCTCAGCCTCCAAAAGTGCTGGGATTATAGGGATAAGCCATTGTGCCTGGCCAAAATATTATTTTTTATTTTTATTTTTAAAAGCAACTTCAACATGTAAAAGCCATACTTACTCATGGGCAGTGAGACAGTGTTTGACCATGGGCTGTGGTTTGTTAATACTGGCATAGCTACTAAAATAATATTTTCAAATGTTATTTTACATAGGAAAATGCTCACAATATAATATTGAATGAAAAACAGTAGAACCTAAAATTATTTTTAGAGTATGCCCTCATTTTAAAAAAATAAAGGAATATAAGGGGAACTAGAAATAAATATCCAAAAGCATTAAAGTGTTTTTATTATATTTATTTTATATTTAGCCATTTTATTAAAATTTCTAATTAATTGCTAGTTGTTTTTCAGTGGTGTTCTCCAGGGTGGCCTCTGAATGATTTTGACTCCACCTGTGTGCTTTTCTATGTTTGCTAAATGCTTTACAAGAAGAATTATTTTTATAATAAGAAACATTATATTAAAACATACTCTTCTTTAAAAAACTATTCTCAAGCCAGTTCTTTCTTCTGCTATTTTAAGGATTCATTTTTCTTATTTTGAAATTTATTTCTTCTGCCTGTCATCTGTTTACTACATTCAGAGATGTTTGTCATTTATTTTCAGAAATCCTTCACTCATTTCCTCACTCATTCATTCTCTTTTCTCCTCGCCCTCCCAACAATCTTTGTCATGTATGACATTTTTTGAAGTTCTATTCTCAGCCAACAGGAGAAAAAATGTTGAAATATATTCATTATAATAATGCAAATGAAGGTAAAAAGTGAACTTTCAAAGCCACTGATTGATTTAATTTTTAACATCTTGGGCATCAGGTAATCCCTCAATGTTGTGAGTATGATGTTTTCAAAAGAAAACTGAACCAGTCTGAAGACATTTAAAAATAAGTTTATCTTTAACATACATTAAATCCTATACCTTGACCATTGGGTCAAGATTCTCTTATCATAGGTGCAGGAAGAATGGCTTTATTTTATTTTATATATTTTTTGATATAAGATCCGCTCTGTGTCCCAGGCTGGAGTGCAGTGGTGTGATCTCAGCTCACTGCAGTTTCAATCTCTCTGACTCAATCGACCCTCCCCCCTCAGCCTCTGGAGTAGGTGGGACTACAGGCATATGCCACTTCACCCAGCTAACTTTTGCACTTTTTGCAGAGATGGGGTTTTGCCATGCTGCTTACTCTGGTCTCGAACTCCTGGCCTCAAAGCCATCCATGCATCTCAGACTCCCATGCCTGTGGCTGGACTACAGGTGTAAACCACCGCACCTGGCCAGGTGCAGGAAGAATAAATGGCTTGCCTTTTCTTGAAAATACTCTCATTTGACTCATAAAAGTCATACAAGGACTTCCCTTATATCCCAGGTAATCTCAGTAATGTAATTGTTCCTCTTCTGGTGAAGACGACCTACCATCACCACAGCACTGAAGAGAAGGCAACAGAGCTTCTATGTTGGGTGGCTTGCTTTCATTCCAAACCCATTTAGCATCTCAATCCAGTTCCCCAAGAAAAATCCTATTAGGATTTTTTTTTTTTTACATTCCGTATCTATTGATTTTCCTGGCTGCTCTTCACTGAATGCCCATTTTGTAAAGGACACTGTTTTAAATACTAGAAATGACAAGGTTGCAGCCCTATGTGAGCATACCACTTGTGGTGGCCCTGAATGAGCTATAATTAATGAAGGAGGATAGGGCTTCAAGCCAGAGAAGAAATAGCACTGTCAGCATTAAGCACTGGGGTGTGGGATGTATAAAGGAAATAGACTAAGTATTCACAAAGGGCTCAGAATATAGTGTCAAAGAGGTTGTAAATGAGGAAGAATGCCAGGGCCCTATTCTTAGTGGAGCCAGGTAACTGCTAGATACTTTGCACATTCTTTGTCATGAAAACCATCAGGGTAGATCCTCTACAGACTGTAAGTCCCTTGTCTTTCATGCCATGCAGGGGAGAGATTGTGAAGGAAAAGGGAATAAGATCCTACAGGAATAATGCTAATTCCACAGGGTTTATACAAATCCATCCCATACCATGTGCCATCCTAGGCACTTGACATGCCCTATCTCATTGAATCATCTAAACAATGATAGGGGGTTAGAACTGGCTGTAGTCCAATATTGAAATGAAGGAACTGGGTCCTGGAGGAAAAAAAAAAGCAAAAACTAACTTACATTTGATCATAGACCTAGGTGGTGGTAGAGACCTAGGTTTACTACAGCTATTCTCATCTACACATAGTAAGAATTATGTAATCCATGACCTTACAATATGAATCAAGCTCAGCCTCAATCTTATTTTTCCATTAAAATGTATTTAAGTCTAATCTGCTAATAATCCTAAATCATTACCATACGACAAGTGTGGGTGGTAGCGATACTTATTAATTTGATGGTAATTTTATAACGAAATGTCCCACAGGTTTAAAAATCTCCATGTTAAAAATAAGGGAGAATAAGTTTAAGAAGAAAACAGGTATCTTTTTGTCCATGACGTGTGCCTGCCTCAAGGGAAAAACTTACCAGATTTTGAAACCTTGGACTGATTTTAAACCTGTGGCTTTGCAAAAAGGGTCTGTCTTTCCTGACTTTGGATATTTAATTGATAAAAGAATAAACAAGAAAGCATCGTTGCCTAAAACCAAAACTACCACCGAGTGCAGATAGAATGCATTCTGTATTGGTAGAAATAGATTCCCATGAATATTACCTAGAGAAATATGAGCAGAGTGCCTAGTTTAACTGGAGCAATGTCTTCCACCAACTTCTTGGCAATCTGGAAATGTGAGATCTACCTTGCCCAGCGGCTGAGGTTTGTTCTTCACATCAACATCATATTCAGGCCATAAAACTCCAGTGGATTGAGGCTGGACAGAGTCTCTAGGGCTAAGAGAAAAATCAGACCTTGGTGCTCAACTCAGAGCGTGGTTGACAGACAGGAGGGGACAAATTCATTCCCAGTCAAGAAGAGAGGGACAACTGAGCAAATGTCAGCACTCTTCCTTTATATATACAAGTTAGCTGACATGGGTAGTGTCTTGACTCTGGTCCTGAATACTTTGTAGAAATGTGGTGTTGCCCCACAGTTGGATCTGCCAACCTCCAGCAATTCACTTTAAAGAAAAAGACCTAAATAAATAATATCAATAAAGAAAAATCATCAGCAACACAAGGAGAAGAAGAGGGAAGGTTCTGTCAACACGGCAATGTGCTTTTGGCCACTTCCCTCTGAACTGACAACTAGGGTGCCATGGTCAATATCAAGTGCATGCAGACTGTTGCAGACTGTTAGCGAGCACTGCTCAATGTTGCCATGGCGAATGAGAAGCGTCCATAATGCCTCAGAGCTTGTTGGCGGCATCGTTATAAACAAACACAATAAGGCCAGTACTTTTGCCAACAGAATTCATGTAACTATGTTGCATATTCAGCTATCCTAGAGTTGGGGAATGTGTCTTAAGGCATAGGACAGGATTAGAATAAAACCGTGAAAGCAACAGGGAAAATTACCTACAGACTAAATGCCAACGTACTCAATGCCAGTGCTTCCCAACCAAAGGTGATTTTTGCCTTCTGACCATATCTGGACATCTGACCATATCTGGAATCATTTTTGGTTTGCACTACATGGGGAGAGGTGCTACTGGCATCTGGTGGGTAGAGGTCAAGGTGCTGTTAAACATCTTACAATGCACAGGACAGCTCCTTATAAGCCAAAGATTATGTGGGCCCAAATGTCACCAATGTCAAAGTTGAAAATCTCTGCTCTCTGCAGAGAACTCTTCATGAGAACCAACTGTAAGATGCTTGGTGTTAGAATCTACTTTCTATAGATTCATGGCATAACAGATGAAGCACAAAAAACTTGACTAGAGAAAGTATCAACAAGTAAACCAATGAAAAATAAAGGAAAATGTCCCACTTGTGTGGACTCCCACTACAGTTCCTAAAGGCGCTGAAATATGTAATTAGGCTGATTGCACAGAAACCAAATTATGACCCAGGAAAACAAGAGAACAGCTGACTCTTTAGGCTCCCATGAAATGACAAGATATATGTATTTCTAAAATTTCCTTTTATAATGTGGAATGCCATATTTGTCAGAGACTGTTTTTTTTTTTTTTTTTTTTTTTTTTTTTTTTTTTTTTTTTTTTTTTTTTTTGAGACGGAGTCTCGCTCTGTCGCCCAGGCCAGACTGCGGACTGCAGTGGCGCAATCTCGGCTCACTGCAAGCTCCGCCTCCCGGGTTCACGCCATTCTCCTGCCTCAGCCTCCCGAGTAGCTGGGACTACAGGCTCCCGCCACCGCGCCCGGCTAATTTTTTGTATTTTTAGTAGAGACGGGGTTTCACCTTGTTAGCCAGGATGGTCTCGATCTCCTGACCTCATGATCCACCCGCCTCGGCCTCCCAAAGTGCTGGGATTACAGGCGTGAGCCACCGCGCCCGGCCCAGAGACTGTTTAAGTAGGGAAGCTCACAGCCAAGAATCAGGCTGACATTTCATAGAATCTGTCCTCTGATTAGCAGGAGTGAACATTTTTGCAGGGCCAGGGGCTATTTGTGGTTTCATATCTCCACCTGGAATCTCTGCTTGTATTTGGAACCAGGCACTTAGCCAGTGATCATATCCTACATGTGCAGCAATTTCATCACTATGGTGGAAGGCTGTGCTACATGTCTAGATTCTGTATTTCATCATGTCTTTCTGATTGCCACCCCCACGTTGATGGGGCAGGTCTCTTCAACATTGCCCAGAGCAACTATAGTGATTTGGCTGCCATCTTGCCCATGATTTGTCTGTACAGAGCCAGTTGGTTCTGAGGGGGCTCTGCCTTACTACAGGTGATGGACACTACTCTAGAATTGTGTCTGTATGTCTCCATCTACTGCACTAGGATTGACTAGAAACATGGTAGAAAATCCATGTCAGGTCTTTGTCATGTAATGACATGACCCATCATCTAATATTGCCTTACTTACATTAAGAATGCTTTGCAAAATGTCTGTTCTAGTTGCTAACTGAGCCAAGGATACGCTTATTTTTAATGCTTAGTTTCATTTCTTTCTTTGTTTTGAGAAGGATATCACTTTGTGCCTAGGATGGCATGTGGTGACGCCATCACAGCTCACTGCAGCCTCAACTCCCGTGGTTTAAGAGATCCTCCCATTTCAGTCTCCTAAGTATCTGGGACCATAGATGCATACTACCATGTCTGGCTGATTAAATTTTTTTTTTTTTTTTTGTAGAGACTATGTCACACTATGTTATCCAGGCTGGTCTCAAACTCCTGGGCTCAAGTGATTCTCCTGTCTCAGCCTTCCAAAGTGCTGTGATTACAGGCATGAACCACTGCCTTCAGCCTCGTTTTGTTTCATTACCGATTAACCAGAGTAGCTTGACAGTGAGATTTTTTGTGTGTGTGAAGACAGATATTTCTCTGAGAAGTGAGTATATTGTCCCAACCCTCTCTAAATTTACACAGTTATTTTCCAGAACAGTTCATGGGAAATGTATCTCTCAGTGCATCCCCTCTCAAGAACATAGAAAATAACTCTTAATGATCCACATCAAAACGATGTCCATTTGAGGGAACTGATATCATCTCATGTCACTAAGGCAAATCAAATGCTGAAGCATTGGGTCTCACTGGAAAGCGATCATACTGAGTTGAACTTACAGTACTTGCAGAAAGGGTGGTAGCACAAACTTACTGTTCAAAACAAGACCTGCCTACCAACATTTAATGACATATTGCTTAGTGAAACCTAAAATGCATAATTTTTGCATTAAGAAACATATGTAAATCAACTTCCATTGTTTTCCTGCCCAGTGATATCTCTCTCTTCTTTGCATTCAAATGAATGTGTCTGAATTTAAGGGTCTACCATTTTCTGCATAACCTTGTTCAGACTTCATTTTATTTTTCAGATGGAGTCTCACTCTGTCACCCAGGCTGGAGTATAGTGGTGTGTTCTCAGCTTACTGCAACCTGTGTCTCCCAGGTTCAAGCAAGTTCTCCTGCCTCAGCCTTCTAAGTAGCTGGGATTACAGGTGCGTGCCACCACACCTGGCTAATTTTTGCATTTTTCATAGAGACCAGATTTCATCATGTTGGACAGGCTGGTCTCAAACTCCTGACCTCAAGTGATCCACCATCTTGGCCTCCCAAAGTGCTGTGATTACAAATGGAAGCCATGTGCCCAGTCAGACTTTTAAATTCATAAATCAAAATGAAAAATATATAGCCCATTGCACCTCTTGCGAAAACAGTTATCACACTCATTTCTCCTTGATTTTTCTTCTGGACTGTGGGGGGAATAGTTTATCTCTGTTGCTGATAAATTTTGGCTTTATCAGTATATCTGGTTCCTGATGGTTTCCTCTGTCCAAGTCGGCCTTGCTACTTGTTTCAACCTGCCACTCCCCATGAAAAACATCTTTATTTTCTTCCATTTTTCATCTGAAGTTTTTCATTTCAGCTTTCTTCTCCCTAGCACTATGGATTCCCTTAACTCTCATTTCTGTTTCCTACACCCCATAAATTTCTTGACCCTGGCTGAAAATATGTTGACCATGTTAACGGCTAAGAGAACCAATTAGCTTCTTAGACTAACTGCTCAGTATTTGTAGGGGACTGGGATCATCCAGCTTTATCTGCTTCCAATTTATATAACCCAATGCCATCAACAATCTTGTCCACAATGATCCCCTTTTGTGTTCCTTGGGGTAGTAATACTAAATCCTCATCACTTTGCTCAAGGCATTCTCACCTCCTCTGTCTTTGCTCTGCTCTCAGGATAATCTATTCTCTACTTTGTGGGGAACATAGTATCTACGTGGTGCGAGGACACTTCGTGTTTTGCTATTCCCTATACCTTGTCTGTATCCCATGATCTACAAGTCTTCCCACTTGAACTCCTTCCTTCTGATCTCGTGGATGAAGTATTGTTCCTATAGTCTAGGATAACTATCTCTGCTGTTAAAATCTTATTTTTTCCTTTTTTTTCTCAGTTTTTCTTGCCATATCTTCTTAATTATCCCCCCAATTATATAATTATATATATTTCATCCCAAAGTAATAACAACCAAATAAGCCAGGCACAGTGGCTTACACCTGTAGTCCCAGCAGTGTAGGAGGCAGAGGCAGGTCAGGATCACTAGCTCAGGAGATCAAGACCATCCTGGCTAACATGGCGAAACCCCATCTCTACTAAACACACACACACAAAATTAGCCAGGCGTGGTGGCAGGCACCTGCAGTCCCAGCTACTCAGGAGGCTGAGGCAGGAGTATGGCATGAACCTGGGAGGCAGAGTTTGCAGTGAGCCAAGATCACACCACTGCACTCCAGCCTGGGGGACAGAGCAAGACTCCGTCTCAAAAAAAAAAAAAAAAAAGAAAGAAAAACCCACACACAGGAAACTAAATCCTTTCTATTTTAAAAGTATCTGTCTCTTCATCTGTTACACATCTTCATCTAGCTACTGCTATGACATCTCCTCTGCTCTTTATGGTCAGCCACTTAGAGTCAAATTCAATCATAATAATGTTCACTTCCTCCCATGAGGAAAAAGGTGGGCAGCTTTATTTAAATATAAAATACATTCCATATCATTAATAAAGTGTGCAATTCAGTGGCTTTTATTCACAAAGTTGTGCAACCATCCCCACTCTCTACTTCCCGAATATTTTCAGCATTCCCAAAAGAAACCCTGTGCCCATTAGCATTCATTCAACCCTCTGCCTATTAGCATTCATTGCCTTTCCCTAATGGTAAGCAACAAATTATTTACATTCTGTCTCTTATGTTTCTTAAAAATTGAATCATACAACATGTGGCTACTTTCACTTAGCATAATGTTTTGAAGGTTCATTCATGTTGCAGCATTTATTAGTGATTCATGCATTTGTATGACTGAATAATGTTCCATTGTATGTATAGACCACATTTTATTTATCCATTCATCAGTTGACGGACATTTGGGATGTTTTCACTTTTAAGCTACTATGAATAGTGCTACTATGAACATCCATGTACATGTTTTCTTATAGGTATGTTTTCATTTCTATTGAGTATAGACCTAGGAGTGGAATTGCTGGGTCCTGTGGGAACTCTATGTTTAAGCTTTCAGAAACTGCTAGACTGTTTTCCAAAACTCTTTTTCCCACTTTTTTCCTTCCATATGCAGTCTACATTCTGGGGAACCTCTTTCTCTCAGGTTACAGTAACTTCCACATTGGCAAATTCCCTAAGAGCTTTACAATCCTTCTCTTACTTTGATCTCTGTGACTGTGACATTCCTAACTTCTTCTCATAAAAAGTTCTGTTCCCCTTTGGTTTTTGGGACATCTTTATCTTCTGGGAAAGCTCTCTTTAGTCTTAACTCATTTTTTCTCCTTTAATCCCACCTAGATACCTCTATCTCGTGTCATCATCACCCTTATATTCTCACTAAGCACATTCCTCCCAGATACTTTGGTGCAATGATGACACAAAATCTGTAACATCACCCCAGATTTCATTTCTGAGCTATAGGATGAAGTTCCCTACACAGATGTCCCATATGAATCTTACACTCAAGAAAATGCTGTACTCATTACATCCTCTGACTCATTTCTCCATGAATGCAATCACCGTCCATCCTGTTAGCTATTCTTTTCCAAGTCAAAATTTTAGATGAGAATAGCTCTGTGTGATGAAATATTGAAAGATATTATTTATGATAGTGTGTTGTAAATACAAGGTATGGAGTCATTAAAAAAATTTGGAAATCACTTTACTAGAGTATGAGTATGCTGAGTTAAGAAAACATAATTATTATTATTTTGCTAAATCTATTTTCTTAGTACCTGACAAGGTATCTGAAATACAGACATTCAGTGATTGTTGGTTGAACTAATTTATATTATATAAATGTCTGTAATTTGTATTTACAGTTGACTTTCATTGTTCATGATCATTACAGTATATTCTACAAAGGTAACAAAAACACTGAATTAGTGAACGTTGAACCATTGGTTAGGTTGTTTGCGCCCCATGGTTACAACATTTTTGTCAGCTGATGAATAGATGATGTTGTTTTCTACTTGTTTCTGTATAGAGAAACCTAACTTCATACATGTTGTTGTTTCCTTCATGTAGAACTCATGGCCAACATCACTAGAACTCATGCCTGAATGAAGCTTCTCTAATACATATGTTATTTCCATAAGACACACCATAGACTTCTTTTGCTTCGGGACACAACACGGCACTCCAGCACTGTGGTTTGGGGCCATTTTCATAACAAAACCAACAAGAAAAAGCATAAACATGTCAAAAACACGATATGAAATTGACAGCTAAAATGACACTTGTTTACAGGATGAAGTGAATCAAGAATGCAGTGTGGCCTTGTTCATCCCCAGCTGACAATGTGTTTTGTTGGGTGACTTAGATTTTTCCTCACAATGCACATGTCTGTAAATGACTATGAACACACCCCAGGCATTGATGCTGTGGTCACAAGTACATTTTAGTGAATAGGCAGACAGGTAAATGCAGAATCTTCATATAATGAGGATCCACTACATATAATTCATATGTCTATAATATATAAAGCACTAAATAATGTATACAGCTGTAATAAATATAATAGATATTATATAATATTTTATAAACTATATTGTAATCATTTATATAATTTCAAAATCATAATTTCTAAGATTTTATAATGTAATACATATGATTTTATATGTGGTAAATACAAAATGTGATAATTTATAATCTATGACATATATGACTATATATGTTATAGTATATAAGTAGATGTCACCAATTTATTTATAATTATTTACAGCATATTAGTCTGTTCTCATGCTGTTAATAAAGACATACCTGAGACTGGGCAATTTCTAAATAAAAAGAGGTTTAACAAACTCACAATGATGGCAGAAGGCAAAGGAGGAGGAAAGTCACCTCTTTTATGGCAGCAGACAAGAGAAATGCAGAATGGAGTTGGCGAAAAGCCTTTTCTAAAACCATCAGCTCTCAAGTGAACTCACCCACTATCATAAGAACAGCATGGAGGTAACCACCCCCATGATTCATTTATCTCCCACTGGTTCCTCCCATGACATGTAGGGATTATAAGAAATATAGTTCAAAATGAGATGTGGACTGGAAACTATAAAAATTCTAGAAGATAAATTGGAAAAATCCTTCTAGACATTGGTTTAGGGAGGGATTTTATGACCAAGAACCCAAAAGCAAATGCAATACAAAGATAAATTGCTGGGACATAATTAAACTAAAGAGCTTTTGCTTGGCAAAAAGAACAGTCATCTGAGTAAACAGACAACCCACAGAATGGGAAAAAATCTTCACAAACTATGTATCTGACAAAGGACTAATATCCTTTATTAGTTTACAATGAACTCAAACAAATCAACAAGAAAAAAAGTGAACAATCTCATCAAAAAGTGGGCCAAGGATGTGAATAGACAATTCTCAAAAGAAGATATACAAATGGCCAACAAACACATGAAAAAAATGCTCAACATCACTAATGATCAGGGAAATGCAAATCAAAACCACAATGCAATAGCACCTTACCCCTGTAAGAATGGCCATAATCAAGAAATCAAAAAACTGTAGATGTTGACATGGATGTGGTGATCAGGGAATACTTCTACACTGCTGGCGGGAATGTAATCTAGTACAGCCACTAAGGAAAACAGTGTGGAGATTCCTTAAATAACGAAAAGTAGAACTACTGTTTGATCCAGTAATCCCACTACTGGGTATCTACTCATAGGAAAATAAGTCAATATGTGAAAGAAGATATTTGCACATGGATGTTTATAGCAGCACAATTCACAATTGCAAAAACATGGAATCAAAGCAAATGCCGATTCAATCATCGAGTGGATAAAGAAACTGTGGTATATTTATGATGGAATAATAGCACATTTTTGTGATGGAATACAAGCACAAACTCAACCATTAAAAGAAATGAATTAATAGCATTTGTTGCAACCTGGATGAGATTGGAAACTGTTTTTCTAAGGGATGTAACCCAGGAATGGAAAACCAAGCGGTATGTTCTCACTCATACTGTGAGCTAAGACATGAGGATGCAAAAACATAACAATGACAGCATACATTTTGGGGACTCAGTGTGAAAGGGTGTGAAGGAGTGAGGGATAAAAGACAACAAATAGGGTGTGGTGTATACCTTTTGGGTGATCGTGCACCAAAATCTTACGAATCACCACTAAAGAACTTACTAATGTAACCAAACACCACCTGTTCCCAGATAACACCACCTATTCCCCGATAACCTATGGAAAGAAATAAGTATAAAGTAAAAAATGTTACAGCTTATAGCATAAAGTGACCTTCCATGAAATAATGTGGCAAAACAAGAAAGTTAATACCAGAGGTAATAAGTGTCTAGACATTAAGAAAAAAAAAAATGAGATTTGGGTGGGGATACAGCCAAACCATATCACTTACAAACTTTGGGTATATAAATGCTTTTATCTATAGGCATATATTCAACTAATTTCACTTATATATGTTAATATATACATATATAAGAGATAATCATATATTCTTGAGAAAATAAAATGCATGACCCCTGTATTCTAATCACAAGTAACAACCATGTGATTAGATTACCTTGATTGCTTAATAATATATTCTCTCTCTTCATCCTAGATTCTCCTTCAGTTCCTTATCTCAGTAAATGGCACCCTCATCATCCAGGCAGAATCCAGGAAAAGATTCTTCCCTCCTTCCCATCTATTGTATCCAAATCATCATTGAGGGCTCCTTGATTTTGCCTTCCTGACATCACTCTCTTCTAGAAACTGCTCTCTTCACTGCCACAGCATTACTGCCACCTTTACTTCAATTGCATTAAGGAAAGTATTCTTCGAATTGCATTATCTTGTCTCTACTCAGTTTTTAGTAAATCCTCCACTCTGGACACAGTGTGGCTTTTAAAAAAGACTCCCTGGATCAGGCCACCTTTGCACAGAATATTTCAGTGGCTTTTCACAGCCCCTACCATCAGGTAAAAGTAAGCCTCCTCCATAGGACATACGATCTGTGCAGTGAGTTGTCCTATGAAAATTCGGCATTGGCTACGTATGTGCAAAGACTAACTCAGAAGTTTTGGAGATGTCACCTCCTGGTTGATCAGAAAAAGGAGGAATGATTAAATGGATCAAGACCAAGAAGAAGCAACCCAGTGAAATTCAGGAAACCAGGAAGAAAGTGCTGTCGGAGGCCAAAGCAGAGATAATTTGAAGTGATATGGGTTTAAATGCTTCCATCAGAATGAATGAGGATTTATAGTCCCTGGGTGTAGCACGTGGGAGGTACCTTGGGGAAACAATTTGAAAAGAAGAAAAAAGCACCACCTGCTGGCCAGGGATTGAAGGAGGGGGAATTAGGAAATGATAAGATGAAATGTATATTATCCCACTGGGACTCCTGATGGGAGAGAGAGAAAAAAGTGGCCAGGGAGGATTCAGGACAGAGGTTGGTTATAAGAAGCACAGGTGAGCCAAGGCATGCTGGCTCACACCTGTAACCCTCAAACTTTGGGAGGCTGGAGTGGGTGGATCACCTGAGGTCAGGAGTTCAAGATCAGCCTAGCCAACATGGCAAAACCATCTCTGATAAAAATATAAAACTTAGCCAGACGTGATAATGCATGCCTGTAATTCCAGCTACCCTGGAGGCTGAGGCAGGAGAATCACTTGAACCTAAGGGGCGGAGGTTGCAGTGAGCCAAGATCATACCACTTCACTCCAGCCTGGGTGAAAGAGTAGAAATCAGTGTCAAAACAAAACAAAAAAAAGAAGCTGCCTCATAATTCTGACTTCTGAAACCTCCAGTGAAGCTGCAAAAACACCAATTATTCTTCTGCTTAAGTGCTCAGCTAAATTCCTCCTGTTGTAAAAATATCTTGCCTGTGGTTTTTGTACTTATAATATCATTTGTACAAATACATGGATTTCTGAGGTGAGAAGTGAAAAGAAATATTCACCTAAGCATGGTTGATAATGAGTGTTATATTTCTGACATCTCAAAGTGAGATGAAAGATTGCACATTTTATCTTGAAAAATGATCTCAAGGCCTCTTCCAAGAGATTCTCCTTACCTAAAAGGATTGTGGCTACCTGCTATTTTACTTCATTTTCTTCTCTTTCTTCTCAAAGAAATATCTGTTATTTTTCATTGCTCAAGTATTGATGACTAGGGTGTTTACTAAATAAATTCATAGAACACAGAACTGGAAGAGGCAATTGTGAAAACTTGACTTAGGGCCAAAATATCCCTCCATTTCCAGCTACTGTGATTTCTTCATTGAAAACCAGAGAGTTTGCAAAGGTAATTGCCAAGCAAATTACCTAAGGGAATCCATCTATAGCAATGATGAAGAACACCAGAATTGGCATCTTGTCTTCCCTTTTTTCTTTCAACATATAAAAAACAAAGAATTCTTTTTGAGGTCACAACTGCAACCATCACGACATAGTTTCAATTGTGTTGCTGAACTAGAAATTTCCAGGATATTCCTGATGGTGCCCAGTGTTCAGAAATCATCTTCATATGCCCTTCAGGTCTTTGGGTTGAAGTAGTTATTGGGTTAATAACCAAACTACCATCGATGGAAACAGTTTTTTTTGTGAAGCTGATAGCACAACTTACAGTTGGAATTAAGCTCCCAAATGAGTTCTTTGAAATTTTTACTGAAATGGTTTCTTTGAGGGAAGTGCTAACCCCCCACCATTTTCAACAAAAGTACCAGGGATCAATGTTTCCAACAGAAAACAGAATCTACCTGAATTTAGCTAGTCAGCAACATACACCAAACAGTTAAAATGAGAAAAGTGAGAAAATAATTAAGCAGTGTGCATATATGTAAGGGAAACATAAACTGCCTCTTCAGGAGTTTACTATCTTTGTTTAGGAGTGCACACACACACATGTGCACACACAAACACAAAATTCAGCCAAAGCCCCATTTCCAATGGTACCAACAAACAAGCACAAATCAATGTAGTAAAAACAAAATACCTAGGCGCTAAGCGAATATGTCCGGGGAGCTAGCCCAAGACTCCAGTAAGCTGCAATTGCTGAGACCATTTTCAATCTGATATAATCATTCTTATAAGTCTGTGAGATTTTGTATAGTTGAAATGCAGATCACACAGATCCAGCCATTTGAATACGAATGGCTCCACACTCTGAAATGACACCTGTAATATTTCCCTGGGAGTTGACTTGACCATGCCGTCTCTTTTTTTTTTTTTCGTGAGACACAGTCTTGCTCTGTCACCCAGGGTATAGTGCAGTGACATGATCTCGGCTCACTGCAACCTCCGCCTCCCAGGTTCAAGCATCCTTCTGCCTCAGCCTCCCAAGTAGCTGGGATTACAGGCACCTGCCACCACACCCAGCTAATTTTTGTATCTTTAGTAGAGATAGAGTTTTGCCATGTTTGCCAGGATTGTCTTGAACTCCTAACCTCAGGTGATCCACCTGCCTTGACCTCCCAAATTGTTGGGATGACAGGCATGAGCCACCACATCCCGCCAACCATGTCATCTCTTAATGCAAGAAGCTGAGTAGTGAGCGAACTTTCAACAATTGTGTACCATCCACCCCTTGGCGTGTTCTCATTTCCCCGAATACCTTCCATTTAACTTCACTTATTTTATGCTCAACTCTTAGGTTTCTGTCATCCTCCATTGCTATTAATCAATAGTCATTTTATAATTGAACTTCATGCCTTTGTGCAAAAATCTTTGCTGGAAGGAAAGGGAGGAGAAAAAACTAATGCACTCCATCTCTGTGGTTCATGGGCAGATTTTTTTTCTTTATACTTTAAGTTCTAGGGTACATGTGTGCAAAGTGCAGGTTTGTTACATATGTATACATGTGCCATGTTGGTGTGCTGCACCCATTAACTCATCATTTACATTAGGTATATCTCCTAATGCTATCCCTCCCCCCTCCCCCACCCCACTATAGGCCCTGGTGTGTGATGTTCCCCTTCCTGTGTCCATGTGTTCTCGTTGTTCAATTCCCACCTATGAGTGAGAACATGTGGTGTTTGGTTTTTTGTCCTTGAGATAATTTGCTGAGAATGATGGTTTCCAGCTTCATCCATGTCCCTACAATGGACATGAACTCATCAGTTTTTATGGTTTCATAGTATTCCGTGGTGTATATGTGCCACATTTTCTTAATCTGTCTATCATTGATGGACATTTGGGTTGGTTCCAAGTCTTTGCTATTGTGAATAGTGCTGCAATAAACATATATGTGCATGTGGTTTTATAGGAGCATGATTTATAATCCTTTGAGCATATACCCAGTAATGGGATGTCCGGGTCAAATGGTATTTCTAGTTGTATATCCTTGAGGAATTGCTACATTGTCTACCACAATGGTTGAACTGGTTTACAGTCCCACCAACAGTGTAAAAGTGTTCCTATTTCTCCATAGCCCCTCCAGCACCTGTTGTTTCTGACTTTTTAATATTTGCCATTCTAACTCGTGTGACATGGTATCTCATTGTGGTTTTGATTTGCATTTCTCTGATGGCCAGTGATGATGAGCATTTTTTCATGTGTCTTATGGCTGCATAAATGTCTTCTTTTCAGAAGTGTCTGTTCATGTCCTTTGCCCACTTTTTGATGGTGTTGTTTGTTTTTCTCTTGTAAATTTGTTTGAGTTCATTGTAGATTCTGGATATTAGCCCTTTGTCAGATGAGTAGGTTGCAAAAATTTTCTCCCATTTTGTAGGTTGCCTGTTCACTCTGATGGTAGTTTATTTTGCTGTACAGAAGCTCTTTAGTTTAATTAGATCCCATTTGTCAATTTTGGCTTTTGTTGCCATTGCTTTTGGTGTTTTAGACATGAAGTCCTTGCCCATGCCTATGTCCTGAATGGTATTGCCTATGTTTTCTTCTGTTTAATAAATGGTGCTTTAGTTACTGTCCTCTCCTATCCAGACAATTGCATTCTAAATACCACAGCCATTTCCTTTCCCTCTTCTTTTTTCTTCAAATCAGCTTGGTCTCACCCAGCTTCTACTCCCAGATCAATTGAACCATATACTCCCTCTGTTACTATCACCGGGCACGTACACCGGTGAGAATTCATGTCTTTACTGCTCTCTGAGCACCAAAATTAACAGTGTTGTGCACAATTCTGATGCTACTGCCTGATAAACTCCCTCTCCCATTTCTCATGCTGGCTTTTACCACATTCTCCAATTTGTCTCAAGTCCTCTGCTTTACCCCTCACTTTCAGCACACAGTCTTTCTTTCTAATGCACAGAGAAACAGTCATTATCAGGAATAACCTTCGTTGGTGTTTTGCATCTCCTGCAAAATGATCTATACCTGCATCCTTTCTTCACTGCCATTTCTGGGGTGCATAGGATCTGAGATAAGAATCTCCCACTCTGCTCTGTAAATTCTATCTCATCCACATAATGGTCCCCATCATTCATCCCCTTTCTCTTCTTTATCGCCAACCTTTCTAAGAATGGCACATCTGCAGATGAATTAGTTCTCTATGGTTCTCAGCATACTTGCCAAATGTCATCCATCAGTATGCTTCCAATTTTAACATATTCATTGCCAGACAAACATTCAAAATTTGTCCACACATACTGCCACAACTTTTTCACTTCCTACTTATTCTGCTTTCAGAATTTACTACTATTCAGAGATACGTATCTTCAAGATCACTCGTCAATGATCTTCTAAATGCAACTTTAATCTCTTCTTTTAGGTCATATTCTTGCATAATCTCTGCCTGTGTTAAGGTTTAAAAAGTAGTGTTTGTTATTTTTTTAAGGGATTGTACTTTTGTCTTCAAAGGAGTAGAAAGTGTTAGACAGAACCTGAGTTGTTCAAACAGCATCCTCTCCTCCTTAATTGTTGTATTTATTTAAGCTTTGGCTGAACAGCCAATTCAGGTCTTTGAGACATACTGAACAACAAGTCTATTCAGTGGTGTTTACCACAATGCTGCCTGCACCATATTTGGGAAATAAGAACATTGGATCTTGGGTTTGATGGAAGGAATGATTTCAGCAACAATGGTGTGACCATAGTTCTTTAATAAGAATTTTGTATCGAATATTTATGGTTGAACATAAAAGAAACCTGCAGAAACTCTAATAATTACTAAGATTCATGGCCTGACAGCTCTGTATTTCAGAGACAGCTAAACATAGACCTGGTACAGGTGTGGTCATTTGGACTTTCTGATTCAACACACATTTGCACAGTTTCTACAAGGTCATGACCCATGAATGGCATCTTGATTCTGCAAAGAAGATGATAGGGTTTATGTATGTCTGTATCCTATTACTGATGGGATCCCCAGGTATTAAATAAACAAATCCTGATATGGAAAGACAGTCTGTGCTTATACAAAAGAGAGGAGATTTATTTATCCCTTCCAAGGTTTTTGTCTTCTTTTTTGGTGGGATGAACTGAAGGACATGTAAGAACTTAGAATAATTTTCATAGACCATATTCACATACATTTTTCTCTTACGTTCTCTGCTGCTAGTTATGCAGACTTCAAGATGTGAATCTGAAAATAAAGATGCATGAAGATTCAATAACTAGTATTCTTTTATTAAAAGCTCTGGACAATTACTGAGAAAAAAGCCTAGGGGATAAAAAATAGATTAGAAAAATTGAATAAGAAAGTCATTATGTACAATACATCACTTGGTATATGGTGCTTTGAGATTTTGAATTTCAATAATGAGTCAGAGACTGCTTAGAATTTTTACTATTATGATGCCCTAAAATTATTCCATAATTATACTCATTACTAATTGGAAAATTCTCTATAAGATAATTTATTGGAAAATTCTCTGTAAGATAATTTATAAGAAAATTCTCTATAACAAAATGATAAGTATAGTTAATTAAGCAGCAATGTAGGAATGTCTATCCAAATTGAAAGAATATTGAACATTGACAAGGGTCTCATGCATATGCATGTACCTGAAAAGGTCAAGATAAGTCAGAGGATGACATTGTACCTTTTGGGAATAACGTTGAAAGCAATATGGCTTGTGCACTTCCCAGCTCATGAAATTACGACAAACTCAAGCACGGACACTGCCCATGTACTGAAACCAGAAGGGAAACATAATAAACTCTTTTGGGTTTCATTAATTCATGTATTTATTCACTCATACCTTTATAACAGTATGTATTGACTAGGGGACTCTCCTTAATAATGACCAATCACACCAGTCAGAATGGAGATTATTAAAAAGTCAAGAAACAATAGATATTGGAGAGGTTATGGAAAACTAGAAACATTTTTACACTGTTTGTGGGAATGTAAATTAGTTTAACCATTGTGAAAACACAGTTTGGCAATTCCTCAAAGATCTAGAACCAAGAATACCATATGATCTAGCAATCCCATCACTGAGTATATACTCAAAGGTTTAAAAATCATTCAATTACCAAGATATATGTATGTGTATGTTCATTGCAGCACTGTTCACAATAGCAAAGACATGGAATCAACCTGCTACGTGTTCTTCCAATTTAAAAATGTCAACACTCCTGAAATTTCAAGAAGTTCTCTATCCTGTTGGCTGTTTAAATTCCTAAGCCACAGCCACAGAGGGGGCTTTGTTATGAATGGATCTTGCTCCTCTCTATGGAAAAGTTCTGAGGAGTCAAGATTGGGTCAATTAAAGAGGACATTGGTACCGGGGCAGTGACTCATGCCTGTAATTCCAGAGCTTTAGGAGGCCAGAGCAGGAGGATTGCTTGAGCCCAGGAGCTTATGAACAGCCTGACGAACATAGCAAGATCCCATCTCTAAAAAAAATTAATAAAATTAGCGAGGCATGGTGGCACATGCTTGTAGTTCCAGCTACTCAGGAAGCTGAGGTAGGAAGGTTGCTATTGCTTAGGAATTCCAGGCTGTGGCGAGGTATGATTCTGCCACTGCACTCCAGCCTGGGAAACAGAGCAAGACCCTATCTCTCTACAGAAACAAACAACAAACAAACAGCAAGTGGCATCCAGGATACTGTTGCATAACTTATTTAGATAAAATCCCACTGGCCCACTTTCAGAAAAGAGGATCCAGTATCCAATTTTCATTTAGAGGTAGTACTGGTCTAGAAATGTGCATAGTAATGACTTTCTATGGTGTGTTCTTTGTTATTTACTCCAAGCTTTCTCTTAGTGCCTTGATTCATTCCCACTGGGAGCAATGGTCACAGTGCAGTGACTAATAGTACTAAACAACTTAACTCAAAGAAAGTACTGGGGCTGGGTGTGGTGGCTCACGCCTCTAATCCCAGCACTTTGGGAGGCCAACATGGATCACGAGATCAGGAGTTCAAGACCAGCCTGACCAACATGGTGAAACTTTATCTCTACTAAAAATACAAAAATTAGCTGGGTGTTTTGGTGGATGCCTGTAATCCCAGCTACTCAGGAGGCTGAGGCAGGAGAATCGCTTGAATCTGGGAGGCAGAGGTTGCAGTGAGCCAAGATCATGCCACTACACTCCAGCCTAGCGACAAGAGCTAGACTGCTTCAAAAAAAAAAGAAAAGAAAAAAAAAAGAAAGAAAGAAAAAAGAAAAAAGAAAGAAAGTACTGGAATAGGACTATCATGAAATGGAATAATAGGTTCCTGCATGAATCTTGCAGACAGAAGACCCCATATATGAGGAAAGGAAGTTTGTTTATTCATGGAAATCTATCATCAGCAGTGAGAAGAAATTAAAATATCAATGCCAGAGAGAATTCATTTAGGGTTCAGCTGCATAGTAGAGTTTTAATTTCACCCGAGTGCAATCATATTTGCATTTATGGCCCAATTTAACTCCACCCTCTTTACAGAGTATTGATGAAGTCTTTGATATTGCCATCATGCTGCAATTTTTTGAGATGTATTATGTAAATAGACCAAAAGCAGAGAAGGGGATGTAAAAATATACATGCCAAGGGATATTACAGAAGTGCTGCTGATTGGTGGCAGAAACTGGTTTTTATTTTCTGGATTCTTTTGGCCAAACTAACTCACTGATGATATAGTCTATTTGTTTTGTTATTATTATTATTTAGTTTAATATTTTTCTATTGAGCTTTTTTTTTTATTGTTGCTTCCACCTATCTAGGTTTTAAGATATTGCACCATTGATAATAGTATGAATAATTTTGCATCGTGCTTATGTCCTGAAAAGATACTCTTGCATTGTGCATATTGCCTGAAGAAGTACTCTTAACTGGAGGGTCATCATATAGTTGTTAGGGTCAGTTATGACTTCCGTCTCCCAGGAAATACTTGTGAGACCTCACATAGGATTCTTATCCCTTCTCTGCCTAAGTTTTCTTGGGTGTAATACAACGGCTGTAATAGGATATTAGGGCTATAATAAATATTTAAATGAGATAATCCATTACAGTGCCTGATCTAAGATACAGACTCAATGTTTATCAGAATTATAAGAAATGTTTTTGTTTTACCAGGGTAATATATACACTTTTTATCATCATTTTAAACAGTTGCACAAGGTTTCATCATACATTCTGCTGTAACCAAAACACTTCTACCTTTGAATCTGTTGGGTCCAGTTTTATGCTGTTATATATTGTTCAATTATGTAGATTTTTGTGCACAAATAATTTTGCACATTG
The DNA here is from genome assembly GCF_000001405.40 of Homo sapiens. Classification (NCBI taxonomy): domain Eukaryota; kingdom Metazoa; phylum Chordata; class Mammalia; order Primates; family Hominidae; genus Homo; species Homo sapiens. The sequence goes on along the minus strand of NC_000024.10, from coordinate 15,220,949 downwards.
GAGATTCTATCCCTAGGCATAAAAACTCGGAAACAGAATTACCTGTAAAGCATTCGATTTTTTTTTTTTTTTTTTTTTTGGGGGGACGGGGTCTTGCTCTGTCACCCAGGCTGGAGTGCAGTGGTGCGATCTCAGCCCACTGCAACCTCTGCCTCCTGGGTTCAAGCAATTCTCCTGCCTCAGCCTCCTGTGTAACTGGGACTACAGGTGTGCACCACCACTCTCAGCTAATTTTTGTATTTTGAGTACAGATGGTCTTTCACCATGTTGGCCAGGATGGTCTCAATCACTTGACTTTGTGATCCACCCACTTCGGCCTCTCAAAGTGCTAGGGTTACAGGCATGAGCCACCACCCCTGGCCTCATCCAACATTTTTTAGCATTCTTGCTCTATCTTGCCAATTTCCTTTTTCAGAAATGATATGAAGTAGAAAACAATTTTTAGGAATATTTTAAGGGGCACAGCAGTTTGTATAATTGAAAAAATTGTCATCCTCCAAAGCTTGTGGGTTATTAATTCTGCCAAAAGGCATGGTAGACAAATATCTGACACCAAGTCTAGATTTCATTTCCCTCAAGCCATTCAATTGCTGGAGGTGTGACCAGAAACCTGAGACTGTGGTCCTTCCCGTTACTACACAGATGTGGTTATTGTAAATTACCCCACAAAATAAGATGGGAATTATGAATTCAAGGGTCCAGATCATTTTACTTCCCCTTATCATGACTTCCCTTTATGGAAAATATCAAATTGGGATTTTCGAGCTTTGCTGGCTCCCAGTGATAGCACCCCTAGAGAAATGTGGTTTGTGTTTGGATGATTTAAGTCACATGGCAAATGTGTGGTGGAGCTAATATCCATAGACTTGGAAATCTGGACTCCTGGGCTTCCTGTTACAACTGCAAACCATTGCTCATACTGATGCTGACCTGTTGATTAACTTGCATGCTCTCATGTCCCCATGTCCATTGAATATGGCTTCAGACATAAATCCAACATGTGGACACAAAGGAAATGAGATGTGAAACACAAAAGCAAGGGAAAACCTGGAAGTGAAGATAAAACCAGGCTGTATGTATTAGTAATTGTGCAAGTCCTCATTGAGATCTTTGGAGGGTAAAATGTGGAAGAATCCACCACCACAAACCCTTTACATTAGCTGGTACAATCTTGGTAAATGGGAAACACTAAGTCAATGTTAGCCTGTAGCAATGGAAGCCACAGCGGCTTGTGTTGTATCCAAAAGAAAATTTGGAATTTTATTTGTGATGAAATTTGTTGACTGGCTAGTGGGTGCCCTCAGACAACCATGTCTTATAGGAACCATGCAATAATGATAGAGACAGTCACTGCAATAAGAAGGAGCAAAGCAGACTTGAGCTCATCTTTAAAAACAAAGAAACGAACAACAACAAAAAAACCTTTTTCTGTTTTAAAGCAGAGATTTATAAGAAGTTGCAGCATAATGTGCAGGAAGCCCTCATGTGTTCTTCATCCAGTTTCCCTGACTGAAAGCATCTTGAAGGGGTATCAGGCAAGATCAACATGGGTGGTTCCCATTTTTCAAACCAAAAAAGTCCAGGATTTAAGAGGGCTTTTTATTTTCCTAATTTTTGAAAACACTATATTTGAATATGTGTGACTTTGTAAACTGAGTGGAATCTATGTATTTTAGTTTTCCCAAACCACGCATTCTTAAAAATAACTGAACTTGGTTCCCTTTAATCTGAGTTAAGGATAGGCAATTTTTTTTTAATTTATTTGTTTATTTTGAGACATTGTCTGGCTCTGTCACTCAGGCTGGAGTGCAGTGGTGGCTCACTGCAGCCTCGAACTCCTGGTCTTAAGCAATCCTCCCACCTCAGCCTCCCGAGTAGATGGGACTACATGAGCATGCTCCACCACATCTGCTTGGCTCATTTTTCTATTTTGGTAGAGAGATGGTCTTTCCAAAATATGTTTGCCAGGCTGTCCAGTACTCCTAGCCTCAAGTGAGCATCTGTTTTCAGCTTCCCGAAGTGCTGGGGTTACAAGCATAAGCCGCCTTACCCAGCCCAAAGACTTTTTACAAAGGGCCAGATAGTAAATATTTTGGCTTTGTGAACCACACAGTCTCTGCCATAAATAGGCAATTCTGCCATTGTATAACAAAAGCAGCCACAAGCAATATCTGAATAAATGCATGTGACTGCATTCCAATAAATCTTTATTTATAAAAGCAGGCAGTGGGCCAGATTTGGCCTGTGGGCTGTGCTTGCCTATCCTGGCCTAAATTAACCCACTTAATGTCTGATTCAAGAAAGGGGTTTTGCGAGTTAATTCCGTACATACATTTATATCACTTCCCTGTTATTTATCCAGAATCCTCCAAACATACACATTAAAAAAAGAGAGAAGGCTGGGCACAGTGGCTCACACTTGTAATCCCAGCACTTTGGGAGGCTGAGGTGGGTGGATCACCTGAGGTCAGGAGTTCTAGAGCAGCCTGGCCAACATGGTAAAACCCTGTCTCTACTAAAAATTCAAAAATTATCCAGGCATGGTGGCACATGCCTGAAATCCCATGTATTGGGAGCACTGAGGCATGAGAATAGCTTGAACCTGGGATGCAGAGGTTGTAGTGACTGGAGATTGCACCACTTCACTCCAGCCTGGGTGACAGAGTGAGACTTGGTCTTGGAAATAAATAAATTAATTAATTAGTTAATTAATTAAAACAAATAAAAAGAAATATTTCTGTAAGCATGCAGCATTCTACTTTGAGGAAAAAAATGGCATAAAAATGAGTTGATATTAGGAACTTACTTGCATATAACTTTCCAGGATGCATCATGAAATCAATCAATCAACTTATCTACCTACCTACGTACTTAACTATACCTACGTATCTCTACATATGTCTATATCTATCTTTACCTATCTAGCTAATCATCTATCATCTATCTCTATGTATCCCTCTGTGTGTGTGTGTGTGTGTGTGTATAAAATCTATCTACATTCATGTGTGTCTATGTATGTCTATCTGTATAAATGTGTGTATTTGTGTACATAGACATATTGATTTTGATTAAATTCAAATACAAACATATATATTGAATTCCTATTGACTTCCTCTACACACATTCATTTACTATTGCCATATATGTGCATGTGTGAATCCACTTTGGGAATGTAACATAACATATTTGATGTCACATGGATAATTCTCATATATTGTGTTGGATTTTGTCAGCTTTCCACTGGCTTTGAGCTACAGAGGAAAACTGAGATTTGGAGATACAAACAACTTCAGTTTCTGCTGAGTTTTTAAATTAAAATGGCAATTCTTCTATCAAGTGCATGTAAGTTTATTGTGTTAGAACTCATTGATAAGATGTGAAAGTGTGGGATGAGGGGCACAGAGGGTGGATTGTGATCAGCCCTCTTGGTATTACCGTCATGACATTTCAATGAATGCACTCACTTGGGGTCAACATGTGGGCTATAGGCCTTCTCAGAGATCTCACCAGTGGGTTCCAGTTATTAATAGGGCTATTATTTAAATTTAACTTATGACCTCATGTTGGAAAAGGAAAAAAATGATTACAATACTAACAGGTAGGCAAAAGAGATTATTTAAATTATCAAAAATCTGACTCTTAGGGACATCTCCAGTGGTCCATAACCTTTACAAAAGCTGATAAAAATACATTTAATATTGAAATGAAAAGGCTGGAATAATTTAGAAACAACTCTCTAAAATAGGTATCCTTAATTGTTAAAAATATAATCTTTTCTCTCCCTAGTTGAAGGTCCAACCATGTGTACAAAGAAATGTCTATTCTATGATGAGATTTTTAATCAATTATTTTCCCAATGGGAGAATGCTAATTACCAAGTTATCCTTTGGAAAAATACCAAATACCAAATAAAATACAAAATAATAAATAAAATATTAAACACTAGTGCTGCATTTCACAAAAATTTTTACTTGGAAAATCAATTCCATGGAATGTAGGGTGACTAGCCACCCTGCAATACAGAAAATTGCCAGAGTATAGGACTTTCACTCCTGAAATTATGATAGTATTGGGCAAACCAGGATGAGTTGATCACCCTAATAGAATAAGGAATAGTAGAAATTACTCTGCTAAAGGTGTCTATGATCAAACATGACAGAGACTTTCTGGGATGAATAAAAGTTGACCATTGTTTTTACTGTAACCGTTCACAAAATCTTAGTAGGCTAATACATAAATGAGAACAGCATCAGCTGGGCACTGGTATTCCCAAGTTCTAGAAACTAAAATATTACTCCAAGAATGGCCAGGCATTAAATTTTAGCTCAGGTTCCATCCCTCTTGGAACTTGAAGACAGGATCAAACTTTCACAATAAAACTCCCTTGAAAATCAACAGAAGAAGGAGGAAATATTGGAGAGGAAGAGAAGGAATATTGATGCCTCTATCTAAATCACATGGTAGTGATTATTCATGTTTATTCATTTTTTCTTTATCCTACTTTTCACTATCTGGGTCCTCTCAGCCTTGACAATATTGTCATCGGGGGCTGGAACATTATTGTGGAGGGCAATCCTCTGCTTTGTGGTATCTTAAGTGGCATCCCTCACTTGTTCCCAACAAATGCCAGCAGCACCACTCCCACTCTGCCACTTCCAGTTTTGACAATGAAAAATGTCCCCAGACATGGCTAAATATCCCTGAAGAGGAGCAATATTACTCCAAATTGGTAACTATTTAAGTCAGCCTGAAAAATAAGTTCCCACAAACAGAGAAGCAAACTTGGGCAGTGGCTACTCAGGAAAGCAAACCCCTATCAGGACATCATCCTAGATTGCTCCCAGGTTGCTGCCACTTCCTAAGTCATACCAGGTGATTGTTAAGAATGCAAGTGTTCCCACTATCCATGTGCATGATTTCAGCAAAAAGCAGGCCCTTCTGTGCACCATTTTCAAAACCTTGAGGAAACAGACATTGGTGTTCAACCTCAACACCTGGCATGTGAATGTGACTCTATCAGATGATTAACTTGGCTTTCACAAACACAATTCAGGAAGGAAAAGCACATGCAAATAGTTGTTCTCATCACTTTCAAAAACTGCTAATTGTCCCCCTCACTAGCTACTAACGGCACTCAAGGCTGCAGGAAATGGTGACTTAACACAGGTGTTTGTACTCTATCTCTCTCTTCCTCTATTTCCTTGTTTTCTTCCCATGTGGACTTCAATTTGTCAATTAAACTCAAAAGTACCAAAAAAAGAGGAAAGACATTTAAAAATGTCTGGCAATGATTAATGAACCCATCAATGTAATAATCAAATTCCTTGGGTTTGAGGCAGGTTTTCTCATTCTCAACTTTGACATTTGAGGGTTTGGGGTAGGTTTTCTCAACTTTGACATTTGAGGGTGAAGTCATTCTCTGTGGTAGGGGCTGTGCTGTGCATTGTTGGGTACTGAGTAACATCCCTGGTCTCTACCCAACAGATGCTAACTGGGTTATTGCAACCCAAAATGTCTCCAGACATGGCCAAATATCCCTAGGGAAAGAATAATCCCTGTAGAGTATCACTAGTTTAGGGGATAAAGATGAAGAGAAAATGGACAGTTGCTCAAAACATTTAGGAAAAAATCTAAGGGTAACTTCCAAAAATATATATGCCTGGATTCCATGCTTGGAGACTTAGAAGTCATTGGTGTGGGATACAGCTGGGGTACAGGATTCTTTAAACCTCCCCAGGTGGTTTTGGGGTACAGACAGAGTTGGGAGCTACTCATCTAGAAAAGAAGACAACAATGACCAGAGTTCCAATAAAGCTTCATAACACTTCTTGGAAATCGACATGCATGGCACCAACAGATTCCATTACATTGTTGCCCATCATCCATGATGGTTTTGTAAACCGTAGAATTGTCCTTAGTTCTAGAAACTGTGTGTGTTTCTGAGTGTCTAAGAATTCTTGTACATGGACTAAAGTAGATGATGTGGACTGGGGGACCAACCACACCTCTTGGGATACCAGAAGCCAAGACATGCATCAAGCACTGCCTGCACCTGCATCTGCTAGCATTGTCCAAGATTTTCTAGGTTGCCATGAAGGCATCTTCATTTACTCCTTTTTTCATATCCAGTTCATTAAGTCCTGTCTGTTGAAATTTAAAAACATATCCAGAATATGACCTCTTCTCATTAATCTCATCATGACCTTATAGAAAATCCTACCATTGGGTCTTTCAGGAGAATAGTAATGATATTTGTGTTTTTTGCTTCAGTGCTTGCATCGACAGTGCAAAGCCCTCAAGGTTATTCAAATCCCGCTAATGGAGTAACCCTTTAAAAATAGGAGACAACGTTGTGTCAATGTCCCAACCTGGAAGCAGGAAACAGGGTGGGTGGTGCTGCTGACATTTATTGGACAAACACCAGGGATACTTCTCAATATCCTATGATACTTCTCTCCTGCATCCTAAAATCTGAGAACCTTGCAGTAACATGCAAAGATTTGTCCCTGCCATTACCTCTGTGGCCCCACCTCCTGCTACTCTCCATCCCTCACTCATCCATGGCCACTCTGGACTCCTAGGGCAATCCAGGCATGCCCCTCCCTCAGTGTCCTAACACTGGCTGGTCACTCTAGCTGTCCCCTGCTATTAGCACGTTCTAGAAACAAACAATCCTCTCTCCTCCCTCCTTGAGGTCTTTGCTCAAACATCGCCTTCTCTGAGCAGTCTTCCATCACTACTTTATCTAAAATTGCAACTCCCTATCCCAAGCACTAGCTTCTCTCCCTCTAATTTTCTTATAATATTTCTTGCCAGCACTTTGGGAGGCTGAGGTGGGCAGACAATTTGAGATCAGGAGTTGGAGACCAGATTGATCAATACGATGAAACCCTGTCTCTAGTAAAAATTCAAATATTAGCTGGGCATGGGGGCAGGCACCTGTAATCCCAGTTACACTGGAGGCTGAGGCAAGAGATTCACTTGAATCCAGGAGGAGGAGGCTACAGTGACATCCTGTCACTGCACTGCAGCCTAGGCAACATAGTGAGACTCCAAGATCTGAATTTAAACTGTGGAACCCAATTCCCATCACAAATTTGGTCCAATTTCTCAACTTTCTAAATCTCACTGTGTTCAAATTAGATCTGCAGCCCAACTTCTCATTTACACTTCTGGTCTGTGTTGCAATGGACCATCTCTCTCTGGATTCCTGCAGTTGCCTCCCCAAACCAAATATCCTCAGCACACAGCTGAAGGGAGCCTTTGACCACGGACTCTAGGTCATCTGGTGATCTTAGCCCCTCAGCTCAAATCACTGCAGTGGCTACCATTACTCTAGAGTCAAGGCCAGACTCCCCAGGAAGTTCTGAGGTGCTGTCCCATCAGGCCTCCTCCACCTCTACTTCACCTCTGTGACTTTATTTCTTCCTGCTGATGTCCCTAGATCCTCCTCCCCATTCCTGGAGGGAGTCGGAGCCCCCCGGACTGGCTGCTCTAGTCTGGTCTTCACCGGGACAGAAGCACGCCTCTTCCAAGCAGCCTGGCTGGCTCCCTCCTCTGCCTCAAGTCTTGCACCTTTTCCCCATGCCATCCTTAAAAACCCTACTTAATCCTGTCACATGGTGTCCACCCCCACTATACGCAGCATTCCTGTCTCTTTTCCTGTAGAAGTCAAGGCTCCATATGTAAGCGGAGGAGCTCCATGCAAAGGCTGGAGTCAGCAAAAGTGCAATGGCTCAATCGATGCTCCTCATCACCCTGCAGTCTTTTACGTGGTGTTGGCTCCACATGCCACTTTTGGGCACGCAATTTGATATACATTCCTGAATGTACCATTGTTCCTTTGAAATATTTATTTATGGCTCACATGGACAGCTGACATTAGCTATATTTCTTGGCTGTGGACCACATTGAATGTTTAAAATCAACCTACAGTGCAGAAAAGAAAAATTGTACTCAGATTTTATAAAAATGGTTTTACAAAAATATATGAAAATGAAGTGGAAGAAATGTATCAGAGCTATGAAAAAACATAAAACTTTATTAATTCATTTATTCAGTTATAGACTCAAACATATTATTTCCAAGTTACTCTTTCACTTATTCCTCTCCTCTCCTTTTCTTTTTCTTCATTCCTCCCTTTCTTTTCCCTTCCTTCCTTCTTTCATCTCCCTTGCACCTTCTGTTCATTTTTTCCCTCCCTCCCTCCCTTCCTCTCTTCCCTCCTTCCTTCCTTCCTTCCTTTCTTTCTTCTTTCCTCTCTCCCTTGCATATTATTCCTTCTCCCTCCCTCCATCTCTCTCTTGCACCTTTGTTTTTCCCTCTGTCTCTTCCTTCCTTCCTTCCATCTTCCTTCCTTCCTCCCTTCCTTCCTTCCTCCATTCCTTCCTCTCTCTCTTGCACATTATTTTCATTTTCATTTTCATCCCTCCCTCCCTCCCTCTCTTTCTTTCACCTTCTTTTCATTTCCCTCTCTCCCTCTCTCTCTTTTGAACTCTCTTTCCCCCTCCCTCCCTCCCTTCCTTGCTTCCTTCCTTCCTCTCTCCCTTGCACATTATTTCTTCTCCTTCTCTCTCTCCCTTTCTCTCTTACACTTTCTTTTCTTTTCCCTCCCTCCCTCTCTCTCTTGCAACTTTTTTTCATTTTCCTCCCTCCCTCTCTCTCTCACACACCTTCTTCTCCCCTCCCTCCATCCCTTCCTCCTTCCCTTCCTTCCTTCCTTCCTACCTTCCTTCCTTCCTTCCTTCTTTCCTTCCTCCCTCCCTCCCTTCTTTCCATCCTTCCTTCCTTCTTTCCTGCCTTCCTCTCTCCCTTGCACATTATTTCTTCTCCTTCTCTCTATCCCTTTCTCTCTTACACTTTCTTTTGTTTTCTCTCCCTCCGTCCCTCTGTCTCTTGCATCTTTTTTTCATTTTCCTCCCTCCCTCTCTCTCTCACCTTCTTTTCATTTCCCTCCCTCTTTCTCTCTCTCTCTCACACACACACCTTCTTTTCCCCTCCCTCCATCCCTCCCTCCTTCCCTTCCTTCCTTCCTTTCCTTCCTACCTTCCTTCTTCTTTCCTCCCTCCCTCCCTCCATTCCTTCCTTCCTTCCCTCCCTCCCTCCCTCCTCCCTTCCTTCTTTCCTTCTTCCTTCCTTCCCTCCCTCCCTCCCTCTTCCCTTCCTTCCTTCTTCCTTCCTTCTTTCCTTCCTTCCTTCTTTCCTTCCTTCCTTCCCTCCTTCCTTCCTTCCCCTCTCCCTTGCATATTATTTCTTCTCCTTCTCTCCCTCCCTCTCTCTCACACCTTATTTTCATTTCCCTCCCTCCCTCTCCCTCTTGCACCTTCTTTTCATTTTCCTCCCTCCCTCTCTCTCACCTTCTTTTAATTTCCCTCCCTCCCTCTCTCTCTCTTGCACTTTCTTTTCATTTCCCTCCTTCCCTCTCTCTCGCACCTTCTCTTCATTTCCCTCCCTCCCTCTCTCTCTCTCTAGCACCTTCTTTTCCCCTCCCTCCATCCCTCCCTCTTTCCTTCCTTCCTTCCTTCCTTCCTTCCTTCCTTCCTTCCTTCCTTCCTTCCTTCGCTCCTTGCACATTATTTCTTCTCCTTCTCTTGCTCCTTGTCTCTCTTGGACGTTATTTTCATTTCCCTCCCTCTCTCCTTTCCTCCCTCTCTCCCTCTCTCTCTTGCACCTTCTTTTCATTTCCTTCCCTCCTTCTCTCTCTGTCTTGCATCTTCTTTTCATTTTCCTCTCTCCCTCTCTCTCTCTCACACCATCTTCTCCCCTCCCTCCCCCGTCCCTCCCTCTCTCCCTTCCTTCTTTCCCTCTTCCTTCCTTCTTCTCTCCCTTGCACATTTTTTCTTCTCCTTCCTTCCCTTTCTCTTTCTTGAACCTTCTTTTTCCCTCCCTCCCTTCCTTGTTTCCTTCCCTCCCTCCTTCCTTCCTTCTTTCCTTCCTCCCTTCCTTCATTTCTCTCTCCCTTGCACAATATTTCTTCTCCCTCCCTTTCTCTCTCTCTCTCTTGCACCTGCTTTCCATTTCCCTCCCTCTCTCTCTTGCACCTTCTTTTCATTTCCCTCCCTCCCTCTCTCTTACACCTTGTTTTCATTTCCCTCCCTCCCCCTCTCTCTCTTCCAACTTCTTTCCCCTTCCTCCCTGCCTCCCTCCCTGCCTGATTTGCTTTCTTCCTTCTTTCCTTCTTTCCTTCCTTCATTCCTTCTTTCCTTCCTTCCTCTCTCCCTTGCACACTATTTATTCTCCTTCCTTCCCTCCCTCTCTCTTGTACCTTCTTTTCATTTCCTTCCCTCGCTTCTTCCCTATGTCTCTTGCACCTTGTTTTCATTTCCTTGCCTCTCTCCCTCTCTTGCATCTTTTCATTTCCCTCCCTCCCTCCCTCTTTTGCACCTTCTTTCCATTTCCCTACCTCCCTCTCTCCCTTCCTCTCTCCCCTCCTCCCTTTCTTCCTTCCTCCCTTCCTCCCTTCTTTTCTTCCTTTTTCTTCCCTTCCTCACTCTCTGCCTTTCTTCCTCCCTCCCTCATTTCCTCCTTTTCTTTCTTCTTCCCTTCATCTCTTCCTCCTTTCTTCCCTTTCTCCCTTCCTGTCCTCCTTGTTCCTGTCCTCCCTCCCTTTTCTCCCTTCCCTTCTTCCCGTTCTCCTTCCCTCCCTTCCTTGTTCCCTCCTTCCCTTCATTTCCTTCCCTCCTTCCTTCCTTCCTCCCTCCATCCCTCCCTCCCTCTGTCCTTTCCTCTCTCCTTCCTTTCTTCCTCCCTCTCTCATTCTCTCTCTTTCTTTCACTTACCTAATGTGGGTCTCTAATTTTTTATGCTAAAAAGAAAATATAAATTAAGGAGATTTTTTTTCAAAAGCTTTTGGTAAGATTTTACATTTTAAAAGAATGTGTGTGTGTTTGTGCGTCTGTATGAGAGTACGCACATATAAGCCCACACAAGTTTATCAGGGAAAACAGTGGCTTTCCTGTGGTTGATAAAGGAAAATAGTCCTAAAACTACACATTCATGAAGCCTCCTCAGTGAGCCAACCCCAGGACATGAAAATGCAAAGTACAGAAGGCAAATCTATCTTTGAGAGCCTGGAATAGTGGTGTTTAAGCTGACAGCCTTCTGAAAGGTGCCTTTGATCTAGTGAAGCAAAACACTGGGACGGAGATATGCCTGGAATAGCCTTATACAATTTTCTACTAAAATTACTATCAGAAACTGAACTTTTGAGAAAGAGATTTTTAAATAAAAGAATATAAGTGGATCCAACTGTTCCCATCCTTCTCTCCAGAAATAATTTTTAACAATAAGTTGTGCATCTCTTCATAAATATTCTTGGTTTTACATATAAGTATTTATATGTGAAATATGATGGAGCACAAATGGGACCTGTTTACATTTGTTGTTTTGTAACTTCTTTACTTAAGAATATCTATTGTCATTTTAAATTATCATCACACTGAAATATATAGGAACTTAGTATGAACTATCAGGGGTTTAGTGTTTCCGTCCCCTCCTCCCCTCCTTCCCTCCCCTCCTCTTCCTTCCCCTCCCCTCCCCTTCCTTCCGCTCCCCTCCCCTCCTGTCCCAAATGTACAGGAACTCAGTATAAAATACCTGGTGCTTTAGTCTTTCCTTTCCTCCTACTCCCCCTCCCCATCCCCATCCCCTTCCCTACCCTCCCTTCCTCTTTTCCCTCCCCTCCTCTAGCCTCTCTTCTTCTCCCTTCCCCTCCCCTCCTCTCCCTGCTCCCCCTTCCTTTCCTTTCCTTTCTTTAGGTGGACATTAACTTTGTTTCCAGCTTCTCCTACCAGAGACAAACAAAAACACTGTGAAATATAATTGTACGGGACTCTTTGTACATTTGGTTTAGTGAAGCTGTAGCTTGTTTTGCAGGTTATACTATGAAAATGACATTACTATTTCAAAGGGCATATGCATTTTGAATGTTGAACAAGAACAATGAAGGGCAATATTTTCAAGGGTATTTTAAATGTGTTAGTCTTTGCCAATGTGATGAGTGACAACAGGTATCCCATTATTTTAGTTGGTTTTCCACGTTTTTAATACACTGAGATATTGGTAAGACTCAGCTCATAGCTTAAGACATATCCTCTGGGCTGGGTGCAGTGGCTTATATCTGTAATTTCAGTGCACTGGGAGACTGAGGTGGGAGGATTTCTTGAGGCCAGTAGGTCACGACCAGCTCATGCAACTTACCAAGACCTTGTCTCTACAAAAAAATTAAAAGAAAGCTTGGTGTGGTGGCATGCACCTGTATTCTCAGCTATTCAGGAGGCTGAGGCAGGAGGATATCTTGAGCTCTGGATTTCAAGGTTGCAGTGAACTATGGTAGCACCACTGCACTCCAGCCTGGACAACAGACTGAGACCCTGTCTCTAAAAAATCATATCAAATGAAAATAAAAGACTGTATCCCTTGGCAAGGGTCTGGACTGTAGATGTTTACAGTTGAGTAAACCATGACTTTAGAAACCAACTGAGTTGGTACTCTGATATATTGATGTTCTGCACTAGAAATTAAAGATCCAATGTCAACTTTCAAACCCCACTAGCTGCTAGAGGTTTCTGTTCAAGTCTTGAGTCTTGAACTCCAAAGTGCTTTGTGGTGTGCTTTGTGAGTATATTTTCAGGTCTGTCACTTTGTCACTTTGTGCATCACATGTAGCACTCTGGGCTCCAAGAATAGTGGACTTAGTTTTCTAATCACATCTTCAGCTCTTACCATGGGTGATTTCTTTCTTTTCTTTCCTTCTTTTCCCTCCTTCCTTCCTTCCTTCTTTCTTTTCTTCTTCCCTCCCTCTTCCTTTCTTTCTTTCTTTCTTTCTTTCTTTCTTTCTTTCTTTCTTTCTTTCTTTCTCTTCCTTTCTTTCTTTCTTTCTCCCTTTCTTTCTTTCTTTCTTTCTTTCTTTCTTTCTTTCTTTCTTTCTTTCTTTCTTTCTTTCTTTCTTCCTTTCTTTCTTTTTTCGAGAAGCAGTTTCACTTGTGTTGCCCAGGCTGGAGTGCAATGACGAGATCTTGGCCCACTGCAACCTCTGTTTCCCAGGTTCAAGTGATTCACCTGCCTCAGCCTCATGAGTAGTTGGGATTACAGGCATGCACCCGCACGCCCAGCTAACTTTGTATTTTTAGTATATATGGGGTTTCTCCATGTTGGTCAGGCTGTTCTTGAACTCTTGAACTCTGCTGATGTGCCAGCCTTGGCCTCCCAAAGTGCTGGCATTACAGGAGTGAGCCACTAGGCCTGGCCAGGATGGGTAGTTTCTTCGTTGGCAATAATTTCCCTTTATGCTGGATAACTCTTACTTATTCAACAAGATTCAGTGGAAAGGTCACCCCCTCAGCCAGACCTACTGTGAACACCTAGCAGCAATATCCATTGGTATTTCTATTCATAGCCTCGTACTAGAACCTTTGTTCTGTTGACCTGTGTGTTTCACCCCTGGACCAAAAGTTTTCCTTAAAGGAGTGAGGTTCTCCAAAGCACAAAAATAAAACATCTAAAAGTGGATGGGAAGACAGGATTGGAATGCAATTTGTTTATCCTATCATTTAGTGATTCCCAGTTTTGTGATTGTGTAATGACTAAGAATACACATCTTGTGTGAAAATCCAGGCTCCTCTCCATCCGTGAGTGTGGGCTGTGCTTCGAGATTTATTTCCAAATAACACAGTGGACAACGTGGAGGAAGAAGTTATTTTATGATGGAGAAACCTGACAGTCATGACCTCAGCCAATCACATCAGCATCACCTATGGGAGATCAGGGATTCTCTGGAGTGGGTGCTGTCAGACCTCAGCAAATTGTCCTATTGGTTTGAACTGTAAAGTTAGCTCATACTGGTACCAAGCACAGACGGATTTGTCAAAGGTCAGGGGCACCTCCACTCAGAATCCCTCTATGGTTACCAAAATGTGAACCCTGGAAATATGAGACAGATCTGAGTTAATTTAGAAAGTTTATTTTGGCAAGGTTGACAATGAGGCCCCAAGACACAGCCTCAGGAAGTCCTGACAACGTGTGCCCAAGTTGGTCAGAGCACATCTTGGTTTTATACATTTTAAGGAGACAGGAGACATCAATCAATATATATAAGATGAACGTTGGTTCGGTCTGGAAAGGTGGGAAGGCCCAAAGTGGGTAGAGGGCTCCCAGGTCGTAGGTAGAAAACAAACAAATGGTTCCATTATTCTGAGTTTCTGAATAGCCTCTCTAAAGGAGGCAAATAATAAGCATTTATCTCCAGAGCACAGGGGTGACTTTGAACAGAATGGGAGGCAGTTTGGCCCTAAGCAGTTCCCAGATGACTTTTCCCTTTAGCGTAGTCATTTTAAGGACCCAAGATATTTTCCTTCACATAAGTCGTGTTGAGAGTTGTACCCTTAATGTGATGTGAGGAACACAGCACTTTGCCTCTGTGGTCTTCCTCCCCCAAACACCTAACCTTAGTCTAATCATGAGAAAGGCGCCAGACAAGCCCAAATTGCAGGGCATTCTAAAAAATACCTAAGCAGTTCTTCTCAGAACCATCATGGTCATAAAAAGCAAGGAAATTCTGAGAAACTGTCACAGCCAGAGGAGTCCAAGGAGACTTGATGACTCACTGCAGCGTGGTATCCTGGATGCGATCCTGGAATACAAAAGGGACATCAGGGAAAATCTAAGGACATTGGAATAATGTCTGGAGTTTACTAAGTGTAATGGGTGACTTCGTTGCAACAAATGTGCCATGGCAGTCCAAGATGCTAACGGAGGGAAAGGGATGTGGGGTAACCAAGAGCTCTCTTTAATAGCCTTTTCAATATTTTGTGAACATAAAAGTATTCCAGAATTAAAAGTTTAAGCCTGTATCTCACTGCCTATGTGACTTTGGGTGAGTCACATAATCCCTTTGTGCCCTGGTTTTCTCATCTGCGAAATGGGGATAGTATTAACATCATAAAGGGCTTCGATCAGTTTCTGGAAAATTGTCCAATAAGATAAAGTAAATAAGCATAAACATGTTGCTGTTGTATGATGTGATTGATTCCTATGTTAGGATTGTGCAATTCTAATGTCTGTCTTTGTGTGTGTGTGTGTGTGTGTGTGTGTGTGTGTGTGTGTGTGTGTGATGTTTCGCTATGCTGCCCAGTCTGATCTCAAACACTTGGACTCAAGTGATTTTCCTGCCTCAGCCTCCCAAAGTGCTCGGAATACAGATATGAGCCACTACAGCTGGCCTAAATGAGTTTTTTTGTTTTTGTTTTTGTTTGGAGATGGAGTCTCACTCTGATGCCAGGCTGGAGTGCAGTGGCCCAACCTTTGCTCACTGCAACCTCCACCTCTCAGGTTCAAGCCATTCTCTTGCCTCAGCCTTCCGAGTAGCTGGGACTACAGGCCTGTGCCACCATGCACAGCTAATTTTTGTATTTTTAGTAGAGATGGGGTTTCACCATGTTGGCCAGGATGGTCTCAAGCTCTTGACCTCATGATTTGCCTGCTTCAGCCTCACAAAGTGCTCAGATTACAGGTGTGAGCCATCACGCCCTGCTAGATGTGTTTTTTAATAGCAACTGTACTGAAGGCTAACACATAACCTCGCTAATAACAAAAGTATTAATATCTACTGAGTGGATAAAAGGATGAATAAACGATCATCAATATCTTTAGTAATGGTGACTTTAGAATGCTAGATGTTTTATTACCAACAAAAATTCCCCCTCTAGCTTATGAGGGAAAATTAATTTTGCTCCTATATTTCTGCATTTCATTTCTGAGCACTGTCAAGATAATCTGGAACATTTTCATGGCAAAGATTATTAGTAACCCACCTGGCTGTAGGAAAAATCTCTATAATGCCATATTATAGAAGCATGATTTTTAAGCCATAAGTTTTCTCTCTAAAATGTATTCCCTGGCAAGCAAATGAATTTGCCTGTGGTCAGAGGTTATCAAAAATGGCCTGATTAAATTTTTCATGACATCTGCCCAAAACAATGACTTTTATTCACAGGTAGTAACTAATAACATCATTTTTGTTTTAACCCCTGATGATTAGTGAGTTTGAAAGAACTATCTGTGGAAGCAACTCCTATTTTATGACAATGAGATCATGTCATGCATGCATGGGCAACTGTTTTTAGGAAAATCTCTAAACAATTTCACATCATTAAAATGCAAAACCCAAAAGGAGTTCTAGAACATTCTATTCCCTTTTTTTGGCAACTGAAAATTATCACCTGGTTTGTTGAGAAAGCTTTTCTGTTTACCCAACTCACTCAGTGGTGTGTGAAAGGAAAAATAAATCTTGGGACCCCAAACTCACTAAGCGGAAGGGAGAAGTCAAGCTGAGACCTGGGTCATGACTACCTGCCTCCCATTTTGTTCCTAAATAAGAAGGCTACAAAGATAAAAATCTACACACCTACCACAAATTTCAGCCACAAGGAAATTCTTTGTGGGCTGCAAGACCTTTTCCCTAAAACAGATATATTGCTGTACACCATGGCAATGTAAATTGATAGCTTATCTTCATAGGTGCACAGAGACAAGACAGAACTCAAAGTCATCCCTCTGCCCACCAAGACGAATCTCACTGCTGCCTCTGCCCTATTGTCTATGTTATTTCATTTAAAAATGCAGATTCACTGAGCCAGAAAAAGGCATGAAAGACTATTTCCCCATCCCCTTCTCACATGAGAACTGTGTACTTCCCAATAAACTGACTTTCTTCTTTAAATATTGAAGACCTCAAAATCACCTTCAGAGAAAGAACTGTCTCCTAGGTACATGTCCTTAACTTTGGCAAATGATATGGTTTGGCTGTGTCCCCACCCATATCTCAACTCAAATTTTAGTTCTTATAATTCCCATGTGTTGTGAAGACCACCTGTGTCATCCTGTGCCACCTGTACTGTTGCACCACCTCTCTGATGGTGCTTAGCTCTGGGAAGCAGGTAGCCCCCCATAATTCTATACCTAGTGTGCATACTGGAATGACAGTCACACCCACTGGCCACAGGATATAAAAATAGGTTGGCCATCTGAATAAGACACTTGGTTTTAAAATTATTTCTTCTCCACCTGTGACCATGTTCCTCCTCCTCAAATATGACTGGCTGACTCATTAAGCCACCTGGATCCAAAAAGACAAGAGTCCACCCCCAGTGGGAAAAAAATGCTGAGAAGTAAATTCTCCAAAATTCTTCAAAGGGGAAGTTTGCCTTCTTTGAAGTTAAGAACCTTAAGAGCTCATTAAATTTCTTCCATGGTAATTGGTCTTTTTAGCTAGTCTAAATTTTCTTAATTTATAAATTTATATTTTAAGCATGGATTTCATACAGATTTTAAAACTTAATAGGATTGTGTTATATTACGTACTTTTAAGATTCTGTTATGTCATCCTTATCTACAATTATAGCCCATTTATCAATTCTATGGTTTTCTACTTTAGCAATCTCTCTGTCTCTGTCTCTCTATCTCCATCTTTATTTTTAACCTTTTTTTCTCTTGAAGTTTTAAGATGGAGTCAAAGATTTATATTTGAATCTATCAGTTTAATATATTTTTCACTTTTTCATCCATTAAATTTTATCTGTGTATTAAGATCATTTCTTCTGCTTCCTAAGAAAAAATTTTCAAATATATATGCCTTTAAAAAATTACATAATTATAATTTATCACACTGGTATAAGATCTTTCAAGAATTTAGCATTTACTTCCCATTTTGCAATGATGTTTCACAGCATTGTTTAGACTTAATTACATAGTTAAAGAGACCCTCTATTTACTGCTTCTCCTCTCATGCTTTACTGCCTTTCATAGTACGTTGTAAAAAAATTTAACTTGATTTTAATCAAATATTCTCTTATTAAATATAGTTTAATTGATTAAATGAATCAACTTAAATTAATTGGGCTCTCATTTTATTGGAGCACATCTCCAGTGTTTATGTATTTCCAGGAAGGCTTCCAGGATATGTTTTTAGCATCCTTACATATTAAAAAAACTCCCTTGGCTGGTTTTAAATATGTGTGATATTCCTATAATTGTGTGCCTTACAACCATCTCAACTTGATAAGAAGAAAATGTAAATTATACCAGGATTTGCTTAAGAATGTATATTTTTCCTTTTGTTTTTACTTGACAGATAATAATTGTACATATTTATAGAGCCCAGAGTAATATTTTGATACATGTTTACAATGTGTCCTGATCAAATCTAGTTAATTAGCATATATATCAACTCAAACATTTATCATTTCTTTAGGTTGGGAACATTCAAAGTCCTCTTGTGTAGCTTTCTGAAAATATACTCTAAATTATTGATAATCATAGTTCACCCTATAATACTACAGCACACAAAAACTTATTCCTTCCATTTGGTAGTAAGTTTGTATCCATTAACCAACCTCTCCCTAGTCTCCCCTGCTCTCTATGCTTCCCAGCCTTTAGTAACCACAGTAGTATGTATATGGTTTATATATGTACCAGAGGCCATGTTGGGACACATGGCCATGCCCATTTTAATTCCTAATTGTTGTTATAATGTGCCATCTTCAGCATGACCAAGAAGGGCCAGTTATGTTCAAATGTGCTACTTCTGTAAAGTAGGAGGAGAAATAAGCCAATGAGAGATAAAACCTCTTCTGAAAGGTGAGAGATTTGAGAAGGGAGGAAAAGAGGACACGTTTCTGCTTGCTTTGTGTGTTCAGGAGCTACAGGAAGGGTTATAAAATACCAGCATACAAGTGCAGGTATCTTTTTGATGCAATGATTTCTTTTATTTTGGGTATATACCCAGCAGTGGGATTGCTGGATTGAATGATAGTTCTATTTTTAGTTCTTTGGGAAATCTCCATACTGTTTTTCATAGAAGTTGTACTAATCCCACTAACAGTGTGTAAGAGTTCCCTCTTCTCTGCATCCTCACGAACTTCTGTAATCTTTTTGGCTTTTTGAAAATTGCCATGTTTGCAGATGAAACGTGATATCTCATCATTGTTTTAATTTGTGTCTCTGATGATTAGCGATGTTGAGCATTTTTTATATGCTTTTTGGCCATTTGTATGTCTTCTTTTGAACAATGCACTATTCACAATAACAAAGATATGGAATCAACCTAAGTATCCGTCAGTGGATGATTAGAGAAAGAAAATGTGGTATATATACACCATGGAATACTACCCAGTCATAAAAAAAGAATGAAATCATGTCCCTTGCAGCAACATAGATGGACCTGGAGGGCATTATCTTAAGGGAAATAACTTAGAAACAGGAAGTCAAATGCCACATTTTCTCATTTCTAAGAGGGAACTAAATAATGTGTACAGCTGAACATAGAGTGTGAAATAATAGACATTGGAGACTGGGAAGGATAGGAAAGTGAGAAGGGGGTGAAGGATG
Organism: Homo sapiens; assembly: GCF_000001405.40. Lineage (NCBI taxonomy): Eukaryota > Metazoa > Chordata > Mammalia > Primates > Hominidae > Homo > Homo sapiens. Next base: position 15,201,566 of record NC_000024.10, on the reverse strand, counting down.
AGAAATTATGAAATGAGTGTAATGTACATTGTTCAGGTGAGGAATATGCTAAAAGCCCGAACTTCAGCACTATGAAATGTACCCATGCAACATAACTGCACTTGTATCCACTAAATATATACAATACAATACAATACAATACAATACAATACAATACAATACAATACAATACAGTACAGTACAGTACAGTACAGTACAGTACAATACAATAATACAATACAGGCCTTCACTTTATCATAACCTTGGGAATTCCCCATCCATCCTTCAGGGATGATACTCTGAGAATCAATTCCATTCTCTCGGCCCTCCCCTGGTGGCATCCTTGGGGAGGAAACACACCTGTGCTAGTTCTACCACCATCCATGGCTGTGCCATTGGGGACCAACCATGCTGGACCCAAGAGGAAGTGTTTACAGACCATGGGCATGCAATGAAAATTAAGAGAAATGGTGGTTAGTAGTTGCCTTTTCTTCCATTGCCAGTTTGTTTATTTAAAAAGAACTCCTTATTTCTCTTAGAAGTGCAAGCACTCTTAAGCTCCTTATTGTCGGACCACAGGTTTGGGTTGATTATAATAGACTTGTGAAAAGGCCCTGTAAAGCTTCAACCCATGTTGATAAGCTGTGTTTCTCTGCAGCTCATGGTGGATGATGGGTGGGAACCCTCACTCTTGCAAATATTTCTCCAAGATTCAAGTGAATGACATAAAAAAAAAGCCATGTGGTTAAATAATCCTTCATACAAGAGCAGTTATTACTTTAATTAAGAACATTGCTTAATGCAAAAATTGCTAAAATATTAAAACTGGATGTCACATGGAGCTCATTTAAGATAAGTTCTGAAATCACAAATTTCACTTCACCTTGCAATAAACATATTCTGGCATAATTTTCCTACATTTGTTGTTCCCCTTACCCTCCTTTTCCTACTTCTTTTTTTTTTCTTCGAAGAGTGGTTTCTAATTCATGATTTGGTTTTTCTTTTCAAATATCATGAAAATGTCATGAAGAATAGGAAAGAAAAATGAAAACTATATACCATGCATTTGCAAACAGCAGGAATTTGTAAGTTTTATGAAGTATAAGTTTGCTTATTTTAGGAAATGCATAATGAGATGTTTTTATTATTCCTTGACCTTTCAAGGTTTGAATTCCTTCACTTTATTCTTTGAGATACTATAAATCAGGCAATGACTTTTTGGAAGAAATTCTGAAATGGGCCTTTTTTTTTTCCACCTTCACCATTAGCTGTAATTTTGACATTATTCCACATTAAATTACGTTATATGCAAGGTTGCTTTTATTTGGAATTGCTGTCTTAGACAGTGTAGTTTAATGGAAATAAAATATAAGGGAAAAAGATTAAATTACAAGATAAAATAAGGCTAATCTTGGAATAAAACAGAAACAGATTTTTTTTTCCAATTTTCAACTAAATATTCCATCAACATATTTTGCTGAACCCAGTCAACGAAGCTTCTTATATTACAAATCTTTTTGAGTTATCTAGGGAGCATTCATAAATCCAACCCTCATGTTTTACAAATGCTAGCATTTTTGCCATATTTACTGAAGCTCCGATATTCCCCAGAAATAAAATATAGCATATACAATTGAAGACACATCTTACTCTTTCATCCTCCCTGTAAATACCCAGTGTCCTCAAGTAATGGAGAATCTGTCTTTCCAGACCGATCAGGTTTTTATTTTTTTTTTTAGATGGGGGTCTTGCTATGTTGTCCAAGATGGACTTCAACTCCTGGGCTCTTTCAAAGTGTTGGGATTACAGGCATAATCCACCATGCCTGGCCCGCAAGTGCAGATTTTTTACATGTATAAATTCCATGGAGAAGTTTGGGCTTTTAGTGTAGATATCACCTGAATAGTGTACATTTTACCCATTAAGTAATTTTGTATCCCTCACTTTTCTCCCACCTTTCCACCTTTCCTAGTCTCTAGTGTCTATTATTCCACTCTCTATGTCCAAGTGTACACATTATTTAGCTCCCACTTAAAAGTGATATTGTTCAATATTTGACTTTCTGTTTTTGAATGGTATCACTAAAGATATTGGCCCCCAGTTCCATCTGTCTTGCTGCAAAATACATAACCATAATTGTATTCTTTTTGATGGCTAAGTAGTAAGTATTGCATGGAATATGTACAACAGATTTTCTTTCTTCAGTCCTTTGTTGACGGACACTTAAATTGATTCTATATCTTTGCTATTGTGAAGAGTGCTGCAGTGAACATATAAGAACAGGCATCGTTTTGATGTAGTTATTTTTATTCCTTTGAATATATACCCTGTAGCAGGATTGTTGGATCTAATGGGAGTTCTATTTTTAGTTCTTTGAGAAATCTCCATATTGTTTTCCATAAAATCAACAGAGTAAACACACAGCCTAAAAGGTGGGTAAAAATATTTGCAAAACTATATATCTGACACAGTGCTAATATCCAGACTCTATGAGAAACTCAAATAACTCAGTAAGAAAAAAAAAAAAACATTAAAAAGTGGGCATGAAAAACATTTCTCAGAAGAAGATATAGAAATGACAAACATGTAAAAAAATGCTTAACATCACTAATCATAGCAGAGAAATGCAAATTAAAACCTCTATGAGATACTGTCTCACATCAGTCTGAATGGCTACTAGTAAAACGTCAGAAAGCAATAGATGTTGTTGAGCATGTGGAGAAAAGGGAACAATTTTATGCTGTTGATGGGAATGTAAATTAACTAGAGAGAAAATATTTGACCTTAGGTAAGAACACATCTGCCTTTTACTGCTACTTGCCTAATCAAGTCTGGCCCACAGAAGAGATTCTCCCTTTTAAAGAACTCAAAGTCAACTAATTTGTAACCTTACTGACATCTGCAAAAGTCCTTTGCCTTGCCCACGTTCTGTTGGCTAGAAGCAAGTCACAGGTCTCGTTCCTGCTGAAGGGGAGGGGATTATGTAGGCTTTGAGCACAAGGGAGCAGGGACCAGAGGTGTTCACTATGAAATGCTTCCAGGGGGAGTGTGGTCAGAAGTTCAGGAAGGAGGACAGAAGGGAAAGTAACCACCTTTACACCAATAGGTGTAAAGTCAGGCATCAGGCACTGACAGAACAGAGGAGCCTCATTTTGTAAATTCACTCAGTGTTGTTCCAATGCAGAGAAGCAAGTTTTGATGCCCCATAGCTGTCAACCACTGGGGAAGGGAAGGGAGATGCAAAATCCCAGACACTTGCAGCTCACTGTGCATAAAGGTGCAATCATTCCGCCACCCCAAGTGAATCTGATAAAGTGCCCCAGGTGCTTGCTGGAAACATATTGAAGCCAAGATGGGAGTCCTAAAAATGGTTAAAAATGAGCCAATAGCACAGTACTAACATTCTCCCCTACTGAAGGTGAGGATGAATCAGTCACTCCTCTTCTGGAAGTAACATATACTTCCACTGATTATAAGGTTTAATATATTCTGGCCAGGTACCGTGGCTCATGCCTATGGACACAGCACTCTGGGAAGTCAAGGTAGGAGGATCACTGGAGGCCAGGAGTTCAAGACCAGCCTGCACAACATGAAAAGACCCTGTCTCTACCAAATTTTTTTAAATTAGCTGAGCGTGGTGGCTTATGCCTGTGGTCCCAGCTACTTGGGTGGCTGAGGTGGGAGGATCATTTGAGACCAGAAGTTCAAGACCAGCCTGGACAACATAGCATCACTCTAGCTCTGCAAAAAATTAATTAGGCATGTTGGTGTTTTCCTCTACTTTCAGTTATTCAGAAGGCTGAGATTGAGAGTCACTGGAACACAGGACTTTGAAGTTGCAGTGAGCTACGATTGCACCACTTCACTCCAGCCTGGGCAACACAGTAAGATCCTATCTCAAAAACAAACAAACAAACAAACAAAACCATAGAAATGTATTTAAAGGAAAAGCAAATTTTAGAAATTGGGGACTTGGTAAAGAAGGAAAAAAGGTCATGTGTAATCCCATCAGCGCATGGTTCACATCTCAGTTTATCTACTTCTGGACTTTCCTCTCAACAGGCATATTTGTTATTTTCAGAATGTCTAATTAGAGAGTTGGATTCTAATTGCATTTACTATCAGGGCCCACCAAGCCATTTATTGCAGCTGTCAGTTCCAGCCTCTGCACATTTCTGTCTACCATGAATATTTTTTCTTCAAGCAGTTTATTTTACTTTTTTTCAGCATTTAAGTAAATAATCAGCCCAGATATGAATTCTGCTGACATATTATCTTTGCATTTAAGATGATGATTTAGCATTCTAGGTAAGTTCAGCCATGAGCCATTCCACCAGCTTATATATAATGCTTCCCCCTGAAATAAGGGTATTTTCCCAGAAAAGGTGAAGACAGCTATGGAAACAAATTGGAGACACTTACATATATACTTTTTTTTTTTAGCTAACATAATCATTTAGGCTCACAAGTATGTATTTATTGTTTTGAAAGAACCTCTAAGCCTGTCCTTTATTTTGATGATTAATAGATATTAGAGAGAATCAAAAACATAATCTAGTTTCGTAGGAGCCCTTCTGTGACATGCCTTGTGTTTCTACTGGGAACTATTTCACTAGTCCCTGTCCCGCAACCTCTCACCTGGTTCCCTGCCTTGGGAAGCTCAACCCAGTTGTCCCACACCCCATTTCAGATGTGATGTTTGCCATGAAAGATAGGGCAATGGGTGGCTCAATGCTTCTTGCAGCTTTGAGGGTAAGCCTACCAACCTCTTGGTCACTATCATGAGAACCCCAGTGCTGCTACATACCTAATCATGACCTCCAGTATTTGATTCACCAGGAATAATACCAGCATTTTGAACTCCTTCATACTGAGTCCTCTGTCTGTCTCAACTGATGCATAACTCATATTATGAGCTGTTTATTCAGCCTCTTACAAATCTTTGCCTGTTTAGCCTCTTTAAAAACTCTAGTTATCTGCAATTACATAGTTTCATTGATTAAGACATCATTTACTGAATATGTTCCATGAGTAAGGCAATATACAGGCATGTATCATTAGCCATGACTTGACAGTATCTGAGCTTAGTCTAACTAATAAATGTTGCATTTCCTCTATGCATCTTTTTCTCTATCAGGGAGAAAATTGTTACTGTTACTTGACACCATTTTGGGGTTGAGGTCAAGTGGACAATTTTATTATATTAAGGCCATTTAGCAAAGCTAAGAAGTATCCAAAGCATGGATGATTAAATAATAAATGCATAGCCACACATTGGAATGCCATTGGGTCTACAAAACAATATACAAGTATTTACTGGGATGAAAAAATGATCATGATCTGTCATTAAATGAAAAAATTATATGGGTAAGGGATATTGGTTTAAAAAATTAAAACATGATCAGTATGAACTACTTTTTGGTAAAAAAACATTTTTATAAAAATATATGCTTGTATATATATTCTATATATTTTTATATGTATATATTTTTATATATAAGGATATATGTCCTTATAAAATATACACACCTGTGTGTATATATCTATATCTACATCTATATCTATATATATCTATATCTACATCTATATCTATATATATATCTATATCTACATCTATATCTATATATATATCTATATATCTACATCTATATCTATATATATATCTATATATCTCCTGTGCAATATATGTAACATATCCTATTGGGTCTAGATTAACTGGAACAGGCAGACAATATAGGACATATATGCTCTGAGTGGTGACAATGATGTGTTAAAGGGAGGAATAAAGGAAGGTTGTTTTGAAGAATCATTTGCAATGTATGAGTAAACAAAATATATCCAATAGATAAGATACATCTTTTTCTATATGTCTACATCTATAGCTCTACCTATACCTATCATCCATCTATCTGTCTATCTATCTATCTATCTATCTATCTATCTATCTATCTATCTATCTTCTATCATCTTCATTTATCAATGTATCCATGTATCTATATTTGTATCTATTTAGGTCCACAAATATACAAATACAAAAATTAGCTGGGCGTGGTGGTGAGCACCTGTAATCCCAGCTGCTCTGGAGTCTGAGGCTGGAGAATCAGTTGAACCTGGCAGGCAGAAGTTGCCCAGTGAGCCAAGTTCACACCACTGCACTCCAGCCTGGGTGACAGAAACACATTCTGTCATAATAAATACAATGCAATACAATACAATGCAATGCAATGCAATGCAATGCAATGCAATGCAATGCAATGCAATGCAATGCAATGCAATACAATACAATGAAAAGCTCCTTGAGGGTTCTGCATTCTGAATTTGGCTCCCTAGTCCTGCACCAATAGGTGGCATGCAGTTATTTTGTGGATGTGGAGAACAGTTTAGAGATGAGTCAACTCCAACCCAAATTGTGGCCTGATGTATGGTGAATTTGACACTGAAGGCTTTGTGCAGCCCCACATGGACTAGCGTTTACTACAGGGACAAAGCCTAAATCTCTTCCTTAGTTAATGTTGTGCTCAGAGAACACTATCCCAAAATGAAGGCCTCAGAAGAAGCCTCGGGAGCAAAAGTTTCTTTCTCACGTTCTCCTGCCCTCCTGTCTCTCAGTTCTATTCTCCCTCCAGGCCTCATAAAAACTAGAATTTTTCCTCCCCAAGGTGGTTCATAGAAACCAGAGCCTCTTTTTCCCCAAAGCCAGACATAAAATCTAAAATAGGACTCTAACTTACCCTCCATCACCTCTCAGTGTCAAAACTGGCCGTAAAGAAATCCTCTGATCTACCTGGTTTGACTGTAGATCCTAAGACCCGCATTCCAGAGAGGGTCTCGCAGCACACCCGGAAGGAAGGAGCGCTGCTCAGAGAGAGAGGCAAGAAGAATCTACACAGACAGGCCTGGCGGGGTTTCCACCCTCAGTCCATTTGCTTTAGATCAGGCCCTTTTCCTCCAATGCTATTTCTACATGGATTTTGTTCATACCTGCTTGAACCTAAGCATAACAATGCACAGTTTCCCTCGTATCTTTGGGTCTTCAGTCTGAAGGCTCCCATGTCACATAAAAATGTTATAAAATAAATGTTTGCGCCATTTCTCCTATTAATCTGCCTCTTGTCAGTGATTTTCAGTGAAACTTCAGAGGGCGAAGGGGATGTTTTCTTTTGTCCCTGACATTCTCAGTGATATTTCCTCACAGTTGGGACATTTCCACAAAAGGGAATTTACTTACGTGATCAGTGCAGCTCCACACTTTTTTTTCCCCTTTCTCCATGGGACCTGGTCTTCAACTGATGAACTGTGTAAAGTACACAGATTTATGACAATGATGCTTTGGGTGTGTCACAACCTCCAGCCATGGGGGAAATCTGGGACATACACAGTGTTTCTTATGTCTTCAGTGGAAATTGGATAATTAAAAATAGTTACAAGTGAAACAAACACACAGAAAAACCCCAGAGTTTTGGCAAGTGGTTTTGTGCTTCTACTGTTTGCTTGAGTGAGTAGAAGGTGATTTTATTCTGCAAAATCCAGCATCAGCAGCTCCTAGACTATTTGGAATGGCATGTCTGAAATCTGCCACAACGAACAGATGGTGTTAATAGTCCATTTTGTTGCATTTAATAAAAATGACAGTGTCAGAGTGTTGCTCCTTGAACATTTGATGCCAGCCATTGCTGCTGGGTCTAGACTGATGGGAACAGGTGAGTGACTTAAGGCATGTGAGTCCTGAGAGGTCACAGCAATGCAGTCCATGAAGAGTGAATGAGGCTTGCTTTCAAGACTCACCTCTGTTTTACTCTGGGAATGGAGTTGAAGGGTAGCAAAGTGTTCCTGAGCTACAGTTTTATAGTTTACAGTGAATTTACAAGCAGTGGTTTAATGCAAGGGTCAAAGTCAACTGCCCTTATTTCAGGGTGTTACCTACTTCCAGCTGCAGCTGAGTTCCTCTTGAATTCGTCAGATAACATGGATGATTGTATCATTAATGTGAACTGAAGATTGGGAGTGATTAGACAATTTTATATTTAGTATGTGCTAGGCTCCCAAATTCAGCTTTTGTTTGTTTGTTTTTATTGTTGTTGTTTTTGGACAGAGCCTCACTCTGTTGCCTAGGCTGGAATGCAGTGGTGCAACCTTGACTCACTGCAGCCTTCACCCCCACAGTTCAAGTGATTCTCCTGCCTCAGCCTCCCAAGTAGCTGGGGTTATAGGCCCACACCCACCACACCCAGCTAATTTTTGTATTTGTAGTAGAGATGGCGTTTCACCACGTTGGTCTGGCTGGCCTCCAACTCCTGACCTCAAGTGATCTGCTCACCTGGGCCTCCCAAAATCCTGGGATTACAGGCATAAGCCACCATGCCTGGCCCAAACTTAGCTTTTAAAAATGTCCAGTTTCTCTGGTTGTGCCTTAGATTTGAGAAAATAAGGAAAACTTATGAATAAAATGTATCTAAGTCCTTGACTTAAATGTGAATTCCCCTTCTACATCTCTACCTCTACATGTACCTATCTATCTATCTATCTATCTATCTATCTATCTATCTATATTTAATCTATCATCTATCTATGTCATCTCTCTATCTTATTGATTTACCTATCTCATTCATCCCTCTATCTCATCTATCTATCCTATCTGCCTACCTACCTATCCAATCTATCTAGGTGTGCACCTATCTAATCTATCTACCTACACATCCACCCCATCCTATCTTATAAGATAAGATATCTGTGTATCTATCTATCTATCTATCTATCTATCTATCTATCTATCTATCTGTCTAATCTATGTACCTCATCTCTCATTTATCTATGTCTCTCTCATCTATTTCATCTATCCTTCTATCTCATCTGTTTCTATCATCTATCTGTCCGTCTATCTAAATATCTATCTATCTAGCTATCATCTATCTATCTCATCTCACTACTTCATATATCTAATCTATCTATGCAACTATTATCTTATAATATCTCTCTCTTTTTCTCTCCAACCATCTATCCTATTGGTTATGTCTCTTTGGAAAACCCTGACTAATCCACCCTTCCTTTTATACCTTCATCATTCTGTAACACATTTGTTACACATGCTTCTAGTTTGGAAAATAGTGAAGTGCACATTTGCTAATATAGGCAGAGCATGGTTTGGATTAAAACTCTTTCTGTATGTTCAAAATGCCTCCCACATGAAAGGTTCAGTGAGAGCCTCTGGTGCTTCCTATGTTGTATTTGTCAATAATTTTTGAATAGCAGAGTATATATTGCTTAATGAAGTATCCTTCAGAAAAATGAAGCAGAAAACTGAGTTACTGAATGGCTAGTAAATAAGAAAGCAAGCAGATGCAAGCCATGTAGTGATATTTGCAGAATAAATGTCCATATTACTGAGGGAGAAAAACAAATGTGTCAACAAGCAAGTCATATTGAAGCATCAGTGATAGAATTAAATTATGTGGGAATGACCCCAGCCATATTTTTAAATACTCCTCAGACAATTCTGATGTGCTCTAAGGTGAGAACTACTGGTTAGACAAGGAATGTGTTCTGAATTCTAATTGTAGAATAAGCAAAAAGCATTTAATTAATCTTGATATCTACCAAGAGATAAACTAATGCTATTTAAAACAAAGTGGGCCAGGCACGGTGGCTCGCACCCATAATCCCAGCTGTCTAGGAGGCCAAAGTAGGATAATTGCTTGATATCAGGAGTATAAGACCAGCCTGGGCAATATGGGACCCCATCTAAATAAAAAATACAAAAATTGGCCAGACGTGGTGGCATTCAGCTGTGTTCCCTGATGCTTGGTAGGCTGAGGCAGAAGGATTGCTTGAATCCCGAAGACTGAAGCTATTATAAGTCATGATTGTATGAGGGCACTCCAGACTAGGTGACAGAGTGAGAACCTGTGTCAAAAAATAAAAATAAATAAATAAAATCAATGAGAAATCTGTAAATCCAAATGAAACAGAGAATATGTTTGCAAATATGACTAATTGCTAAATGTTAATGGAAACTTTTTTGCAGTGCTTTTTATAGGATTGATATTATAAAGTATTTGCTAAGAGAGGGGGAATGATGGGGATGACAGTTTCCACTCCTTGATCTAAATCAATTAGTTATGGAATATGCTTTATTTTAGTATGCTTACTTCAGAAATGTTCTCAAATTAGATTAGTCACAAAAATTATACGTATTTACAAAAACGACAGGCTCCTTCTGACTAATCCATAATATCTACTCTATGGAATTTGTAACATCTGTAGAATTGAATGCATTATGATCAGAGCTAAGCAGTCAATATATTTCTAATGAGCACTCATTTCTCTACTGAAGGTTCTTGATATGTTAGTGATTTTAGAGAGAATCTCAGAGACTGCTAATATAAAAAACAGATAAACATAACAAGAGACAATTAGGTAACTATTGTTTATTTTTAGTTATAATGCAGAGGCACAAAAGCAATGATTCTCTAAAGAAGTAGGTGAATGAAAAATTATTTGAATTTGTTAATTTGGCATTATATTCACATTATTAATTATGTCTGTTTGTACAGAAAAAAGTAATTGCATTTTCTCAGTACTTTTAATTTTTTTTTCTGGATATGGCGTAAGAATTTCATGGAAGCTATTTCAAATGTTAGATTCATTTCTATGGAAAAAAAGAATCAAGTGATTTGTACAACATCCCCAATTTCATTGCCAAATAATCCTGCAACATCTCAGTTTCTAAGCAATTAAGACCAAATTTATATACTTGCACAAAACAAGTTCATAGCTGTATACATGACACATATATTTAAAGCATGGGATTATCCTATACTTATAATTTGTTTATTTCATTAAGACTATAGTGCAAACATTTATACAGATTGACACTTTTAAATCTTATTCTTTGTGGGCTTGTCTTGAGATGAAAGAAAAAGTAAACACACAAATCAAAATATTTTCAGAAAAGATACTTATAAAACCAACTTAGGTATTTGACAGTTAACTATTAGACACAAAATAATTTGTACAATTTCTGTTAAATAAAGAAGAAAAATAATTCACCTCTTTGGTGAGATGTTTGAATTGCAAAGGAGGGAATTTTCTGATGATCAATTTACAAACTTAGAAAGTCTCTCACAGAGGAGAGACTGTGCTTTGTGCATGGATTTTACTCTTCAGTTCTAGTCCTGCAGCAGATGCTTAATAAGTGAAGATACTTACCTTTTTTTTTTTTTTTTTTTTTTAAGAGGGAGTCTCACTCTGTCACCAGGCTGGAATGCAGTGTCACAATCTTGGCTCACTGCAACCTCTATGTCCTGGGTTCAAGGGATTCTCATGCTTCAGCCTCCCAAGTAGCTGGAATTACAGGTGCATGCCACCACACTCAGCTAATTTTTGTATTTTTAGTAGAGACAGGGATTCACCATGTTGGCCAGGCTAGTGTCAGTCTCCTGACCTCAAGTGATCTCTCTGACTGGGCCTCCCAAAATGCTGGCATTACAGTTGTGAGCCACCATGCTCAGCCAATATGTAAAGATACCTTAATAATAAACTCCATAGAGAGGCAATAGGCTACAAAGCACAGACAGCCATACTCAAACCATTAAATCCAGGTGGAAAGCGGAATTCACAAAAGCTTGTTTCAATAACTCAGCTGTCCCCTCACATTGCCTTTTGTGGCATCAGTGTCATCATAGCTACAGGCAGTTGCTGACAGCAACCGAAGCTTCCTCGTTTGCACCTTGATGAAGGGAGAATGACTGGCTTGTTTCTCAGGAACATCCTGTAAATGTCTTTTTGCCACTCACTGGCCCAATTTAGCATGGGTGAACCCATCGTTGCAGTGGCCCTTGCATGGCACAACAGATGGAATTACCAGAGTTGGTGCATAACGGTAATCTGGGATAGAACACAGGCAGCCAGGAATAGGGAGCCACTATATAACCTCAGGCTGATGTTCCATCTCTCTTGCTTTTAGAAAACTTAACATGCTGTAATTTAATTTCTTAATGTTTATTCTGTCCCCAATAACAGTGGGGGCAAGTTAACACGATTTGGTACAGAGAAGACTGAGATACAAAGTTTGTATAAGAGATTTTCCCAGAGTAATTGCTAGTTCATGGTGAAACCAAAAGAGAACCAGAGTCTAGGGACCAGATATTTTAACATGTGGTCCAAGCCACACTTTTCTGCCCTGCCCACCGCTTCTTTTTTTTCTTTTCTTTTTTTTTTTTTTTTTTTTTTTGAGTCAAGATCTCACTCTGTCAGCCAGTCTGCAGTGCATTTGTGTGATCATAGCTCATTGAAACTTTAACCTCCTGGGCTCATGCCATATTCCCACCTGAGCTTCCCAAGTAGCTGAGACTACAGGAACACACCACCATGCCTGGCTAATTTTTGAATTTTTTGTAGAGATGGAGTCTTTCCCAGACTGGTCTCCAACTCTTAAATTCAAGCGACCCACCTGCCTCAGCCTCCCAAAATGTTGGGATTACAGGCTCGAGCCAACACGCCCAACTCTGGGGACTCATTTTTTGGATTTTATCCTGATGGTGGTAATAACAAATAAGTTTAGTGCCTGTTTTTACCCCAGCAGTGCTTGCCATGAGGGTTCTTAGAGATGGCTGATTAGTTGAACTGAGAGTATTCTTTTTCTTTTTTTTTTAGATGGAGTCTCACTCTGTCGCCCAGGCTGGAGTGCAGTGGCGCGATCTCTGCTCACTGCAAGCTCCGCCTCCCGGGTTCACGCCATTCTCCTGCCTCAGCCTCCCGAGTAGCTGGGACTACAGGCGCCCGCCACCACGCCCGGCTAATTTTTTGTATTTTTAGTAGCGCCGGGGTTTCACCATGTTAGCCAGGATGGTCTCTATCTCCTGACCTCGTGATCCACCCACCTCGGCCTCCCAAAGTTCTGGGATTACAAGTGAGCCACCGCGCCCGGCCCAGTATTCTTTTTTTTTTTTAAATTATTATATTTTAAGTTTTAGGGTACATGTGCACATTGTGCAGGTTAGTTACAGTATTCTTAAAGGTGATAGCGATTGGAATCTGAACTCTATAGGCGGAAGAGCAGACTACAGACCACGAAGAAGGCAACTTTGTTAATAAGAGTTATGGGGAATTCAAAGCTGCTCCTCCACCATTACATTTATAGATGAGTATCAAAAACCATTTTTAAATGAGCTTACTTTCCAGTGCTTTTTCACTGCATTTCGTGTAGTGAATTTCACTACAGAATTCACTTTTATTGTTAAAAAAGAAAATGTTTCAGTAAGTGAAGATGTTCAGTCAGGAAAAAAAATCTAGAAGAACATAAAAAATAGTAAATTTTATTTATATATAAAATACATACGTTATACAGCAGATGATAATAGGTATTGATATAGATTATCCTATTTAGTCCTCTAAATAACATTCTGGAGAAGACAGAACTTGTCATCTTTTTACTTATCACCTTTCTTTGCATATCTATCTATCTGCCTAATCATCCATCCATCCATCCAACTGTTCTCCCCTATCTATCTATCTATCTATCTATCTATCTATCTATCTATCTATCTATGTATCTATGTATCTATCTATCTAATCTATCAGGTATCTATCCTTCTTTGTTTCTAACTTGTTGTTCTGTCTATCTGTCTTACCTATCTGTGGTAAGGGAGGAAAAAAGACTTTTAATCTATCTCTTCAGTTCTGCGACAGGGCCTGTGATCTAAATAGACAAAATATAGATTTTAAAAGACATATGTTTCTTTATTAATACTGACATTTTTATGTGCATGGGGACCCCACAGAAAAGAGGTTAAAAACTGAAAGAGGCAGTTAGACCCCAGGGCTTATCTACCACTTTCAAAAGAGATGATGAATTGTGGAGAAATGACCAGACAAAGAAAAGTTAGGGGGGGATTTGGGCTTCTTGTAGCAACAAATTGTAGGAATGTGATGAAGAAATATATGGTAGTTAGGAATTGTTTGGTACAGTTTATTATACTTTAATAAACCACTTATAGGGAAGAGAAACCCCTTTACAAATATAAATTTACATTAACTTTATAAAGTGAAATTTATGTCATGATTTTAAGAAGGAGAGCAGGAGTTCTTTCTGTACCTGTTGCTTATCAGGTACATTCAGCTAAAAATAATCCTTATGCCAAAATGGCACATTTCGGATAGCATATTCTAATCCCCTTCACTATGTATGCATGTATATATGCATGCATGTATGTATGTATCTATTATGTATCATCATCTTTTTATCTATCATTTATATCAATCATCTATATCTATCACCTGTTAACTATCTACCTTCTATATCTCTCTGTCAATCATCTATCTCTATTTATCATCTGTCTCTTATCAATCACCTATCACTGTCATCCATCTAGGAATCATGTATCTCTATCACCTATCTTTATCATTCATCTATTATCTAACATCTATATTAATCATCTCTCTATCCTGTCAATTATCTATCTATCTATCTATCCATCTTTGATCTAACAATCTGTCTATCTAATTCCAAAACATCAGCTCTTCACAATATACTTTCATACCTATATATGTAAAAATATATTTAGAATGTTTGCAACAGGACTCTCAATGAATACAGTGACACTTATTATCATGAGTGTCTGCAAAGTTAAGAACTTACCCAATAAGAAATAGAGTTAAAAAACATAAAAGCAAACAAACAAAACCTTGGATTTTTTTTTCTGTAACTGCCAGTGCAATGTGTTCTTATTATACTGATTTTATTTACTATCTTGAATTTGTAGAATTAAAAAATTGCTTTCTCAGTCTTCACTGAACTTTAAAGAAATAATCCATTTAGACTTCACATCTTTAATTTGTTTTCAGGCCAAAATCTCCCCTCTCCAAAGGAGAGAAGAACAGAGAGATACAGAGAAAAACAAAGAGATGCACACTTTTTACATATATGAAACATAATTTGTTCTGTAACTGTGTAGACCAAGGAAATAACAGGTTAGAAGTAGCATGGAACTCAAAGAAATTCTGAATGCTGTTTTGTTAATCCTCCTGAATCTTGAAAGCCTCATTATTCAAGTTTACCTCTACTTGCTCTCTGTACCTCCTCCTTTTGGTGGATTACATAAGTCAAGAGGTGCAGGGGCTTATTGTTACAGCTTGTTCTTCTTAGCCTCACTTATCTTGACTCTTTTCTTCCAACTGAAGTTGAAAAAGCTATCCTTTCTGTTGAAGAAGAAAGAAGTTGTAGATAGCCCTGAGCAGGGAAGAATGCTTAGGCTGATGCTATAAAGGGAATCTTCCCAGTCTTTCTCCATCAGTACCACAGTGCAGTCCAAGGGAACACAGGCTAAATGATAACTCCATATTTTACTTCTACAACATAGAACTACTATGAAAAGGGGATTCTGAGACTTCTTTTATAGTATGCATGACTCACTGATATTTTAGAAGAAAATCATCACTCTTCACTGGGCATATTGCTTTTTGTTCTTTTGATCCAGAGAGAAATTTCTAGGTAAACTCATATGCCTTGTTTTGAATAAGCAAGTTGGTCAGCTTTATCATTGTCAATCATGTTTTTTCAATCATAATAGATTTAGAGATGGGGATATTTCTTCTATTTTATTATATTTGTCAGTAGATATGGATCTTACCATATTGCTCAGTCGGTTCTTAAACTCCTGGGCTCAGGCGATCCTCCTACCTTGGGCTCTCAAAATGCTGGGATTACAGGTATGGAGCCATCAGGCCTGACCTGGATTGAGAAAAATTTTGTTTGGGGATAAAATTGCAAAATGCTGTCAAATAATAATGGTGATAATGAATATCTGTTTTTTTCTTGACTTTTTAGCCCTGTAATTACTTAAAAAATGGGTAAGGATATGAACAGACACTTCTCAAACCAAGACATTTATGCAGCCAACAGACATATGAAAAAATGTTAATCATCACTCATCAGTAGAGAAATGCAAATGAAAACCACAATGAGATACCATCTCACGCCAGTTACAATGATGATCATTAAAAAGTCAGGAAACAACAGATGCTGGAGAGGTTGTGGAAATATAGGAACACTTTTACACTGTTGGTGGGAGTGTAAGTTAGTTCAACCATCGTGGAAGACAGTGTGGCGATTCCTCAAGGATCTAGAACTAGAAATACCATTTGACCCAGCAATCCCATTACTGGGTATATACCCAAAGGATTATAAATCATTCTACGATAAAGACACATGGACATGTATATTTATTGTGGTACTGTTCGCAATAGCAAAGACTTGGAACCAACCCAAATGTCCATCAGTGATAAGAATACTATGCAGCCATAGAAAAGGATGAGTTCATGTCCTTTGCAGAGACATGGATGAAGTTGGAAACCATCACTCTCATCAAATTATCACAAGATCAGAATACCAAACACCACAGCCTCCCAAAGTGCTTGGATTACAGGCATGAGCCACCGCGCCCTACCTGGAGGATACAAGATTCTAACCTCCCCAAAGTGCTCCTGGGGATAACATCATTATTGTCCAACCTAAGATTAGTACTTGAGATGTTTTGCCGAACCTGCACTCAATGGGTCAGCTGCCACCTTTCAGACCAGTAAATTGGCTCAACTGATCTTGTGGCCACCACCCAGGAACTGACTCAGCTCAAGAAGACAGTTTCAACTCCCCATGATTTCATCTCTGATCCAACCAGTCACCACTGCCAACTCACTGGCCCCCTACCCACCAAATTATTCTTAAAATTCTCCCCAAATTATTCTTAAAAGTCTCCCCAAATTATCAGGGAGACTAATTATAGTAGTAATAAAGCTAACTCTAGTCTCCTTCACAGCCAGCTCTGTATAAATAACTCTTTCTCTATTGCGGTTCCCCTGTCTTGATAAATCATCTCTGTCTAAGCAGCAGGCAACGTGAACCCATTGGGTGGTTACAACCGCTCTAACAAATAAAGATTAATAAGAGGAAAGGACACACATTTACTCAACACATATTTTATGTGAAACAGGAGCCTTCCTAAAGAAACAAAATCTCCAAGAAACAGCTAAACCTAGATTCCAGGAGTGGAAGCACACAGATGGGTAGGTGCAGGAGCTGGAGTGAGCATATTTGGGCTCAAGCTCCACAGTAGCATCTAAGGGTGTGTTATAATTAATGCTCTTTTAGCAGTTGCCTTCTATGGATAGCTAAGTGTTAAACCAGCCTGAGCTGGCAGCCTTTTACATCCTGCCATCTTGGTATCCGAGTCCTTGTCTAGCATCCAGGAATAATGTGGTTAAAGGATGGTAAATGCAGGGATTTTATTCAGTGATAGAGGTGGCTTTTAGCAGGATGCATGGGTAGCTGGAAAGGGGATGGAGTGGGAGGATGAACATCTCCTGGAGTTCTGCTGTCTGGTGGCCAGTCTCCTCTCTGACTGTCCCCAGTTCATTTCCTCTTGACATTCAGTTGCTCTTCTCTTCTCTCCTTCTCTGCTGTGCTGCTGTGCTGTTCTGCTGCTCTTCTGTTCCTCTGCTCATGGAGCTTGGGGTTTATATGGGCACAAAATAAGGGCATGGTAGGCCTGAGTGATCTTGGGAAATGCAATATTTGGGAGCAAAAACAGGAATGACTGTTCCCATTTAGGGCCATGCGTTTCCAGATTTGAGGGTGGGACCCACCCTTTTCTACCCAGTATTTCCCTGCCTCCTGTCTGTATCAATTTTACATTTCTTACAGCAATGCACATGGTTCTAGTTTATCTAGATCCTCACAAACACTGGTTATTTTCTATGTATGTGTTTTGATAACAGGGTGTAAAGTGGCATCTCACTGTGGATTTGATTTGCATTACGGTCAGGATCAGTGATGTTGAACATCTTTTCAAGTGCTGATTGGACATCTAGATATTATATCCTCTTTGCTGAAATGTGTATTCAAGTTTTTTGCCACTTTGCTTCATGCTTCTTGAAACAAGACATGCAGAAATATTGGATTCATCTGTGATGCAAGGACTCATTCATTTTTTGAAGCACCTACAATTTTGTTTAATTTTATGTACATTCCTTAACCTCTTATTTCTGCAGTGCTGTTGTGCTGCCACCAGACATCTTTGCAGAGTACAGGTCAGTTAACACAGTATCACTTGCAAGTGAATTGTTAGTACCAGGCCACCAGGGCTGAAATTCTCTGGGAATGCTACTCAGGAAACATGGAAAGACTTCCGTGGGACTCATTATAAAGGCATTGCAATTAATTTTTCATATGAATGTTCACATTGATAATAATGTCTACTATTTCTCCATGTAGATTTTAATCTTCATTTCTGGTAAAACTATGTGATGAGTGTCTGCCCATTACCTTTCATAATAAACATATTTGTCACTTACGAAGGAGCCTCCATTAATATATGTCATCTTCAGGCAGTAGTAATAAAAATAACAACAAGAACCTCTCAAATTCAATATCTTCTACTTCTTTATGTTGAACGTGGAAAATTTTATATACTCTGGTGCACCTGCAGCATTAAATGGAAGACTGCAAGTTAAAATCAGTTAATTCATTACATCTTTTGCATTCCTGTGGGAAGATGGATTAACTATGAAAAGATTACTTATTTCCTCTTCTTGTTAATTAGAACTAGTGTTTTCTTCATTTAAAAAATCTATAAACTACTGATATTTTCCTTGTCACCCTATCCTAAGAAGAAAATTCCCTCGAATGAAATAAGAGAATCTAAATACTACATTGTTAAAAAAGGAAACCAATTCCCAGATAAGTGTCAAAACAAGCTAATAAACAAACAAATATACGTTTCTTCATTAATTACTATTGTATTAGAAAAACTGCATAAAAATGAATGTTCCCAAAATCCTTAATCATGCCAAGGATACAGCTCAAAGAAAACATGAGCAAATAAAATTTAAAGCTAACAAGTGACCCTAGACATACACCAGAGGATTAAACTTGCCATGGAGTCATGAGAAAACTTTTCCTTAGTGTTCAGAATAATGTGAACCCTTTCAAACTCCAGCATTGCTTTCCAAGCATCAAAATGATAGAGTTGCTTTAAAATGTTTCAGAAAGCTAAAGTGTACTTTTGAGGATAGTTAGTACCATTTCTTATGGTCAAGACATCTATAAGGTATAATTCAGGTTAGGGAATCATACTGGTTTCAGTAAGAAAACTATGCTATAATAGATATCCTACCTGAAACAATTTCTGCTATAATATACAATATCTGTGGACTCATTTGGAAATATAAGCCTGGTCTTCACTCTCCCTTGAAATCATGGAATGGATTTGGCTTTACTACCATTGGATTTGATAATTTTATGTCTTGCATTTACTTAATTTTTATGGAGTTCTACTATCACAAATACTATGTTTGTAGTAATGTTTTGTTCAAACCCAGTGATGGGATGAATTGGGTTACACTAATCTCCTCCTTGTATGGGCAATACTTGGGGACCACAAAAGTTCTAACACTCTTCACAAAGCTTGAAATAAAACCATTTGAAACTTAATGTAGGCTCCAATGTAAATCAAGCTAAGGATTATTATTATTTTGACCCTTCCGGGCAGATTAAAGCCATGTTAATAAATAAACCACGGTCTCCATAGCAGCAGGGTGTTCTAAAAGTTGAGGCTTGTTGAAGTACATATGAAGAATGAAAGTTTTGTTCATTTCAATGCCATTTTGTGTGTAATTTAGAAGAATAATAAGAAACAAATTAAATTTCGAGAAGCACAGGCTAGGACTCAGAAAAAAAGCGTCCCAAAATGAGGGCCTCAGAATACGTCTCAGAGGCAAGAGTTTTTTTCTGACCTTCTCTTGTATTAGTCTGTTCTCATACTGCTAATAAAGACATGCCCCAAACTAGGTAATTTATAAAGGAAAGAGCTTTAATGAACTCACAGTTCCACAGGGCTGGGGAGTCCTCACGACCATGGCAGAAGGCAATGGAAGAGCAAAGGCACATCTTACATGGTGGTAGGCAAGAGAATGTGTGTAGTGGAACTCCCCTTTATAAAACGATCAGATCTCCTGAGACTTACTCACTCTCACAAGAATAGCATGGTAAAGACTTGTCTAGATGATTCAATTACCTCCCACCTGGTCCTTCCCATGACAGGTGGGAATTATGGGAACTACCATTCAAGATGAGATTTGGGTGGCAGCACAGCCAAACTATGTCACCTTCCCTCCTGTCACTGAGTCCCATTCTCCCCAGAGGCACTACATAAAAAAAAAGAACCCATATTCCCCTCCCCTCCCCCAGATCAGAGAAAGCAAAACACCTTGTCCCCAAAGCCAGCCATAAAATCTAAAAATATAACTCTAACATTCCCACCAATTTTCTGTGTAAAAACTGGCCATAAAAAAAAATTCCCTGACCTACCTTCTTTGACTGTGCGTCCTAGCACTCCTATCCCAGAGACCTTCCTGCCACATACCCAGAATGAAGGATTGCCACTCAGAGAGGTCAAGGAGAATCTAGACCAACAGGCCTGGCTGGGTTTCCCCACTCAGTCCATTAGCTTTAGAACAGGCCCTTTTAGTAGAATCCTATTTCTTTTGGCTGTACATAGTTTTTTGAACCTAAGCCTAAAAATTGACAGTTTCCCCATATTTGGGTCTTCCTTCTGAAGGGGCCCATGTACTCATTAAATAATCTTGTATCCTTTTCTCCTATTAACCAGTCTCTTGTCAGTAATCTTCAGTGAAACTGAAGGGGAAGTTTTTTCTTGGCCCCAACATACAGATAGAACTCTATTGCTTTGTATAATTGAACAAAATATAATCAGATAAAATAAACAGAGAAACTTCAGAAACTGGAAAGAGATTTGAGCAGTGGGCATGGAAAAAAAAAAGAGGTTGCATTCACCCATGTGTGCAGAATTATGGAAGTGAGACATTTAGAGAGGAAGGCTAGAAAGCATTTTTGAGTTGCTTGTCAGGTAAATTATCTGCATTTCCTATTAAAGGCTTCAGTAAGAATCTATATAGTTCATCAATGCTTTTTGAGTTTACTGTTATTTTTATTTATTTATTTTGCCCCTGGTTAAAATGACTGCATTGATTCATACTCGAGTAGGTGAGATTTTTTTTTGCCCAGGTTACAGCAAAAGGAGGAAATACCTACGTTTCTTGGATAAAAAATCACAAATAAATCAACCTTCTCATTTTGGTGAGATGTGAGGTCCTCTTGGCTTGCTCACAAGGCTAGAGGGAAGGCTAATTTTGAATCAGAGAACTCACCTACTCACCTTGTCTTCTACATGTAGGAACACAACCATACTTGCTCTGTCAAAATCTTTAAACTTGCATGAAGGAAGGCATCAAAGCATGAATTGGTGGAGGTCACAAGACCAATGGAAAGACAGAGAACCTGAACAATTTCCTCTGGTAATCAAAAGAGGCTATTTGGGGGCTCGTTAGAAAAACGTCTAGAAACACAATGATTTCAAGAAGCTGGAGGAAGCTAACTCCCAATACTGGAATCCCTCTTTTCCAAAGAATTCCATGATTTCACTTCTGCCTTTCAACTGACAGCAATCAATACACATAGGGGCACAGCCACACTTAATACATCAAAATCTTTAAAGCTGCTTGAAGGAAGGCATAAAAGCATGCATTAGTGGAGGTGACAAGATCCATGAAAAGACAGAGAATTTGAACAACTTCCTCTGGTAATGAAAACAGGCTCTATAGGGGCTTGTCAGAAAAAAAAAAAAATTAGAAACAATGATTTCAATAAGCCAGAGGAAGCTAACTCCTGAAACTGGAATCCCTCTTTCCTGAATAATTTTATGATTTTACTTCTGCCCTTCAACTGATGTCAGCAATCAGTCAATGTAAGAAGACCTTGACTAGGTTTTCTACAGGGAACTTCCCTCTGAATGCTGTTAGATACTTCAGAACAGCAACAACAACAACAGAAACACAAATAAATTTGCCTTTGTCATCTGCCAGTGCATGACACATTTGTTTTGGACATTTAGCAAAAGCTGAAGATACTTGGGAATTTAGTATTTGTTAATCTTCTGAGAGTCATAAGGGACAAGGGAAAATTTCCCTTTTGCCCTCCAAAGGTCAGCTGAAAAATCAACTCATAAAAGGCAGATTAATTGGAGATAAGACAAACACATTTATTTGATTATAGTTTTAGATGACACAGGAGGCTTCAGAATGAAGACGACCCAGCTCCCCAGTGAGGTGCAGAAACTTGTATTACCATACTGAGCTTACAGAAAGAATGTGGGCTTGCGTCTTGGCAAAACAGGTTATGAGAGCAGAGAGAGAAGAAAAATTCTGTTAAAATGCAATGAATGATTAATTACTATTAATTAATTAATTAATTTTGCCCCTGGTTAAAATGACTACATTGATTCATACTAGAGTAAGTGAGATTTTTTGCCCAGGTTACAGCAAAAGGAGGAGATACCTACATTTCTTGGACAAAAAAAATCACAAGGAAATCAACCTTCTCATTTTGATGAGATGTGCGGGTCAAAGAATGCACAACGGCCTGGGACAAAGTCTACTAGGACTCCAGAGCAGTGGTTTGTGACAAAAGCCCATCCATGTGTGTTGACAGATTTCAGTTTCTTCCAGCAGTATGGGCTCACTTAATCCAAACTCAAAGAAGGGACTGGATGTCATTGTTTTCTTCTTTGATGGTTATGGCTTTTAGGCAAAGATATAGTTTGGCTCTGTCCCCAGCCAAATCCCATGTTGAATTGTAAGATTCAGTGTTGGAGGTGGGACCTGGTGGGAGGTGAATGGATCATGGGGGAGGACTTTACCCTTGCTCATCTCATGGCAAAGTTCTGAAGAGATCTGGGTGTTTGAAAGTGTTTAGAACTTCTGCTTTATACATTCTCTCTCTCTGTCTCCTGCTCTGCTATGTAAGACATGCCTGCTTCCCCTTTGCATTCTGTCATAATTGTAAGTTCCCTGGGGCTTCCCTAGCCATGCTTGCTATGCAGCCTACAGAACTGCGAGTTAATTAAACCTCTTCTATTTATAAATTTCCCAGTCCCAGCTAGTTATTCATAGCAATGTGAGAACAGACTAATACAGGCAAATAAGGGGACTTCAGAGAACAACTTCATCCTGTGCTTTGGAGGAGCTGGTGGGATATGGGTGGGAGGTGAGAGAGAACATAAGGCTCCTTTTTCAGTTTAGCATGCACAAAGTATCATATTTTGAGATACTATTGTCTGAACCCTGTGAGAGGATATCCCAGAGCAAATGAGGGTTAAAGAACTCAGTGTCTTTCTGAAGAGTTTCAAACAAAATAGTGACTCTTGCAAGGGGATGTAGAGGATTTTGCAAGACACAAGTAGACAAGATAACTCTGCAGATGGTGCTAAGAATGAATTACCTTTTACTACCCACAACCCTTCTTCACAGGGTCGCTACTAGAGGTAGACATGAAGAAGCCCTGCTAAACACAGTAAATACTGCATTTACACTTGTAGCAACTATTCTGTGGTCTACATTTGGTTATACCTGGTTGTAGCTGTGGCCATTGGCACATCTCTGCTGGCAGTATCAACTATTTTTGACCAGTGGGTACCACTGACAATCTTATAAACAAAAAAAGCCTGTACTTTTGCTTCCTAAAGGAAACAGAGCAGGCAATGCTATTTATGAAGGAATATGCTCCTGAAATTCAGGCTAGTCACAGGATCTGCTTCCAGTATCTAAAAGTATATTGCCCAGGATGAGTGAGGGCATAACAGAAGGTTTGGGTGAGCTCAACCCAAGTTAGCCTTCACACTAGGATGTGTTTAGTGTATACACACTCTGATACTTACATTTTCATCCTCTTGGGATATTGGAGTAGTCTCCTTCCTGCAGAGATACAGGACTAGCCTACTTCCTGCAACAACATGCCATCAATTAGAACCTATGATGCAATAGACCCTCTCAATTTGACATCTAGATGCAGTGTGGTCTGCTCCAGAATGTAAGCCTTCATTTATCTTGTGTCTGGCATCTTCCTTTGTATCCTTGACCTAATGTTGTTGTGAGGGATTCCACAAATGGAAGACAGGGGAGGACCACCTGCTCAGCCGCTACCTAATTTGCTGAATAGAGAAGCAGCTAAGAATAGTTTATTGTTTATTTATTTACAATATAAGCCAGAAATATAAGTTACATAAACAACTGGAGTTCTTTTGAATGGATAGAAGAGACAAAAA
Organism: Homo sapiens; assembly: GCF_000001405.40. Classification (NCBI taxonomy): domain Eukaryota; kingdom Metazoa; phylum Chordata; class Mammalia; order Primates; family Hominidae; genus Homo; species Homo sapiens. The sequence goes on along the minus strand of NC_000024.10, from coordinate 15,177,417 downwards.
ATAGCTATTCCTTAGCAACTGGAAATGTGGATAAGAAGTTATCCTTAAAGTTGTAGATCACTATTCTATGGGGGTAGCGGGGAGGAAGGAAAGATTTAAAAAAATGAAAGAAGAAAAGAAGAAAATAAAGAAAGGAAGGAAAGAGGGGAGAAGGAAGAAAGAATAAAGAAAGAAACAAGAAAGAAAGGAAAAATCAAAGGTGAAAGGAGAGAGGGAGGCAGGAAGGAGAATGAAAGAGAAAAAGAAGAGAAGAAAGGGAGAGAGGGAGGAAGAAAGAAAAAAGAAATGAAAAAAGAAAAAGGTAGGAATAACAAATGAAAGGAGGGAAGCAAGAAAATAGAGACAGAAAGACAAAGTACGAGTGAGAAATGAAGGAAAGAAAAGAAGGAATGTTTAGGCTACTATTGTTATGAGTAATAGTTTCAGTAACTGTATAATCATTTTGTATGGACATACTACATTCTGTGTATGATAGGATTAGGTATTTTTGTTTTAATTTTTTGAATTTTAATCTTATTTCTGGGATTAGAGTTAATTAGAATTTTCCTGGGATTAGAATAAACTCTCCTTATTCTAAACTTTTCACAGCATCAACTTCTCAGTGCTTCTGATCCTGGATGCAATATAATGTTAGTCCTTATGGATGCAATGTAGTATTTCCTCTATTGGGAAAATAAATGTCAAATTCTTCATGAATGTGACTACTGTCCTCCACAAATTAAAAATTAATAATAATAAAGCAGTACAACAATTGGGTCACTGATGCTTTTATCAACTAGAATTCAGCAATGGTTTAATGCATTCAAACTACCAAACACTATAAAATTACACAGCATGAATTATTTTTCAATTATCTTATTGAGGAGAACTACTCTGTAACCACTAAACTATCCACCTAACATCATCATGTTTTTTCAAAAAAGCATGTCTTGTATTTACTTTACAGTGGAAATCTAGGCACAAAGGGGGAAAAGATGTCATCCTTCTAATTTTTTTCTATTTATATCCAAAAATGAAACTGAACAAATAGAATTGGGGAAGATTTGGCTTATGGGCACTAAGTTGATTGGGTAATTTCATCATGGAAATTGCAAAAGTGGTCGACAGATCTCATAATAATGTTGAATTATAGAGAGGAAGCAGTAGGTGGCTGGCTGTGCTACACATAGGTTAAAGTTGACCCAAATAAGGTTTTAGGGAAATGAACTAAGTGGATCCTCGTAAGGCATTATCTTGATCTGCACAAGTCCACTTACATGAAGATTTTCTTTCTCCTTATATAATGATCTCCTTCCTTCCTTCCTTGTCTCTGTCATCAGTGAGTCAGCGAGACTAACCTCTCCTCTTCCTCCTCCTCAACCTACTAAATGTGACCATGAAGAGGATGAAGACCTTTGTGATGATCCAGTTCCAGTTAGTGACTAGTAAAGGTATTTTTCCTTATATTTTTTCAATAACACTTTCTTTTCCCTAGCTTATTTACTGTAAGAATAGAATATATAATACATATAACATACAAAATATGTGTTAATTGGCTGTTTGTGATATCAATAAGGATCCTAGTCAACAATAACCTATTAGTAGTTATGTTTTGGGGAAGTCAAATATTATACATGGATTTTCGACTGTGTAGGGGACTGGTGCCCAGATCCCTCTGTTGTTCAGTGGACACCTATATGGTGATGGAGAATTGTGTGGCCATTCTCTGTGGCAAGCATTTACAAGAAGTACTGACGGGGCTGGGTGTGGTGGCTCACACCTGTAATCTTAGCACTTTGGGAGGCCAAGGCGGGCAGATCACGAGGTCAGGAGATCAAGACCATCCTGGCTAACATGAGGAAACCCTGTCTCTATTAAAAATACAAAAAATTAACCGGGCGTGATGGTTGGCACCTGTAGTCCCTGCTACTTGGGAGGCTGAGGCAGGAGAATGGCGTGAACCCAGGAGGCAGTGCTTGCAGTGAGCCGAGATCGCGCCACTGCACTCCAGCCTGGGCAACTTAGCGAGACTCCTACTCAAAAAATAAAAAATAAAAATAAAAAAGAGTACTGATGGGTAAGTCTAGACAAGTGAAGATCCATAGGGCACACAATGGCGATCATCAGCCATTCAATATTAAACAAAATTCAAACGGAAAGGCTTATGGGGTATTGCTTTGAAAATATTATTATTTTCAGACTGGGATATTGGGAATGCTATTTCCAGGATTTTCATTATCCATTTCTATAATAATAAATGGCATTAAAGATCATGAGAAAGTCCGTCTAAACTGTGATTTTTTAAGGCACTTTTTTTTTCCTCTATACATCAGAATGCAATTAAGTTAATGTGTGGTGCTGATAAAGTTAGTCAATGTTAACAGAGTGTCTAGCATATGTTCAACACACTGACCAGGAATGGGTAAGAGACAGCCCTCATCTTCAAGTGCTCATCATTTAGCAGGGAGACAATGCATATACATGGGGGTGAATTATGTGATAGAAACACACAAGGTATTAAGAAAATGCAAACCCAAAAATTTGTTTTACCTATGAATGAAGGTTTCTCTGAACACTTTTAAGTGCAGTGTCACTTCAGTGAAATCTGAAAGTAAAGATAGAGTTATTCAGAAGAGTGGGGTGACAGAGAAAGAGGAGAAATTGTGCTCAAAGTACTAAAATAGAATTTGCCAAGTTTACAAAGGCTGGGATGTCTGAAATAATTTACGTGAATCAGATGTACAGGTGATAAAAATAGAGTGAGAGGAAGGCCATACATCAGGGAACTTATAAAGAGTCCTAAAATAAAGAGCTCAACCAAGTTGGCCATTTCACGGAAATTTTTGTTATGTACAAAATTTCATATAGGCTGCCCCAGTCAAAATGAGATGCCATGCAAAAGCAAATGAGCAACTCTGCCTTGTGTTTGCTGAATGAGCATTGATTAAATGAAGACACAGGACACACATTCAGAGGAGGAGGTTGGTGAGGGCAAAAGCTATTTTGCTCACACAAATATCCTGCAGAACTATCTCTCAAGCAATCTGAGTGATCCTCAATCTAAACTTATACAGACTTTTCTGTAGAATGCTAAAATCTACACCTTTTGGGTAGGACCCTATACCAGGATCAGGGCTCTTGGGTCTACCATGGGAAACTTCAGAAACAATGAAATTGAGAAGCTGTCAAGCAAGAAAATGAAGCTATGATTAAGTCAATGGAATTGTTAAAACATGAATAGCATTCACAGAATAAGGTGACGAGGTGTAATGTCCTATATATATATTACCCTTGTGTGGAAAGTTAGTGGTTTCAGTCAGCAGGGAAAGATGTCACACTCATTTCTGAAATTATTTCTGAGAGTAACCAGAAAAATAAATTAGACAAGATTCCAGAGAATCTGAATTCACCCCCAAATTTATTGTTATTTTCCAATAACACCAATAAGTTCCAGTAAGTACACTTATTATTAGTTCCAAATGGAAATAATATTGGTTAATTATTAGTTCAGGTTTATTTTTAAATTTCATAATACAAACAAGGCAGATAACTCACAATTGTGCACTTACTGGCTCAAATTCTTTGTCACACTGGTATACAGGTATACATAGATTTAAATTCAAGTTTAACCCAATTTCAATGTCCAAATAACAGCAGTATATTTACTATTTGAATTCCTAAATAAAAGTGACAACACAAAGTAAGATCATATCAAGGTCTGGTACATATATTAACCCAATTCCAAATAACATTTCTATACTTATTAGCTTATATGTCAAACAAAATTTCAATGTTCAGATATCTCTGCTAACAGGTACTTTGTCAATTATTAACTAAAATTCAAAAGAAGAGTAATGCACTTTTGCAAATTTTCAAATCACATAATTTACCTGTGGGTTCTCAAATCAAATAACAGTATCTTACTTATTGATTCAAATTACAGTTCAACTTCCAAAACCAAATACCTTTGATAATAGACACTGGCACACTTACTCTCTCAAATTGCATAAAATATTGCTATTTTTTATGTTTTCAAAATTTAAAAGCTAGGCTGGGTGCGGTGGCTCAAGCCTGTAATTACAGTACTTTGGGAGGTCGAGGCAGGCAGATCAATTAAGGCCAGGAGTTTTGAGACCAGCCTGGCCAACATGGCGAAACCTCCTCACTAACAAAAGTACAAAAAATTAGCTGGTCATGATGGTGCCGGTCTGCAATCCCAGTTACTTGGGAGGCTGAGGCTGCAGTATTGCTTGAACCCGGGAAGTGGCTGTTGCAGTTAGCTGAGATTGTGCCACTGCACTCCAGCCTGGGCGACAGAGGGAGACTCCGTCTCAAAAAAAAAAACACACAAAAACATAAACAAAAAAACATTAAAAACGAAATAACCCCTAAGACAAGTATTGGTAAATGTATTAACTCAAATTTCAGTTGGAAATGGTGAATTAAGAATTCAAGAAAACACATCACATACTATTAAGAACATAAGAGGCCGGGCGCGGTGGCTCATGCCTGTAATTCCAGCACTTTGGGAGGCCGAGGGGGGCGGATCACGTCAGTAAATCGAGACCATCCTGGCTAACGCCGTGAAACCCCGTCTCTACTAAAAATACGAAAAATTAGCCGGGTGTGGTGGTGGGCGCCTGTGTTCCCACCTACTGGGTAGGCTGAGGCAGGAGAATGGTGTGAACACGGAAGGCGGAGCTTGAAGTGAGCCAAGATCGCGCCACTGCACTCCAGCCTGGGCAGCACAGCGAGACTCCATCTCAAAAAAAAAAAAAAAAAAAAAGAACACAAGCAGTAAGAATTACCACATTAATTTTTAATACAGTACATCCATGTTACAGTGTTTATGCATGTTTTATTCTATGACGACAAGGTGTTTTGTGAAAAAATATTTTTCTTTGTTAAGTTGTATTACGATTAGTGATAGTGTCTTCTTGATACAACATATATTTGATGCACATAGTTCTTTAATAATTTACAAATTATCAATAATTAAATTGTATTGAATTGACCAAGTTATTAGTTACCAGTATTTAATAATTACTTATGTTATGTAATACATATTCATATTTAAAATATAGTTATTACATTAATAAATTTTTGAATAAGCAGTGTTGCTTAAAGATGTTTGTGTGTTTAAGGAAAAGAAAACCACTAAGGGTAAGTTGTTTGGCCAGCTAGAATTTTACTTTTGTTAATAGGAACTATAAAATACCAAAAATCTATTCGGAGATGAGAATTGGATCTAAGTAGAATAAATACTTTATTACATAACAAATCATATTTTGATTTCTTATTTTAGTCTTACAGAACAATAAAACACATATATTTTTACCCCTCTACCTTCGCTAAAAATATTATTGTAGTTTGGGAAACAACTTAGAGTTTAGAGTCATTGTTATTCTATTTTTAAATTTTAACTTTGTCTTAAAATAATTTTTGTTATAAAAACCTTACCTTATTAACTTTCACTTCTAATTCAAGTGAAATGGTCATTAATTGTAAAATCATTTTTAACATTAAGAAAATTAAAACTATTGACTCAATAAATTGACATTTATTCATTTATTTTAATGGCCATATGGAAGAAGAATTATTTCAGTGAAGAAATAAATACTAAACTCCAAAGTATCAAACACGTATGTTTTAAACAAATAAAAACCTCTCAATAATGTCTGTTTCACCTTAATTCCTTTATTCTCCAATTTTTCTTCTATATATCTAAAAAAATAAAAGCATATTATATATACATATTAAGTTCTGACTAAAATATGAAAATATAACATTATTAATACTATATAGCTCCTATACATACAAATTACTCTATATATACACTATATATAATATAGATATAAGTGTAGTATAAGTATAGACATATTTCTATTTAGATACTTTCTATCATGAAAACATTATCCAAATATAAATGTGAGATTAAAATGTTTCTAAAAAGAATTTAAAATTCAATTAGATTTGAAAGATAAGTGATATTCCTCTGGCAAACGCATGGGTCAAAGAGCCCTTTACAGAGCAAACTGGGGCTACAATTTAAACAATTTTAAAAATAAGCAATTTACATTTGGAGCTTCTCTGATAAACAAACAATAATTTTTTAATTATAAATAAAATTGTGTATTATGTTAGAGAAATTTAACATCTTACTGATAGGTATCATTACTCCTTGTGAAGAACAAAAAAAAAAAAACCTCCAGAAGAAAATTTTATTTATGTTTAATTCTATGGCATTTTAAACTCTGACAAGGGTTTCGTTTTAATTTCTGTCATCATACATATTCACATTTCATGCAAGTACTTAGAGTTAATTATATTTTTATTTATGGACCAATTAAGCAAATTTAAAATTAAAATGCCACTAAGTTTTTTCGTTTATTTCAGTTAATAAACATGTTTGACCTGAAGGTTATGAAATTATTCTGTCTGTATTGTCTCTGATGTAAGATACATATGAACATAATTTTCCTAAGATTTGGGACAGAGTGATTCCAGATTCATAATCTGAATTATTTCCGTAGAGGACGTTTTTGTATCCTGCTTTGTTTTTGGTGTTGATTTTCACGGAATTATGACAGTTGAGGTCACCCATCATATCATAATTACCCTGATTTTCCACTACCTGCTGAGCAGCACCTGGAGCTCCAGTGACCCTCTATAAACAGTTATCATATCAATATTGCTCTTACTTTTTCATATGTCATATCAAAATATGAAAGGTTTTATTCAACAACTCAATATCTAGTCAGTTTTTGGCAAATACCCTTCTTTGAAAAAAGGCATAACAGATTTATAGATTAATGAAAAGTCAAATTTTAAGTCACATTATATTGGTTGATGTAAAAATTTAACTACTATCTATCTATCTAACTATTAATCTGTCTTATTTGAATATAAAATCCTCTTTCTCTGTGGTTGATCATTGGACCATGTGTTCTCTGAATATTCATTGAATTAGGACTTTTTCACAGAGAGAAACCACCTGAGTGGTATTAGATTAATATTTAGATTGTTTTTTAGATAAAGCAATCTCTAGAACAGTACTATAATCATAGGCTCTTTTGTTAAATGAACTATGAAAAGATAAATAATTTGTGTATTGAAGACCTTTATTTAATAAGGTATATAAGTACACATATCAATCAGACTATATTTCCCTCCATCATATCTATCTATACATTCATCCATCATATCTAACAATCATATCTATCATCTACCTATCTGGCATCTGTCTGCATATTTATGCATCCATCTATGCTCTTTATTTATTAATCCATTCATCTGTTATATCTATCTATCTATCTATCTATCTATCATCTATCATCTATCTATCTATCTATCTATCTATCTATCTATCTATCTATCATATATCTATCTCTACTATGTCTACCATTTATGCATCCACCTGTCATGTATATTTCTATCTATTTTCTATCTATCTATCATGTATATTTCCATCTATTATCCACCTATGTATCTATATCTATCTATGCATCTATCTACCTACATATCTCTCTGTCCATCTCATTTGTCTGTCTAATCTGTGTAATCTCTCTCTCTCTCTAACTCATCTATCTAATCTATCTATTCTATCAATCTATCCACCTATCTCATCTATCTATCTATCTATCTATCTATTGAATCTATCTTTTCATTCATCCTTGCCAAACACTTGTTAATTTCGAAGAAAATGAAGCATATCTTAAGTCAGCTACCAACATGAAGAAGTATGGTTAAAACTCAAGCAGCAGGCCCGGCATGGTGGCTCAATCCTGTAATCCCAGCACTTTGTGAGGTCGAGGAGGGCAGATCATGAGGTCAGGATATAGAGGTCATCCTAGTCAACATGGTGAAATTCTGCATCTACTAAAAATACAAAAATTAGCTGGGCCTGGTGGCACTCACCAGTAGTCCCAGCTACTCTGGAGGCTGAGGCAGGAGAATCACTTGAACCTGGGAGGGAGAGGTTGCAGTGAGCCGAAATCACCACTGCACTCCAGCCTGGTGACAGAGTGAGGAAAACAAACAAACAAACAAACAGAAAAAAACAACAACAACAACAAAACACCTTAAGCAGCAAACTGTTTCATTCTCACTGTGAAATCAGCCACATTGTGCTATTGTTCTTTCTGCCCTGGAGGCAGGGGGCAGGTTCCAGGGCTTCTTGTTCAGGTTTTCTTCTTCTGCCTCAACTTCTATGCCTGGTATAATGTCTGGGATTTCTTTTCTACTGTATTCTCTTCCATCTTGGCTACACTGACTAGATGGACACTGACCTGCATTATATCTACACTTTTATTTTTGCCTTGTTTGCCCCACCTACTCTCCAAGTCCCTTAATAGCTATATTACTTTTGTGCCTGTTAACTTTTACCATCAAAAGTCAAGCCAAAATTATGTCTACATTATGCTACAGCATAATATGGGCACATTCATATTACCTGATTGGTTATTTCTGCTTAAGAATAAACTAAAATTTGAATCTATTTTATTCCTCTGTTTGGTCAACCCAATTTCAAAATTATTTCTTTTCTTTCATTTCTCCATTGCAAGGTCTAATGGATAAATTAGAAACAGTTCACAGAAGCCCCCAAACAGTGAAAACAGGTATTTGCTTCTTTGTAAGGCCCAACTTTCCTTTACATAGCATGTAGTTGATTGGAAATAACATGAAGAGGAAATGAGCATGCTCTGTAAAATTAGAGGATAACAAATAGATTGTAGGGTGAAGTTTCTGACTTGCTTTAATATTGTATTTCAGTATCTCAGCAGTTTGCACCACAACTACCAAATTAAAAATTCATGTTTAATCATACACCAAGTTATGGCTACAACAAATAGGTTATGCCAAATTGTTAAACCACAGGTTTATCAGGGAATAAGTTTGGAAAGCCATCATTCACAAAAACGGCACCATTAGGTCTTCAAATAGCTACACAGGTCAAATCTTTTTGTGATCTTTGTTCTCTTTTTGCACAATTCTCATAAGTAGGTATTCTTCTGATGTGTTAAACATAATGAAATAAATACAGATAATGGTTGCATTTTAGGCAATTAATGATAAAGTGAGATGCAAGGGAAAAGTTACACCCATAAGATAAACTTACGATAGCATGACTGGCTATTCTTTCTGCAGTTCAATCAATACAGTTTGTTGATTGAACAACTCAACTGTAGGAATTTTCTGGGCAAAGAGTAAATGATAATTACTTGCATTTTTCATAGATGTAAATCATGATATAGCAACTTTTTTAATCATGAAAAGGAATTCAATTATGATATCAAATCTCTGTATGTGATGAAGGTCGGTATCTCCAGCAGTTTATCTAGCTCTCTGTTTCTATGTTTTCTTATTTTTAAATTTGAACTATACTTTCCTTCACCTTATATATTTGTAGTGAAGATTAAAAGTGCAAATTCATATAACATACTTTGAAACGACGAGTATAAGATAAATGTTCAAGAGATATTTGTTGTTTCTATAATGATCATCATATGTAAGTATATAATATTGTTATATTATTATGTGTATTATATTACAGATACTTATGTAATACAATATATTATGTTATAATTATATTATTTGTCATTGTATAATATATCCTTATATAATGCAATTATACATTTGTATAATAATGATTATTAATTGTGTTGTATATAATAACAATTATTATTATTACCTGTACAGGTTAAAAAAATAAGCAGAACTTCAATTCACATACAGTATCGGCCTCTGTTACTATAAATGGCAAACACAATGGAAGCTTTGTGACCTGAATTCATTTACTAAAATACTTCAGGTTAAAAAAAAAACCCACTGTATTATTCAGTCTTATGAGCATCTAGAAAATTTGACATCTATCAGCTCTTCTCATTAAACGCATGACACAAAATGACAAGGGAGATCAGAAAATTAAAGGTTTTTTTGAGTGTCATGTTCATTTATCTCCAACAAATAATTACATTTATTTTAAAACATCTCATTTCCTTGGAGTCAAAATAACTCATCTTGGTTTGTTTACAGGATAGACACCCTTATTTTATTACATAATTGCAAGATTAAAAACCTATCTATATGTTATTTAGTGCAAAAGAGTGACTAAGTGGTTTTGTTAGACTTTCAGGGTATAATATATTTTTACATGGAATTTTTACATAATGTTATTTTGATGTACAAATAATGAAATGTTCAGATTCTAAAAGTTTGGTACTTGAGATTTATCTTAAAATATAAAAAAGTTTGTTTACTCAATGAAATAAATGCTATTTTTGTATTTTATAAAATTTGTTTTAGATAAATGTTATTCTTTCTGCTAGAAATAAGAAGCCATCATTACTTTAACTGAATGATTTTTTTAAACTGGAAACAAATCTATGTAAAACCAAAATAGAGATCTGAGAAGAAATAGTATCCTGTGAAATGGAATATATTATCCAATACATTTCAAGCAAATAGGCAAACATTCTAGAAATGAGTTTATAATGTTTAGAGTATATTTTTATAAAATAAACTAATGCATAAATTTAAAAGGGGGGTCTTGTTTTTCTAGATTCTGCAACCACAAATTGTATTCAGATTTAATTATCTAGCTTTAAACAAAAGCTATTACTTTACAGGTGAAAAATTAATTGTAGTAGTGTCTAATTATAAGGATATATTGAATAGGGAAAAAATAAAAGCTTTTCCTATCATGTTAATTAAGCATATATAAAAGTATCAGTTTGCTCTCCTAAGGACATCGAGTCTTGTAGAAGTGAGCAGAAACCATGGACACCAGTTGTATGTATTCATACAGACTCATGCAGCTTTGATATATTATAAATTAATCGCAGACTGTGAACCCTCTGCCAACCAGCAATGTTGTCTGAGACCTACAAGATTGCAATCCCAAACTCAGAAATTCATTCAAGTTGTTTCCCTTAATACTGTGTTCAGCTTTCTTTCTCTCTTTCTTTCTTTTCTTTCTCTTTTTCTTTCTTTCTTTCTTTCTTTCTTTCTTTCTTTCTTTCTTTCTTTCTTTCTTTCTTTCTTTCGTTCTTCTTCCTTTCTTCCTTTCTTTTTTTTTTGGATGTTTAACATTTTTGCTGGTCAGTTCACATTTTTGCTCAAAATGGGACGATTATGTAAAACCTATAAAGAAAATTACGTGCATAATTCATAGAGTAATACTAGCTGAGCACTGATGAGTGGTCCTCTCACCAATTTCTATTTTAAGGGTCCTTTTTCTTTTCCAAGCAGAATAATAAAACATGTCACAGGACTTCACCAACTGGTATCAGTGCTTCTAGAACTCTGATTCATGTCTGACTTTAAAAAGCTCTGCAGCAAAGGAAGAGGAGCTGGACTTTGTGGTATGGAATTGTCAAGAATTACTCAAAAAAGCTTTCACAGCTATTGCTGTTACTAATGCCACATGTTTTATTAAAACCTCTTTCAGACAAATCATTTTACATTGCTGCCTACTATTTTGATTCAATTTCCCTGTAATAAAAAAGGTTTAAAAATAACCACTTTCCTTCCTTTAAAATATTTGGAATGTATATCTAAATTTGTGAAGGAAAAATAATGATAAGTTTCTTACACTGAAAAGGACGTATGGAACTTGGAGATAGTTTGAAGTCCAACTCATGCAACTAAGAATCTTTTGTCTGGGGTATGACAGCTAGTTTTTGGCCACAAGATAGGCTTATATTACTATGATCAAATGATGAAGGTCCTCTTCTTCATAGTCTATTTCTTCATTCAGTAATGAGAGTGGTGAGAGGCTTTGGTGGTAGAAAATATATGTGTGTGTGTGTGTGTGTGTGTGTGTGTGTGTGTGTGTGATATACAGGCAACATTAAGAGGGACCATATTCTGCCTCACTAATTAATTATTTATTTATTTATGTATGTATTTTTTGGGGCAGGATCTCTCTCTGTCGCTCATGCTGGAGTGCAGTGGTGTGAACCCAGCTCACTCCAACCTCTGCCTCCTGGGCTCAAGTGATCCTCCCACTTCACCTTCCTACCAGGTAGCTCGGACTACAGACATGAGCCACCACAAGCAGCTAGTTTTTGTATTTTTGTAGAGAATGGGTCTTGCTATGTTTCTGATATGGTTTGACTGTGTCCCCACCCAAATCTATCTAGAATTGTAATTCTCATAATCCCATGCCCTGGGAGAGACCTGGTGGAATGTAATTTAATGACGGGTTACACTCATGCTGTTCTTGTGATAGTGAGTGAGTTTTCACAAGATCTGATGGTTTTATAGGGACTTTTCTCCCAATTGATCTGGACTTCTTGCTGCCACCATGTGAAGGAGGATGTGTTTGCTTCCCCCTGCACCATGACTGTAAGTTTCCTGAGGCCTCCCCAGCCACATGGAACTGTCAATTAAACCTCTTTTTTTTTTTTCTTTCTTTCTTTTTTTTTTATTATTGTACTTTAAGTTTTAGGGTACATGTGCACAACGTGCAGGTTAGTTACATATATACATGTGCCATGCTGGTGCGCTGCACCCACTAACTTGTCATCTAGCATTAGGTATATCTCCCATTGCTACCCCTCCCTCCTCCCCCAACCCCACAACATTCCCCAGAGTGTGATGTTCCCCTTCCTGTGTCCATGTGTTCTCATTGTTCAGTTCCCACCTATGAGGGAGAATATGCGGTGTTTGGTTTTTTGTTCTTGCAATAGTTTACTGAGAATCATGATTTCCAATTTCATCCATGTCACTACAAAGGACATGAACTCATCATTTTTTATGGCTGGATAGTATTCCATGGTGTATATGTGCCACATTTTCTTAATCCAGTCTATCATTGTTGGACATTTGGGTTGGTTCCAAGTCTTTGCTATTGTGAATAGTGCTGCAATAAACATACGTGTGCATGTGTCTTTATAGCAGCATGATTTATAGTCCTTTGGGTATATACCCAGTAATGGGATGGCTGGGTCAAATGGTATTTCTAGTTCTAGATCCCTGAAGAATCACCACACTGACTTCCACAATGGTTGAAGAAAATTTTCGCAACCTACTCATCTGACAAACGGCTAATATCCAGAATCTACAATGAACTCAAACAAATTTACAAGAAAAAAACAAGCCCATAAAAATGTGGGCAAAGGACATGAACAGCCACTTCTCAAAAGAAGACATTTATGCAGCCAATAAACCTCTTTTCTTTATACATTACCCAGTCTTGGGCATGTCTTTATTAGTAGCATGAGAAAGGACTAGTACAGTTGTCTAGTCTGTTCTCAAACTCCTGGTTTCAAGCAATTCTCCCACTTTGACCTCCCAAAATGCTGAAACTACGGGCATGAGCTATTGAGTCTGGCCAGCCTAGTCGATTTCATCTAAAATTCTAACAGTTTTTAATGAGTCCCAGATAAACTGAAGGGATTTGATTTCAACCATTTGGAATTGCAAAGTTAATGTTTGTGTTTTTCATCTTTGCTTTGCTTTGCTTTGCTTTGCTTTGCTTCTCCTTTCCCTTCCCTTCTCTTCCTTTCCCTTCCCTTCCCTTCCCTTCCCTTCCCTTCCCTTCCCTTCCCTTCCCTTTTCTTTTCTTTTTTTTTCTGAGAAGAAGCCTCCCTCTATCACCCAGGCTGGAGTGTAGGGGCATGATCTTGGCTCACTGCAACCTCTGTCTCCCCAGTTCAGGCAATTCTCCTGCCTTGGCTTCCTGAGTGGCTGGGATTACAGGCATACAACACAATGCCCGGCTAATTTTTGTATTTTTAGTAGAGACAAGGTTTCGCTATGTGGGCCAGTCTGGTCTCGAACTCCTGACCTCGTGATCCACCGACCTCAGCCTCCCAAAGTGCTGGGATTATAGGTGTGAGCCACCTCACCCGGTCAATCCTGGTGTTTTTCCACAGAATGAATTTGTAATATACATACTGGAACACCTGTTGGAGAGAAATAACTATTACCTCTTATGCTGGAACAAGAGGTATACACCAGAATTGGCCCAGGTACCTGGAACATATGGTTATCCAAAGGTTCTCCCCTAATGCATAACAGTTAGAAAGATATTTTGAGGACAGAGACTCCAGTATTGGTCTGTGTACAAAATGATAGCCAAGTGAACCAATAAATGAAAAATAAAGGGGATGGGATGGGAAATGATGTTTCTGAATCATACATGTTTCAGAAGACAGACTTCAATATCACAGAACATCGTAATCCATGGATATTAGGTTTATTACATTCACACATATATTTTACACATTTTTGGGCCCTGCATTTTGGTACCCCATAATATATTCTATCTATCTGTCTGTCTGTCTGTCTGTCTGTCTGTCTGTCTATCTATCTATCTATCTATCTATCTATCTATCTATCTATCTATCTGTCTATCTATCTATCTATCATCTATCTATCTTTCCTTGTTTCTGAGTATACACATTGCAATGTTTTCATTTTACTGTCATCCATTTCTCCCACTCATAAAATTTCTATTATGCTACCATGGCGGATACACTGTCTCAGGACTTTTCTGTTTAAACGTGCACTTACTGGTACAATGTTTTGAAGGATATTCTTTACTGTTTTTGAATTTTATATTGACAGAAAATTTCTTTCATCATTTGCATTGTATGACTTCTTAATGTTACTGATGAAAAATCTAGGAATTGATCTAATTATTACTTCTCTATATGCCACCTGTGATGTTTCTCTGGCTGCAGGTAGGTTTTATTTGTTCCAGTAAACACCCAGTTGTCCTTCTGAACATCCATTCTGTTGCTACACTGCAATAAGCATCATTTTATCTCCTCATATCTCATTGTTTTGGAGCAATAAAATGGTCCTAATAATGTAAGCATGATTTGTAGAGTATGTCTTTCTATCTAAATCTGGTGTAAATATGTCATTTCTTTGTTACCTGATGTAATGGCTAATTGAATGTGTCAGCTTAGCTGACCTAACGGATGCACAGACAGCTGGTAAAACATTATTTGTGAGCGTCTCTGAGAGTGTTTCTGGAAGACATTAGCATTAGAATCAGTAGACTGGGTGATATGGTTTCACTGTGTTCCCACCTTAAACTCATCCTTGAATTATAGCTCCCATAATTCCTGAGAGTTGTGGGAGGGACCTGCTGGGAAGTAATTGAATCATGACATCCAGGTCTTTCCCATGTCATTCTTGTGATAGTAAGTTTCATGAGATCTGATGGTTTTATAAGGGGGAGTTTCCCTGCATACAGTCTTTTCTCCTGCAATGTAAGATGTGACTTTTCTCCTCATTCAACTTCCATCATGATTGTGAGGCCTCCCCAGGCATGTAGAACTGGGAGTTAATTATACCTTTTTCCTTTATAAATTACCTAGTCTTTGATACATCCCTATAGCAGTGTGAGAGAAGACTGACACAGTGGGTAAAGAAGATCCACCCTCACCAGAGTCAATAGGCCTCATCCAGTTTGTTGAGTGTCCAGCCGGAACAAAATGCCAGAGGAAGGGTGAATTCAGTCTCTATTTTTAAGCTAGAATATCCATTTCCTCCTGACCTCAGATATCATCACCTTCAGACTTGGACTGAATTACATTACAGGGTTTTCTGGTTCTCAGTTTCCAGTCAGCAGGTTGTGGGACTTCTAAGCCTCTATAACCATGTGAGACACTTATTATAATAAAGAATATCTATCATACTATCTATCTATTCATCACCTATCTGTCTGTCTGTTTAGTCATTCATCCATCTTTCCATTCATTCATTCATTTATTCATTCATCTATCCATCTATGATTCATCCATCCATCCATCCATCTATCCATTCATCCATCCATCCATCCATCTAGCTAGCTATCCGTGTGTTCATCTATCCAATTACTTATCTCCTATTAGTTCTGTTTCACTGGAGAAACACATGATCATTTTTATCTTTCCTTGTGGTAATGAGGAGGTCACATGCAAGAGAAGGCACATTGGTAAATGTGAACATTTTGCTTTTTCAAACAATTTATGTCTGCTAGACTTGTCTGATCCCTACTTTATACAGCTAATTCCCCTTCATAATGGTGTCCATGGGCTCACTTCTTTCTTGGGATGGAAAACACCCACTTTCTGATGTGTACCTCAAGATGCATGACTGACAACAGGACTCTGATAGTGAGCTGAACAATCTCTACCAGGACCCTTTAAAAAGCAGGCAGCTTTTATCCAAAATGAGAAGACTGCAAAGATGGCATAACATTTCCTTACACAAATGAGAGATTTAATTATAATGATCCTAGTGGGGCTTTCTACTAATCCTATCAGAATCATGATCTGTTATATGCACTTAACACAACAGTAAATCTGCTGGGTGACAGAGCTTACAAGCAAAAGGTGTTTGTTCTGTAAACAAAACAAGTGGTAAGCTTTTCTCCCACTGGGCACCAAGCAAAGTCTGCCAGCGTGTATAGTAGTAAGAATACGAATTTCTGTTCACTTTTACTTCCAGGTGAAATGAAGGGTATGCTGCATGGTTGTGGATGATAAGATATTTCACAGAGCGTTTAGAATACTGACCTTTCATGGACTGGTATGGGCTGCTTTGTGTCTCCCTAAAATTCATGTTGAAGCTCTTACCCCCGAGGGGACTGTATTTAAAGACAGGGCTTTTTAAGAGATAATTAAGCTTAAATGAGATCATTAGGATGGGCCCTAATCCTACAGGACAGGTGTCCTTATAAAAAGATTAGGGCACAAACAGAGAGGGACAACCATGTGAGGACACAGGGAGAAGATAGAGTCTGCAAGTCCAGGAGGGAGGCCTTAGGAGGAAACAGAGCAGCCCATACCTTGATCTTAGAATTCCAGCCTCCAGGACTATGAAAAAACAAATTTCTGTTTTTTTTTTTTTAATCCACCTAGTCTGTGGTATTTGATAACAAAGACTTAGTCTTTATCATCCATTCTGTGGCAAGCATCAATCTTTACACATGTACCTCAAATATTGCTACCTACTAAGCTTCCAGCTCCATCAGCATCAATGTAGCTGACCAATTGTGAGATAGTGAGGTAGTGAAAATACTTCTAAGATCCATATGGACACACAGAGCCTGAATGTTGCCAAGTTGGTAAATATGTAATGCTGACTCTGTTATATGAAAGTCAGCTGCTTGTAGGGATTGTTGCTTATTGAGATAGAGAATAAAGAAATGGGAAGAAAATAAAAAAAGACATTTGCTGCCACAATAGCTGTACAGCAGGCACCAGCATTTGTAATGATTTGTTTCTGAGTAAAGATAAGTCATGTGTCTGAATAGAAGCTGTGAAGTGAGCATGACATTGATCCCTAGTCTGACCAGCTGTGACTTTTCATTAATATCTGGCTTCTGCAGTCACAGAAGGTGCAAAAGGTACCTCTAGCTGTGGATGAAAACTTGAGTTGTCTCTTTGAACATGTATTAATCTCTAAATGTTTATTATGATCTCCTTCTTTTCTTCTTGACTGAACAGCTCAGAAACCTAAACTTACATTTTTTTCCAGCTAATCTTCCAGTCAGATGTCAAACTTATGTTCTTTGAGTTAAAGCCACTTGTGTGAGATATAAAAGGGGAGCTGACTTAGGTGATCAGAGAGGCAGCTGTGAGGAACCACTGTATGGCACACATGGCCTCGGCCTCATTAGAACCAAGCAGCTTGGAAGGTGGACCCGGTAGGTCCCTGGAAGTAGCTTAATGTTGGCTTCATTGAGAATCTGCATCTATCAAGGAATTTTGGGACTTACCCTGGAAGGGGATTCTCATAGCATATTTCAGAACTTCTAACATATAAAGTGCAAGGTAAACTTGAACATCAAAAAGTTTACTCAGAGTTCAAATTGTTCATTAGACCATATATAAAATACAACTTCCAAAATTTTATTTTATAAATAAAATACTAAACAAGGGGGAGACCCCAAAATCTGCCATATTCTGTGACATTATGGATTATATGTCAGATATTAAAATGAAGTACAAAGCAATTTCTAATGACTAAATGTCAGGAAATTTACATGTGCCGTTTTGGTTGTGATCATTTTTGCAGAAAGAAAAAGGAAAGAAATCACACAGTTCAACTCACAGCAGATACTGAAACTTAATTTCTGCCTTAAGCTTTTGACTTTATAAACTATAATTTATAAACATTTATAGAATATATAAACATTTACAGCATTTCTAAACATTTGTAAACATTAAACCAGGTAATGTATTAGGCACATAATCTGCAGAATTTTTACTCCACACTATAACATTTATCAACTCAGTAATTCCTCTAGTTGTCATATATAGGCTAAATGGAATTTTGGAAGTTGTACAATTATTCATTTGTACTTGTGGAGATTGTACATTGTACATGTACAATTCCTTTTGTTGTCACAAAACCCTGCATTAGAAATAGGTATCTGTGGGGGCTGGAGCCAAGATGGCCAAATAGGAGCAGCTCCGGTCTACAGCTCCCAGCTTGAGCAATGCAGAAGATGGGTGATTTCTGCATTTCCATCTGAGGTAACAGGTTCAGCTTAATAGGGAGTGCCAGACAGTGGGTGCAGGACAGTGTGTGCAGCACACTGTGCATGAGCCCAAGCAGGGTGAGGCATTGCTTCACTTGGGAAGTGTAAGGGGTCAGGGAGTTCCCTTTCCTAGTCAAAGAAAGGGGAGACAGACGGCACCTGGAAAACTGGGTCACTCCCACCCTAATACTGCACTTTTCCGACAGGCTTAAAAGACGGTGCACCAGGAGATTATATCCCACACATGGCTCGGAGGGTCCTATGCCCATGGAGTCTCACTGATTGCTATCACAACAGTCTGAGATCAAACTTCAAGGCAGTGAGGCTGTGGGAGGGGCACCCGCCATTGCCCAGGCTTGCTTAGGTAAACAAACCAGCTGGGAAACTGGAACTGGGTGGAACCCACCACAGCTCAAGGAAGCCTGCCTGCCTCTGTAGGCTCCATCTCTGGGGGCAGGGCACAGACAAACAAAAAGGCAGCAGTAACCTCTGCAGACTTAAATGTCCCTGTCTGACAGCTGTGAAGAGAGCAGTGGTTCTCCCAGCACGCAGCTTGAGATCTGAGAATGGGCAGACTGCCTCCTCAAGTGGGTCCCTGACCACTGACCCCCAAGCAGCCTAACTGGGAGATACCCCCCAGTAGGGTCAGACTGACACCTCACATGGTCAGGTACTCCACTAAGACAAAACTTCCAGAGGAACGATCAGACAGCAGCATTCACAGTTCATGAAAATCCGCTGTTCTGCAGCCACCGCTGCTGGTACCCAGGCAAACAGGGTCTGGAGGGGACCTCTAGCAAACTCCAACAGACCTGCAGCTGAGGGTCCTGTATGTTAGAAAGAAAACTAACAAACAGAAAGGACATCCACACCAAAAACCCATCTGTACATCACCATCATCAAAGACCAAAAGTAGATAAAACCACAAAGATGGGGAAAAAACAGAGTAGAAAAACTGGAAACTCTAAAAAGCAGAGCACCTCCCCTCATCCAAAAGAATGCAGTTCCTCACCAGCAATGGAATAAAGCTGGATGGAGAATGACTTTGATGAGTTGAGAGAAGAAAGCTTCAGACAATCAAACTATTCCGAGCTACAGGAGGAAATTCAAACCAAAGGCAAAGAAGATAAAAACTTTGTAAAAAATTTAGACTACTGTATAACTAGAATAACCAATACAGAGAAGTGCTTAAAGGAGATGATGGAGCTGAAAGCCAAGGCTCAAGAACTACGTGAAGAATGCAGAAGCTGCAGAAGCCTATGCGATCAACTGGTAGAAAAGGTATCAGCGATGGAAGATAAAATGAATGAAATGAAGCGAGAAGGAAAGATTAGAGAAAAAAGAATAAAAAGAAAAAAACACAGCCTCCAAGAAACATGAGACTATGTGAAAATACCAAATCTACATCTAATTGGTGTACCTGAAAGTGACGGGGAGAATGGAACCAAGTTGGAAAACACTCTGCAGGAAGTTATGCAGGAGAACTTCCCGAATCTAGCAAGGCAGGCCAACATTCAGATTCAGAAAATACACAGAACACAACAAAGATACTCCTCGAGAAGAGCAATTCCAAGACACCTAATTGTCCGATTCACTAAAGTTGAAATGAAGGAAAAAATGTTAAGCGCAGCCAGACAGACAGGTCAGGTTACCCTCAAAGGGAAGCCCATCAGATTAACAGCGGATCTCTCGGCAGAAAGTCTACAAGCCAGAAGAGATTGGGGGTCAATATTCAACATTCTTAAAAAAAAGAACTTTCAACCCTGAATTTCATATCCAGCCAAACTAAGCTTCATAAGTGAAGGAGAAATAAAATACTTTACAGACAAGCAAATGCTGAGAGATTTTGTCACCACCAGTCCTGCCCTAAAAGAGCTCCTGAAGGAAGCACTAAACATGGAAAGGAACAACCGATACCAGCTGCTGCAAAATCATGCCAAATTTTAAATACCATCAAGGCTAGGAAGAAACTGCATCACTAACGAGCAAAATAACCAGCTAACATCATAATGACAGGTTCAAATTCACACATAATAATATTAACTTTAAATGTAAATGGACTAAATGCTCCAATTAAAAGACACAGACTGGCAAATTGGATAAAGAGTCAAGACCCATCAGTATGCTGTATTCAGGAAAACCATCTCACGTGCAGAGACACACACAGACTCAAAATAAAAGGATGGAGGAAGATCTACCAAGCAAATAGAAAACCAAAAAAGGCAGGGGTTGCAATCCTAGTCTCTGATAAAACAGACTTTAAACCAACAAAGATCAAAAGAGACAAAGAAGGCCATTACAGAATGGTAAGGGGATCAATTCAACAAGAAGAGCTAAATATCCTAAATATATATGCACCCAATACAGGAGCACCCAGATTCATAAAGCAAGTCCTGAGTGACCTACAAAGAGACTTAGACTCCCACACAATAATAATGGGAGACTTTAACACCCCACTGCCAACATTAGACAGATCAACGAGACAGAAAGTCAACAAGGATACCCAGGAATTGAACTCAGATCTGCACCAAGTGGACCTAATAGACATCTACAGAACTCTCCACCCCAAATCAACAGAATATACATTCTTTTCAGCACCACACCACACCTATTCCAAAATTGACCACATACTTGGACGTAAAGCTTTCCTCAGCAAATGTAAAAGAATAGAAATTATAACAACGTGTCTCTCAGACCACAGTACAATCAAACTAGAACTCAGGATTAAGAAACTCACTCAAAACCACTCAACTACATGGAAACTGAACAACCTGCTCCTGAATGACTACTGGTTACATAACGAAATGAAGGCAGAAATAAAGATGTTCTTTGAAACCAATGAGAACAAAGACACAACATACCAGAATCTCTGGGACACATTCAAAGCAGTGTGTAGAGGGAAATTTATAGCACTAAATGCCCACAAGACAAAGCAGGAAAGATCCAAAATTGACACCCTAACATCACAATTAAAAGAACTACAAAAGCAAGAGAAAACACATTCAAAAGCTAGCAGAAGGCAAAAAATAACTAAACTCAGAGCAGAACTGAAGGGACTAGAGATACAGAAAACCCTTCAAAAAATTAATGAATCCAGGCGCTGGTTTTTTGAAAGGTCCAACAAAATTGATAGACCGCTAGCAAGACTAATATAGGAGAAAAGAGAGAAGAATCAAATAGACACAATAAAAAATGATAAAGGGGATATCACCACCAATCCCACAGAAATACAAACTACCATCAGAGAATACTACAAACACCTCTACGAATAATAAACTAGAAAATCTACAAGAAATGGATAAATTCCTCCACACATACACCCTCCCAAGACTAAACAAGGAAGAAGTTGAATCTCTGAATGGGCCAACAACAGGCTCTGAAATCATGGCAGTAATCAATAGCTTAACAACAAAAAAGAGTCCAGGACCAGATGGATTCACAGCCGAATTCTACCAGAGGTACAAGGAGGAACTGGTACCATTCCTTTTGAAACTATTCCAATCAATAGAAAAAGAGGAAATCCTCCCTAACTCATTTTATGAGGCCAGCGTCATACTGACACCAAAGCCAGGCAGAGACACAACCAAAAAAGAGAATTTTAGACCAATATCCTTGATGAACATTGATGCAAAAATCCTCAATAAAATACTGGTAAACTGAATCCAGCAGCACATCAAAAAGCTTATCCAACATGATCAAGTGGGCTTCATCCCTGGGACGCAAGGCTGGTTCAATATACACAAATCATTAAATGTAATCCAGCATATAAACAGAACCAAAGACAAAAACCACATGATTATCTTAATAGATGCAGAAAAGGCCTTTGATGAAATTCAACAACTCTTCCTGCTAAAAACTCTCAATAAAGTAGGTAAAGATGGGACGTATCTCAAAATAATAAGAGCTATCTATGACAAACCCACAGCCAATATCATACTGAATGGGCAAAAACTGGAAGCATTCCCTTTGAAATCTGGCACAAGACAGGGACGGCCTCTCACCACTCCTTTTCAACATAGTGTTGGAAGTTCTGGCCAGGGCAATTAGGCAGGAGAAGGAAGTAAAGGTTATTCAATTAGGAAAAGAAGAAGTCAAATTGTCCCTGTTTGCAGATGACATGATTGTATTTCTAGAAAACCCCATTGTCTCAGCCCAAAATCTCCTTAAGCTGATAAGCAACTTCAGCAAAGTCTCAGGATACAAAATGAATGTACAAAAATCACAAACATTCTTATACACCAATAACAGACCAACAGAGAGCCAAATCGTGAGTGAACTCCCATTCATAATTGCTTCAAAGAGAATAATATACCTAGGAATCCAACTTACAAGGGACGTGAAGGACCTCTTCAAGGAGAACTACAAACCACTGCTCAATGAAATTAAAGAGGATACAAAGTAATGGAGGAACATTCCATGCTCATGGGTAGGAAGAATCAATATCGTGAAAATGGCCATACTGCCAAAGGTAATTTACAGATTCAATGCCATCCCCATCAAGCTGCCAATGACTTTCTTCACAGAATTGGAAAAAACTACTTTAAAGTTCATATGGAATCAAAAAAGAGCCCGCATCAGCATGGTACTGGTACCAAACAGAGATAGATCAATGGAACAGAACAGAGACCTCAGAAATAACACCACATATCTACAACTATCGGATCTTTGACAAACCTGACAAAAACAAACAATGGCAAAAGTTTACCCTATTTAATAAATGGTGCTGGGAAAACTGGCTAGCGATATGTAGAAAGCTGAAACTGGATCCCTTCCTTACACCTTATACAAAAATTAATTCAAGATGGATTAAAGACTTAAATGTTAGACCTAAAACCATAAAAACCCTAGAAGAAAACCTAGGCATTACCATTCGGGACATAGGCATGGGGAAGGACTTCAAGTCTAAAACACCGAAAGCAATGGCAACAAAAGCCAAAATTGACAAATGGGATCTAATTAAACTAAAGAGCTTGTGCACAGCAAAAGAAAGTACCATCAGAGTGAAAAGGCAACTACAAAATGGGAGAAAATATTTGCAACCTACTCATCTGACAAAGGGCTAATATCCAGAATCTACAATGAACTCAAACAAATTTACAAGAAAAAAACAAACAACCCCATCAAAAAGTGGGTGAAGGATATGAACAGACACTTCTCAAATGAAGACAGTTATGGAGCCAAAAAACTCATGAAAAAATGCTCACCATCACTGCCCATCAGAGAAATGAAAATCAAAATCACAATGAGATATCATCTCACACCAGTTAGAATGGCAATCATTAAAACGTCAGGAAACAACAGGTGCTGGAGAGGATGTGGAGAAATAGGAACACTTTTACACTGTTGGTGGGACTGTAAACTAGTTCAACCATTGTGGAAGTCAGTGTGGCGATTCCTCAGGGATCTAGAACTGGAAATACCAATTGATCCGGCCCTCCCATTACTGGGTATATACCCAAAGGACTATAAATCATGCTGCTATAAAGACACATGCACACGTATTTTTATTGCGGCACTATTCACAATAGCAAAGACTTGGAACCAACCCGAATGTCCAACAATGATAGACTGGATTAAGAAAATGTGGCACATATATACCATGGATTACTCTGCAGCCATAAAAAATTATGACTTCATGTCCTTTGTAGGGACATGGATGAAATTGGAAATCATCATTCTCAGCAAACTATCTCAAGGACAAAAAACCAAACACCGTATATTCTCACTCTTAGGTGGGAATTGAACAATGAGAACACATGGACACAGGAAGGGGAACATCACACTCTGTGGACTGTTGTGGGGTGGGGGGATGGGGGAGGGATAGCATTAGGGATATACCTAATGCTAAATGACGAGTTAATGGAAGCAGCACACCAGCTTGGCACATTTATACATTTGTAACTAACCTGCATATTGTGCATATGTACCCTAAAACGTAAAGTATAATAATAATAATAATAATAATAATAATAATAATAATAATAATAAGAAATAGGTAACTGCATTGAATTTTCTCCTAAGATAATACTAACACAGATAATAGTGTTTATTCTTCTTTCTTTTTGCATTGTGTCTTACATATGGATTTTGTTTGTTCTTTCATGCTTTAAAAATATTGGTATCACCTTTAGTCCTTAAAAGCAACTGCAGAGATTTTTAGGTCAAATTTCATGAAAATTGAGGTATGTGTATTTTCTTATACCAGAAATATTTATGGCTATCATCAGTGACTACAACATAGGATAAAGTATAGAAATTCACAGAGAAGATATAATAATTCAACTCATTATTGAATTGGGAATTATTTGTTAATTTAAACAAAAATTAAGAGACAAGGTGTATTACCCAGGCTGGAGTGCAGTGGTGTGATCATAGCTCACTGCAGCCTCAAACTCTTGGGCTCAAAGAATTGTCCTGCCTCAGCTTCCCAAGGAGCAGGGACTACAGGTACACACCACCATGCACTGGTAATTATAAAAATTTTTACAGAGACAGGGTCTATTCTATGTTGCCCAGGCTGCTTCTGAATTTCTGGCTGCAAGCAATCTTCCTGCTTCATCCTCTCAAAATGCTGGGATGAGAGGTATGAGCCACTGTGTTCTTAACTTTGATAAGTAAAGGGAATTATAGGGAAAATCATATGGAAATCACAATGATAGTTACAATTTCTCCTGTATCAGTGGCTGGACAAGGTCAGTGACCTTAGTGGATGCTTTTCAATTAATAGTTCTAATTCCTACAACAATCATGGATAAATTAAGAACAATCTCTGTTCTTAATTCAATAAAAGGAACAGAATATGATTTGTAAAATCCTCATAATTTTACACATGTCCGAATTATTATAAGCTAGGTAATTTGCACAATTCAATTCAGTGTATTTGTGATGAATCCAGTCACTGAATCAACTTCATTTTGATCCAAAACCCACTTTATCCTGGAACATGACTCATAAAAGACAAAGAAAATAAAAGTGTCAAAAAATAGACTTTTGACATCCGATCACTGGGAAGTCTTCAGAAAGATGTGGGGAAAATGTAATATACATCCCAAGTATATAAAGCACAAACGGTATTCCATATTTTATAAATGATACCAGCTTGGCTCCAGTTCTTGGGTAGAATTGTATTTTTATTTTCTATTTTGGAGACAGGATTTCACTCTGTTATGCAGGCTAGAGTGCCCTGGTGCAAACACAGCTCACTGCTGCCTTGACTTTCTGAGCTGAAATAATTCTCTCTCCTCAGCCTCCAGAGTAGCTGGGACTAAAGGCAAGAACAACTGCACCCATCCCACCATTTTTTAAAAAAACATACTACCTATGAAGAGGCACAGGACATCACACCCAGCTATATATTTTGTTGTTGTTTGTGACGGGGGTCTCACTATGTTTCCATCTGGTTTTGAACTCAAGCAATCCTCCCACCTCAGCCTGCCAAAGTGCCGTGATTTCAGGCATAAGCCATAACGCCCAAACAGTATTCTAGATAATATACAAGAAAGCATTTACAAGAGTATGTGATAATCTACGAAAATAGTTTTCAAAATGATACTCCACTAGTATTTTAAAATAAGATAAATTTGTATTAGTCTGAGGGAGGTTGTATTTTGGATCACCTGTCATTCTTTTTTATTATTATTATTTTTAATGTTTTTTTTAATTATACTTGAAGTTTTAGGGTACATGTGCACAATGTGCAGGTTAGTTACATATGCATAAATGTGCCAAGCTGGTGCGCTGCACCCACTAACTCGCCATCTAGCACTAGGTATATCTCCCAATGCTATCCCTCCCCCCTCCTCCCACCCCAAAACAGTCCCCAGAGTGTGATGTTCCCCTTCCTGTGTCCATGTGTTCTCACTGTTCAATTCCTACCTATGAGAGAGAATATGCGGTGTTTGGTTTTTTGTTCTTGTGATAGTTTACTGAGAATGATGATTTCCAATTTCATCCATGTCCCTACAAAGGCCATGAACTCATCATTTTTTATGGCTGTGTAGTAATCCAAGGTGTACATGTGCCACATTTTCTTAATCCAGTCTATCATTGTTGGACATTCGGGTTGGTTCCAAGTCTTTGCTATTGAGAATAGTGCCACAATAAAAATACGTGTGCATGTGTCTTTATAGCAGCATGATTTGTAGTCCTTTGGTTATATACCCAGTAATGGGATGGCTGGGTCAAATGGTATTTCTAGTTCTAGATCCCTAAGGAATCACCATACTGACTTCCACAATGGTTGAACTAGTTTACAGTCCCACCAACAGTATAAAAGTGTTCCTATTTCTCCACTCCTCTCCAGCACCTGTTGTTTCCTGAATTTTAATGATCACCATTCTAATTGGTGTTAGATGATATCTCATTGTGATTTTGATTTGCATTTCTCTGATGGGCAGTGATGGTGAGCATTTTTTCATGTGTTTTTTTGGCCGCATAAATGTCTTCTTTTGAGAAGTGTCTGTTCATGTCCTTCGCCCACTTTTTGATGGGGTTGTTTGTTTTTTTCTTGTCAATTTGTTTGAGTTCATTGTAGATTCTGGATATTAGCCCTTTGTCAGATGAGTAGGTTGCGAATATTTTCTCCCATTTTGTGGGTTACCTGTTCACTCTGATGGTACTTTCCCTTGCTGCGCAGAAGCGCTTTAGTTTAATTAGATCCCATTTGTCAATTTTGGCTTTTGTTGCCATTGCTTTCGGTGTTTTGGACATGAAGTCCTTGCCGTGCCTATGTCCTGAATGGTAATGCCTAGGTTTTCTTCTAGGGTTTTTATGGCTTTAGGTCTAACATTTAAGTCTTTAATCCATCTTGAATTGATTTTTGTATAAGGTGTAAGGAAGGGATCCAGTTTCAGCTTTCTACATATGGCTTGACAGTTTTCCCAGCACCGTTTATTAAATAGGGAATCCTTTCCCCATTGCTTGTTTTTCTCAGGTTTGTCAAAGAGCAGATAGTTGTAGATTTGCAGCGTTATTTCTGAGGGCTCTATTCTGTTCTATTGATCTATATCTCTGTTTTGGTACCAGTACCATGCTGTTTTGGTTACTGTAGCTTTGTAGTATAGTTTGAAGGCAGGTAGCATGATGCCTCCAGCTTTGGTCTTTTGCCTTAAGATTGACTTGGTGATGAGGGCTCTTTTTTGGTTCCATATGAACTTTAAAGAAGTTTTTTCCAATTCTGTGAAGAAAGTCATTGGTAGCTTGAATGGGATGGCATTGAATCTATAAATTACCTTTGGCAGTATGGCCATTTTCATGATATTGACTCTTCCTACCCATGAGCATGGAATGTTCTTCCATTTCTTTGTATCCTCTTTAATTTCATTGAGCAGTGGTTTGTAGTTCTCCTTGAAGAGATCCTTCACGTCCATTGTAAGTTGGATTCCTAGGTATTTTATTCTCTTTGAAGCAATTGTGAATGGGAGTTCACTCACGATTTGGCTCTCTGTTTGACTGTTATTGGTGTTTAAGAATGCTTGTGATTTTTGCACATTGATTTTGTATCCTGAGACTTTGCTGAAGTTGCTTATCAGCTTAAGGAGATTTTGGGCTGAGTCAATGGGGTTTTCTAGATATACAATCATGTCATCTGCAAACAGGGTCAATTTGACTTCCTCTTTTACTAATTGAGTACCCTTGATTTCCTTCTCCTGCCTAATTGCCCTGGCCAGAACTTCCAACACTATGTTGAATAGGAGTGGTGAGAGAGGGCATACCTGTCTTGTGCCAGATTTCAAAGGGAATGCTTCCAGTTTGTCCATTCAGTATGACATTGGCTGTGGATTTGTCATAGGTAGCTGTTATTATTTTGAGATACATCCTATCAATACCTACTTATGGAGAGTTTTTAGCATGAAGGTTGTTGAATTTGTCAAAGGCCTTTTCTGCATCTATTCAGATAATCATGTGGTTTTTGTCTTTGGTTCTCTTTTTATGCTGGATTACATTTATTGATTTGCGTATACTGAACCCGTCTTGCATCCCAGGGATGAAGCCCACTTGATCATGGTGGATAAGCTTTTTGATGTGCTGCTGGACTCAGCTTGTCAGTATTTTATTGAAGATTTTTGAGGCACACCCCAGTAGGTGCAGACTGACAATGTACACGGCCGCGTACACCTCTGAGACAAAACTTCCAGAGGAATGATCATTCAGCAGCATTCGTGGTTCACAATAAACCACTGTTCTGCAGACACCACTGCTGATACCCAGGTAAACAGGGTCTGGAGTGGACCTCTAGCAAACTCCAACAGATCTGCAGCTGAGGGTCCTGTCTGTTAGAAGGAAAACTAACAAAGAGAAAGGACATCCACACCAAAAACCCATCTGTACCTCACCATCATCAAAGACCAAAAGTAGACAAAACCACAAAGATAGGGAAAAAACAGAGCAGAAAAACTGGAAACTCTAAAAAGCAGAGCACTTTTCCTCTTTCAAAGGATTGCAGTTCCTCACCAGCAATGGAACAAAGCTGGACAGAGAATGACTTTGACGAGTTGAGAGAAGAAGGCTTCAGACGATCAAACTATGAGCTACAGGTGGAAATTCAAACCAAAGGCAAGGAAGTGAAAAACTTTGAAAAAAATATAGACGAATGTATAACTAGAATAACCAATACAGAGAAGGGCTTAAAGGAGCTGATGGAGCTGAAAGCCAAACCACGAGAACTATGTGAAGAATTCAGAAGCCTCAGGAGCCGATGCGATCAACTGGAAGAAAGGGTATCAGTGATGGAAGATGAAATGAATGAAATGAAGCAAGAAGGGAAGTTTAGAGAAAAAAGAATAAAAAGAAACAAACAAAGCTTCCAAGAAATATGGGACTATGTGAAAAGACCAAATCTACATCTCATTGACATACCTGAAAGTGACAAGGAGAATGGAACCAAGTTGGAAAACACTCTGCAGGATATTATCCAGGAGAACTTCCCCAATCTAGCAAGGCAGGCCAACATTCAGATTCAGGAAATACAGAGAATGCCACAAAGATACTCCTCGAGAAGAGCAACTCCAAGACACATAATTGTCAGATTCACCAAAGTTGAAATGAAGGAAAAAGTGTTAAGGGCAGCCAGACAGACAGGTCGGGTTACCCACAAAGGGAAGCGCATCAGACTAACGGCGAATCTCACGGCAGAAATTCTACAAGCCGGAAGAGAGTGGGGGCCAATATTCAACATTCTTAAAGAGAATAATTTTCAACCCTGAATTTCATATCCAGCCAAACTAAGCTTCATAAGTGAAGGAGAAATAAAATACTTTACAGACAAGCAAATGCTGAGAGATTTTGTCACCACCAGGCCTGCCCTAAAAGAGCTCCTGAAGAAAGCACTAAGCATGGAAAGGAACAACTGGTACCAGCTGCTGCAAAATCATGCCAAAATGTGAAGACCATCGAGACTAGGAAGAAACGGCATCAACTAACACGCAAAATAACCAGCTAACATCATAATGACAGGTTCAAATTCACACATAACAATATTAACTTTAAATGTAAATGGACTTAATGCTCCAATTAAAAGACACAGACTGGCAAATTAGATAAAGAGACAAGACCCATCTGTGTGTTATGTTCAGGAAACCCATCTCACATGCAGAGACACACATAGGCTCAAAATAAAAGGATGGAGGAAGATCTACCAAGCAAATAGAAAACCAAAAAAGGCAGGGGTTGCAATCCTAGTCTCTGATAAAACAGACTTTAAACCAACAAAGATCAAAAGAGACAAAGAAGGCCATTACAGAATGGTAAAGGATCAATTCAACAAGAAGAGCTAACTATCCTAAATATATATGCACCCAATACAGGAGCACCCAGATTCATAAAGCAAGTCCTGAGTGACCTACAAAGAGACTTAGACTCCCACACAATAATAATGGGAGACTTTAACACCCCATTGTCAACATTAGACAGATCAGTGAGACAGAAAGTTAAAAAGGATACACAGGAATTGAATTCAGCTCTGCACCAAGCGGACCTAATAGACATCTACAGAACTCTCCACTCCAAATCAACAGAATATACATTTTTTTCAGCACCACACCACACCTATTCCAAAATTGACCACATTGTTGGAAATAAAGCTCTCCTCAGCAAATGTAAAAGAAGAGAAATTATAACAAACTATCTCTCAGACCACAGTGCAATCAAACTAGAATTCAGGATTAAGAAACTCACTCAAAACTGCTCAACTACATGGAAACTGAACAACCTGCTCCTGAATGACTACTGGTTACATAACGAAATGAAGGCAGAAATAAAGATGTTCTTTGAAACCAATGAGAACAAAGACACAACATACCAGAATCTCTGGGACACAATCAAAGTAGTTTGTAGAGGGAAATTCATAGCACTAAATTCCCACAAGACAAAGCAGAAAAGATCCAAAATTGACACCCTAACATTACAATTAAAAGAACTACAAAAGCTAGAGCAAACACATTCAAAAGCTAGCAGAAGGCAAAAAATAACTAAAATCAGAGCAGAACTGAAGGAAATGGAGACACAAAAAACCCTTCAAAAAATTAATGAATCCAGGAGCTGGTTTTTTGAAAGGATCAACAAAATTGATAGACTGCTAGCAAGACTAATAAAGAAAAAAAGATAGAAGAATCAAATAGATGCAATAAAAAATGATAAAGGGGATATCACCACCAATCCCACAGAAATACAAACTACCATCAGAGAATACTACAAACAGTTCTACACAAATAAACTAGAAAATCTAGAAGAAATGGATAAATTCCTTGACACATACACTCTCCCAACACTAGCCAGGAAGAATTTGAATCTCTGAATAGACCAATAACAGTCTCTGAATTGTGACAATAATCAATAGCTTACCAACCAAAAAGAGTCCAGTACCAGATGGATTCACAGCTGAATTCTACCAGAGGTACAAGGAGGAACTGGTACCATTCCTTCTGAAAATATTCCAATCAATAGAAAAAGAGGGAATCCTCCGTAACTCATGTTATGAGGCCAGAATCATCCTGATACCAAAGCTGGGTAGAGACACAACCAAAAAAGAGAATTTTAGACAAATATCCTTGATGAACATTGAGGCAAAAATCCTATCTGTCATTCTTAATGACCCTAATGGTTATGTAAAATCCACAATAACTTTTTTTTTCTTATAACCAGCTTTTATTTTTGCAAATGCTGGTCTGTAGTGTAGTATTAATGAAGTATGTGGTTGAAAATGCTATAAATTGAAATTAGAGTTTTATGTGAGATTTCTTCTGGAAGAAATATGTAATCATATTTATCTTGTTATTGCATTCAGTTTAAAAAGAAATATAAATTTGTGTTCCCAGGTCCTAAAATAAATTGGACTACTGATATAAATGACATAAATTAAAGAAAGTAAAAAACAAAATGAAAATATATATTTTTTTGCTTCCATTACTATTATGAAGATTTGTAAAGATTTTTTTGACACATACCAATTAGTTGTAAAGAAATAAGTTCAATTCATATCTGACATTTACACCAGTATCTTTAAAATATACATATATTTCCTATGAAAGTGACCTTCTAGATAACTAATTTTACTTAAGAAATCCATAACTTTGTGACCTCCTATATAATTGATTTTTCTTAAGGAATCCATATTTTCTAATAAGTTAGATTTGAAATGTACCATTTGATTAATATGGGTAATTAGACCAGTTAAAACAATTGAATGAAAATAATCAAAACATATTAACATAACCACCTTTTTAAACAACTTACGGTCTTGGTTTAGAGCAATCAAATATCAGCAATTAGGTGATCATATCCACGTAGTAAATTTTTGGATGAAAGAAAAGAAAACAAGACAATGCTCTATAGTTTTGAGATATGTGGTTGTATGTGAGAAAGTTGACTTTCCCTTAGAAATTTCACAGATTGTTTGTACTGATGAAACAGGTTGGAAAACTAATTTATAACTTGGTAGTTTTTCACTTGATTTTCACAGAAATGCAAAAAAAAAAAAAAGAGCTATCTATCTACAAGTAAACACCTCCATTTTTCCTTAAGTTTTTGATGCTGGTATTTATCTCTACTTTATAACAGACAAAAGGATCTGTGGGAACAACGTGAAAATAGGACACCCATGGATGACTTCATCTTTATAAAACTGATGGAAGAATAAAAGCATTATTAATTACAGAAGCATTGTATGCTTTTAGCGTCAAGGGAAACTGAGACTTTAGTACTTAAAGTAACTTTTTAAACAATATTTAAAACGTTTCTGTTTTTATTTGTATAAATGTACGGGGTACAAAATCAATTTTGTTACATGGACATGTGGCATAGTTGTGAAGTCAGGACTTCCAGTGTGCCCATCACCTGAACAGTGTACATTGTACCCATTAAGTAATTTTTCAACCTCCCACACCTCCCAGCCTCTCACCCTTCCAAGTGTCCAATGTCTATCATTCTACTCCCTATCTCCCTGTACTCCCAACTGCATATATAAAAACAAAAAGCTGGGTGTGATGTCCTGTGCCTCTTCATAGGTAGTATAGCTTACCATCAAATTAACGAAAATCGAAAGGAAAAAAGCATGATGAAAGGGATGCCTTAAATAGTTCAATTATTATTTGGTGGAGATTATATGCCTCCATTTGGAACAGTGTTTGACATGGAAGGACAAACTTCTTAAATAGAATTTTGAAACGAGTTCTTTAGTAAAATAAACCCTGTAAGTCACAAATTACTATCAAACTGAAGGGATCTCTTTTTGACTGTGAGTCTCACAAATATGTCACGTAGAAAGTAAATGAGTGAAGAAAAACCACATAGAGAACCAGAGAATGACAGTTTCCCATAGATACTACATCTGATATTATTGATATTTTCTCAAGCAAAGTAAATTACCATGATAGAGTCATTTTAGATAACATTTAATTAAAAACCCTACTTAATTCAAATCATTTAAGTTATGCAAGCCTTTGAAGTTAACATGATGGTGAAGTGTATATCAACTAGTTACTACACGTTTTTAAAAATGGTTATTTTTGGCCAGGCATGGTGGCTCATGCCTGTAATCCCAGCACTTTGGGAGGCTGAGGCAGGCAGAACATGAGGTCAGGAATTCCAGAGCAGAATGACCAACGTGATGAAACCCTGCCTCTACTAATATGGGGGATTGGTCAGAGTGGTGGGAGACACTACAGAGAAATTAGCAGGCCTTCTGAATGGTCAGAAGGCTCTGCACAGCTTCAGGGAAGAGTAAGGTGAAGGCAGCTTTTCTCTTACCTGAAGCAGACGGGTGAGGAATAGGTACAAGAAAATATAGGAGAACTTAGCATAAAGAGGCTTGTTTACTTATGTTAACCAGGAATCAATCTTTGATCATCCTCACATGAGACTACTCCCAGAAAGGGGGAACAATAATGTTAATTACCCACAGATTGTGTTGGCTTCAGGCTTTCAGCATCATGTCTGTACTAAATAAAAACTAGCAGCTCCAGCAGTTCCAGCTTATCGAAACTGCTCACTCTTTGGGAGTCCCTTGGCTGCTCTTTCACTGAGTACTCCTTTAGTGCGTTTCTTTGCCAGGATCTACGGGATGGACCTGGCATACTAAAAATACAAAAATTAGCTGGATTACACCTGTAATCCCAGCTACTCAGGAGGGTGAGGCAGGAGAATCGCCTGAACCCATGTGGCAGAAGTTGCGGTCAGCTGAGATCAAGCCGCTGTACTTCAGCCTGAGTGACAGAGCGAGACTCCTCTAAAAAAAATAAAAAATTAAAAAAATTAAAAAATAAAGGGTTATTTTCTTGCTCATTGGTTGACCAAATTGACTAATAAGTAGTTGATATAGCTTGGCTGTGTCCCTACCCAAATTTCATCTTGCATTGTAGTTCCCATAATTTCATTGTGTCATGGTAGGGTCCTGGTGGGAGATAAATGAATCATGGAGGCAGGTCTTTCACATGCTCTTATCCTGATAGTGATTAAGTCTCATGAGATCTGATGGTTTTATAAGGGGAAGTTACCTTTTAAGACAGCACAAGCTCTCTTGCCTGAAGCCATGAAAGACATGACCTTGCTCTTCATTCACATTCTGCCATGATTGTGAGGCCTCCCCATCCATCTGGAACTGTGAGTCTATTAAACTTATTGCCTTTGTAAATTACCCAGTCTTGGGTGTGTCTTTATTAACAGTGTGAGAACAGACTAATACAGTAGTCTTGTTTTAAAAATATTTTATCATGGGTAAATAACCTAAGGAAAACAACTCAAAAACAGAAAGACAAATCTACATATTCTCACTTAGAAGCGGTAGCTAAGTAATGTCCACAATGGACATAGGGAGTAGAATAATAGATATTGGACACTTGGAAGGTGGGAGGCTGAGAGAGGGGGGGAGATGAAAAATTACTTAATGGATATCATGTACACTATTCAGGTGATCGGTAAATTGGAAGCCCTGACTTACAACTATGCAACATGTTCATGTAACAAAATTGAGCTTGTACACTGTACATTTATACAAATTAAAACAATAATATATTTTAAATTTGTAAAAATGTTACTATAATATAGGAAGACATGAAATAAAATGTAGAAATGCAGTAAATAGATGGTCCTCAAATAACTACATCAGGCCTATGAGAAGCAAAGGGTGGTTATGCAAAGCCCACTGAAGCAACCAGAGATTTCTCTCACTCTGAAAGTCTACCAAGAATCAGCTTGTACATATTAAAAAGAAAGGAAAACACAGGATGGTATGGTGACTCATACCTATAATCCCAGAACTTAGGGAGGCTGAGGCAGGAGGATTGCTTGAGCCTAGGAGTTTGAAAGCAGACTGGCAACATGGCAAGACCTCATCTCTATGAAAAATTCAAAAAATTAGCCGGTGGTAATGTGTACCTGTAATCCCAGGTACTCTACTCGGGAGGCTGCAGTGGGAGGAACCTGAGAGGTGGAGGCTTCAGTGAGCCAAGTTCACACCACTGCACTCCAACCTTAGTAAGAGAGTGAGACCCTGTCTCAAAATTATGCCTGAGCATAATTCCATAGAGCAGTCATTTCACCCTGAGGTGATTTTGCTTCCTGCAAGTGTAACAAACTCTAGAGACATTTAAATAACATTTTTAAAAATTTTAAATTAATTTTCAATTTAGATATAATAATTGTATATATTCACATGGCACAGTGATGTTCTGATACGTACAATGTATAGTGATCCCATTGGGGTTGTTAGCATACCTACATCGTCTCAAACATGTACCATTTCTTTGTGTTGGGAACATTCAATATCTGTAGTCATCCTGCAGTAGTATAGAAAGTACAACTTATTCCTCCTATGTAGCTGTAATTTTGTGTACTTCAACAAATTTTTCCCTATGTCCTTTTCCCCCTACCCTTCCCTGCTTCTAGTATCCTTTCTTCGACGTTTTAGTTCTATGTGACATTTTTCATTGTCACATCTATTGGAATTGGAATCTATTTGGTTAAGATCAGGAATGTTTCTCAACATGCTACATTTCACAGTGCAACCCCACAATAATGATGCAACCCTCACATGTCAATCTTCTGAGGCTGAAAAACCTTAGGTTGACAGATTCCATCTGCTTATTCCAGTGGCTTTCAACTGTTGGCTAAAAATCCCTGATGAAGACAGAGAACATCCCATTGAAAAGCTTCCTGGGGAAAATGCAGTTTTAAATGTATAATACCTATGTAAAGTTTCTTTTGTAAGTGTCCAAATGACCCAAACTTGTAATAGTTTGCTAGGGCTATCATGACAAAGTACTGCAGACTAGGCAGCTTAAACAACAGAAGTTCATATTCTGACAGTTCTGAAGGCCAAAAGTCTGAAATCAAGGGGTCAAAGGGCCATGCTCTCTCTCTCTGAAGGGACTAGGAAATATGTTCCTACCTCTGCCTCCAAGTTTGTGCTAATTATTTGGTTTGTGGCAACATAACCCTAGTCCTCTTCTTATGTGTATGTGTTTCTGTGTACAAATTTCCATTTCTATCAGGACACCAGCACCAGTCATACTGGATTAGGAATCCATCTCACTCCAGGAAGACTTCCTCTTAACCCATTTAAGCTTGAGATTCCAAACTTTTTGTGTGTGAAAATCAGACCTTTTCAATGACCTCATGCAGTTGGATTTAAATAACTCCCACAAGCTTAGCATTCCAACAATGGAACACTAGGCATAAATCGGTAACTAATTACACCAACAACAACCCGAATTACAATTAAGACCACTTTTGGATGTACTAGTGTTTAAGACTTCAACATAAAAATTTCAAAAGTACAACAAAAATACAAAATTCAACCCATAATGTTTATCCAGGTGTGCAATTTTCTTTCCTGTTTCTTCAGTTAAGGCTATTCCTTTACTGGTTGGGTCCTGTAATTCCCTCTTGACATACTGTGCCCATATCTTCCACTCCATTCCCACCTCTTCTCCACAGGCAACCAATTTTATTGGTTATTTGTTAAAATTTACACAAATGCAGGTGATGTGATTCGGATGTGTGTCCTTCCAAATTGCGTGTTCAAATGTGATCCCCAAGTTGGAAGTTACTCCTTGTGGAAGTGTTTATATTAAAGGGATGAATTCCTCATGAATGGCTTGGTGCTTTCCCCATGAGCATGAGTTACTATTAAAGCTAGTTGTTTAAAACCAGCTGGCACCTGTTACCTTTCTCTCTCACTCAGCTCATGAAGTGTGTCTGCTCTCCCTCCTACTTCTATCATAATAGTAAGCTTCCTTAGGCCTCATCAGAAGCTGAGCATATGATGGTGCCATGTTTGTATAGCCTGACGAAATTACCCAGCATCAGTTATTCTTTCATAGTGACACAGGCTAATACAGCAAGAATCTCATAATTCCAGCTGCAATTTTCTTTCCTGTTTTAATTAATAATTTCCAATTATATTTTTGTGATGAGAGGGGTATTGTTTGAATTTTTTTTTTTGCCACTTAGTATTAAATCTGTTTTTCCATCAGGACTTTGTAAGGAGTTTGTTCTGTCTATTGAGAAAATATAGTATAAAGTACAACATTTGTGCACACAAGCACAATCTATCTTATTGATTACATCGTGGGTCTTTTGTCTAATTTTTTGTTTTATCTGTCTCATACCCAGTGCAGTTCTCATCTTTTGTTTCTATCTGACATTTTACATCTCTTGTAGTTTTGGCTTCATGAAAGTTGTTGCTGTGTGTTTTATTGTATTATATCTTTTACTATTTTCTTTTTCTCAGTATGCTTTTATTCTCTTTTTTAAAAAAAATTTCAAATTTATTTTAGGTTCAAGAGGTCCATGTAGAAGTATGTTACCTGGGTATATTATGTGACATTGAGGTTTGGAGTACAAATAATTCTGTCACCCAGGTAGGGAGCATAGCACTCCAAAATTAATTATCAGCCCTTGTACCCCTCTACCCTCTCTCCTTTAGCAGTCCTAAGTGTCTATTGTTCTCATCTTTATTTCTTGATGATTTAATGCTTAGCTCCCACTTAAGGG
The DNA here is from genome assembly GCF_000001405.40 of Homo sapiens. Classification (NCBI taxonomy): domain Eukaryota; kingdom Metazoa; phylum Chordata; class Mammalia; order Primates; family Hominidae; genus Homo; species Homo sapiens. The sequence continues at coordinate 15,139,463 of NC_000024.10, read as the reverse complement.
TTTCATATGTGGTATTTGGTTTTCTGTTGTTTCATTAATTTGCTTAGGATAATGGCCTCCAGGGACATCAATGTTGCCGCAAATAGCATGATTTTTCTCTTTTAAATTGTTGCATAGCATTTCATGGTGTATATGTACCACTTTTTTGAAATTATACTTTACTATCTGGGGTAAATGTGCATGTTTGTTACATAGGTATACATATGCTATGGTGGTTTGCCGCACCCATTAACCTGTCACCTACATTAGATATTTCTCCTAATGCTATCCCTCTCCCCAAGCCTAGAGAGGCCCCAGTATATGATGTTCCCCTCCCTGTTTCAATGTGTTCTCATTTCTCAACTCTCACTGATGAGTGAGAACATGGGTGTTTAGTTTTCTGCTCTTGTATTAGTTTGCTGAGAATTTTGGTTTCCAGCTTCATCCGTGTCCCTGCAAAGGACATGAACTCATTGCTATTTATGGCTGCATAGTATTCCATGGTGTATATGTGCCATATTTTCATTATCCAGTATATCATTGATGGGCATTTGGGTTACTTGCTAGTTCTTTTCTATTGTGAACAGTGCCACAATAAACATATGTGTGCATGTGTCTTTCTAGCAGCATGATTTATAACCCTCTGAGTATATATCCAGTAAGAGGATTGCTGGGTCTGTAGGGGACAGCCCTACAGGGCCTGTGGGCTTTTCTCCCTGTATACAGAGGTGAGAGATCATAGAAATAAAGACACAAGACAAAGAGATAAAAGAAAAGACAGCTGGGCCCGTGGGACAACTACCACCAAGACGTGGAGATCAGTAGTGGCCCTGAATGCCTGGCTGCACTTTTATGTATTGCATACAAAGCAAAAGGGGCAGGGTAAGGAGTGTGAGTCATCTCCAATGATTGATAAGGTCACGTGAGTCATATGTCCACCAGACAGGGACCCTTCCCAGTTTGGCAGCTGAGGCAGAGAGAGAGAGGAGAGACAGCTTATGCCATTATTTCTGCATTTCAGAGACTTTGAATACTTTCACTAATTCTGCTACTGCTATGTAGAAGGCAGAGCCAGGTGTACAGGATGGAACATGAAAGCGGACCAGGAGCACGACTGCTGATGCACAGCCTCCGGGTAGCTGCAGGTGGGCCTGACTGATGTCAGGACCTCCACAAGAGGTGGTGGAGCAGAGTCTTCTCTAAACTCCCCTGGAAAAGGGGGAGTTACCACTAGACCAAGGAGCACTCTGGTGGCCCTATCTAGGCCTAATAGAAGGCTTGCACTCTTGTCTTCTGGTCACTTCTCACCATGTACCCTCAGCTCCTATCTCTGTAGGCCTGTTTTTTTTTTTTTAGGTTATAATTATAGAGCGAGGATTATTATAATATTGGAATAAAGGTAATTATTACAAACTAATGATTAATGATATTTATATATAATCATATCTATGATATAGATCTAGCATAACTCCTGTTATTTTATATATTTTATTACACTGGAACAGCTCGTGCCCTCGGTCTCTTGCCTCGGCACCTGGGTGACTTGCTGCCCACATGGGTCAAATGGTATTTCTGGTCCTAAATCCTTGAGGAATTGTCACACTGTCTTCACAATGGTTGAACTAATTTACGCTCCCACCAACAGTGTAAAACCGTGCTTATTTCTTCACATCCTCTACAGCATCTGTTGTTTCCTGACTGTTTAATGATCGCCATTCTAACTGGTGTGAGATGGTATCTCATTGTGGTTTTGATTTGCATTTCTCTAATGTCCAGTGATGATGAGCATCTTTTCATAGGTTTGTTGGACACATACATGTTTTCTTTTGAGAAGTGCCTGTTCATATCCTTCGTCCACTTTTTGATAGGGTTGTTTTTTCTTGTATATTTGTTTAAGTTCTTTGTAGATTCTGCATATTAGCACTTTGTCAGATGGATAGATGGCAAAAATTGTCTCCCATTCTGTAGCTTGCCTGATCACTCTGATGATAGTTTCTTTTGCTGTGCAGAAGCTCTCTAGTTTAATTAGATCCCATTTGACCATTTGGCTTTTATTGCAATTGCTTTTGGTGTTTTAGTCATGAAGTCTTTGCCCATGTCTATGTCCTGAATATTATTGCCTAGGTTTTCTTCTAGGGTTTTTATGGTTTTAGTTCTCATATTTAAGGCTTGAGTCCATCTTGAGATAATTTTTGTATAAGGTTTAAGGAAGGGATCTAGTTTCTCTTTTCTGCATATAGCTACACACTTTTCCCAATACCATTTATTAAATAGGGAATCCTTTTCCCATGGTTTGTTTTTGTCTGGTTTGTCAAAAATCAGATGGATGTAGTTGTGTGGTGTTATTTCTGAGACGTCTGTTCTGTTACATTGGACTATATATCTGTTATGGTACCAGTACCATGCTGTTTTGGTTACTGTAGCATTGTAGTACAGGTTAAAGTCAGGTAGCATGATGCCTCCAGCTTTGTTCTTTTTGCTTAGGATTGTCTTAGCTATCCGGGTTCTTTTTTTGGTTCCATGTGAAATTTAAAGCATATTTTTTTTCCAATTTTGTGAAGAAAGTCAATGATAGCTTGATGGGCATAGTATCAAATCTATAAATTACTTCAGGCAGTATGGCCAATTTCATCGTATTCTTTCTATCCATGAGTGTGGAAAGTTTTTCCATTTACTTGTGCCCTCTCTTATTTTCTTTAGCAGTGGTTTATAGTTCTCCTTGAAGAGGTCCTTCACATCACTTGTAAGTTGTATTCCTAGGTATTTTATTCTCTTTTAGCAATTGTGAATGGGAGTTGACTCATGATTTAGCTCACTGTCTGTTACCGGTGTACAGGAATGCTTGTGGTTTTTGCACATTGATTTTGTATTCTGAGACTTTGCTGAAATTGTGTATCAGCTTAAGGAGAATGGGGCTGAGATGATGGGGTTTTCTAAATATACAATCATGTCATTTGAGAACAGAGATAATTTGACTCCTCTCTTCCTGATAGTATACACTTTCTTTCTTTCTCTTGCCTGATTGTCCTGGCCAGAACTTCCAATGCTGTGTTGAATAGAAGTGGTGAGAGAGAGCATCCTTGTCTTGTGCCACTTTTCAAAAGGAATGCTTCCAGTTTTTGCTCATTCAGTATGATATGGGCTGTGGGTTTGTCATAAATAGCTCTTATTACTTTTAGATACGTTCCACCAATACCTAGTTTATTGAGAGTTTTCAGCATGAAGGCCCTTAAATTTCGTCGAAGGCTTTTTTTGCATCTATTGAGATAATCATGTGGCTTTTGCCATTAGTTCTGTTTATGTGATGGATTACATTGATTGACTTGCATATATTGTACGAGCTTTGCATCCCAGGGATGAAGCTGACTTGATCACGTTGGATAAGAGTTTTGATGAACTGCTGGATTTGGTTCGCCAGTATTTTATTAAGGATATTCGTATTGATGTTCATCAGGGATATTAGCCTGAAATTTTATTTTTTTGTTGTGTCTCTGCAATGTTTTGTTTTCAGGAAGATACTGGCCTCATAAAATGAGTTAGGGAGGAGTCACTCTTTTTCTATTGTTTGGAGTAGTTTCAGAAGAAATAGTAGGATCTCCTCTTTGTACCACTGGTAGAATTCACCTGTTAATCTCTCTGGTCCTGGACTTCTTTTGGTTGGTAGGGTATTAACTAGTATCTCAATTTCAGAACTTGTTATTGGTCTATTCAGAGAGTTGACGTCTTCCTGGTTTAGACTTGGGGGGGTATATGTGTCCAGGAATTTATCCATTTCTTCTAGATTTTCTAGTTTATTTGCATAAACGTGTTTATAGTATTCTCTGATGGTAGTTTGTATTTCTGTGGGTTCAGCATTAGTATTTCTATGGGATAGCTCTTTATCATTTTTTATTGTGTCTATTTGATACTTCTCTCTTTTCTTCTTTATTAGTCTGGCTAGCAGTCTATTTGGTTGATCTTTTTGAAAAAACAAGCTCCTGCATTCCTTGATTTTTTGAGGGGTTTTTCATGTCTCCGTCTCCTTCAGTTCTGCTCTGATCTTATTTACTTCTTGTCTTCTGCTAGCTTTTGAATTTGTTTGCTCTTGCTTCTCTAGTTCTTTTAATCATGATGTTAGTATGTTGATTTTAGATCTTTCTTGCTTTCTCTTGTGGGTATTTAGTGCTATAATTTTCCCTCTCTATACTGCTTTAAATGTGACCCAGAGATTCTTGAATATTTGGTCTTTTTTTCTCATTGATTTCCAAGAACATCTTTATTTCTGCCTTAATTTTGTTATTTACCCAGTAGTTATTCAGGATCAGGTTGTTCAGTTTCCATGTAATCGTGCAGTTTTGAGTGAGTTTCTTAATCCTACTTAATCCCCTTCCTTACACCTTATACAAAAATTATCTCAAGATGGACTCACTTTGAGTTCTACTTTAATTGCACTGTGGTCTGAGAGACAGTTTGTGATAAATTCATTTATTTTGCCTTTGCTGTGGAGTGTTTTCCTTCGAATTATGTGGTCCATTTTAGAATAAGTGTGATGTGTTGCTGAGAAGAATGTATATTCTGTTGACTTTTGGTGGAGACTTCTGTAGATGTTTATTAGGTCTGCTTGATCCAGAGCTGAGTTCAAGTCCTTGGTATCCTTTTTAATTCTCTTTTGCGTTGATGTGTCTAATATTGACAGCGGGTTGTTAAAGTCTTTTATGGGAGTCCAAGCTCCTTGTAGGTCTCTAAGAACTTGCTTTATGAATTTGGGTGCTCCTGTATTGGGTGCATATATATTTAGGATAGTTAGCTCTTCTTGTTTCATTGATCCCTTTACCATTATGTGGTGCTTTTCTTTGTCTCTTTTGATCTTTGTTGGTTTAAAGTCTGTTTTATCAGAGACTAGGATTGCAACCCATGTTTTACATTGCTTTCTGTTTGTTTGGTAAATCTTCCTTCATCTTTTTATTGTGAACCTATGTGTTTCTTTGCACATGAGACGGGTCACCTAAATACAGCACACGGATGGTTCTTGACTCTTTATCTGATTTCTCTTTTAGTTGGGGCATGTAGCCTATTTACATTCAAGGTTAATATTGTTATGTATGAATTTGATCTTGACATTATAATGTTATCTGATTATTTTGTCCATTAGTTGAGGCAGTTTCTTCACAGCCTTGATGGTCTTTACAACGTGGTATGTTTTTGCAGTGGGTGGTACCATTTGTTCTTTTTCATGTTTAGTGCTTCCTTCAAGAGCTCTTTTAAGGCAGGCCTGGTGACAAAATCTCTCAGCATTTGCATGTTGGAAAGGATTTTATTTCTCCTTCACTTATGGAGCTTAATTTGACTGGATATGACACTATTCACAATAGCAAAGACTTGGAACCAACACAAATGTCCAACAATAATAGACTTGATTAAGAAAATGTGGCACACATACACCACGGAATACTATGCAGCCATAAACAATGATGAGTTCATGTCCTTTGTAGGGACATGGATGAATCTGGAAACCATCATTCTCAGCAAACTATCACAAGGACAAAAAACCAAACACTGCATGTTCTCACTCACAGGTAGGAATTGAACAATGAGAACACATGGACCCAGGAAGGGGAACATCACACACTGGGGCCTGCTGTGGGGTTGGGGGAGAGGGGAGGGATAGCACTTGGAGATATACCTAATATTAAATGATGAGTTACTGGGTGCAGCCCAACAACATGGCACATGTATACATATGTAACTAACCTGCACCTTGTGCACACGTACCCTAAAACTTAAAGTATAATAATAAAAAAAAGAAATTCTGGGTTGAAAATTATTTTCATTCCTTTTTTTTTTTTTTTTTTTTTTCCCGAGACAAGTCTTGTCCTGTCATGCAGGCTGGAATGCAATGGCATGATCTTGGCTCACTGCAACCGCAGCCTCCAGGGTTCAAGCAATTCTCCTGCCTCAGCCACCTGAGTAGCTGAGATTAAAGGTGCACACCACCACGCCTGGCTGATTTTTGTATTTTTAGTAGAGACAGGTTTCACTATGCTGGCCAGGCAAGTCTTGAACTCCCTATCTCAGGTGGTCCACCCATCTCGGCCTCCTAAAGTGCTGGGATTACATGCGTGAGCCACCGCGCCTGGCCGAAAATTATTTTCTATAAGAATGTTGAATGCGGGCTGCCCACTCTTTTCTGGTTTGTAGCGTTTCTGCCATAAGAACCACTGTAGTCTGATGTCCTTCCCTTTGTGGGTAACCCAACCTTTCTCTCTGGCTGCCCTTAAAATTTTTTTCTTCATTTCCATCAACATTGGTGAATCTGACAATTATGTGTCTTGAGGTTGCTCTTCTTGAGGAATATATTTTTGTTGTTCTCTGCATTTTCTGAATTTGATGTTGGCCTCCCTTGCTGGGTTGGGGAAGCTTTCCTGGGTAATATCTATAAGAGAGTTTTGCAACTTAGTTCCATTCTCCTCGTCACCTTCAGGTACACCAATCAAATGTAGGTTTGGTCTTTTCACATATTGCCATATTTCTTGGAGGTTTTGCTCATCTGATTTCATTCTTTTTTGTCTAATTTTGTCTTCTTGCTTTATTTCATTGAGTTGATCTTCAATATCTGATGTCATCTCTTCTGCTTGATTGATTCAGCTATTGATACTTGTGTATGCTTCTTGAAGTTCTTGTGCTTTGTTTTTCATCTCCATCAGATCATTTATGTTCTTCTCTAAACTGGTTATTCTAGTTAGCAATTCATCTAACTTTTTTTAAGGTTCTTAGCTTCCTTGCAATGGGTTAAAACAACCTCTATATCTGGAAGGAGTTTTTTGTTACTCACTTTCTGAAGCCTACTTCTGACAGTCGTCCAATTCATTCTCCATCCAGTTTTGTTCCCATGCTGGAAAGGAGTTCTGTTCCCTTGGAGGAGAAGAAACATTCTGGTTTTGGGACTTTTCAGTCTTTTTGCACTGGTTTCTCCCCATCTTTGCAGACTTATTTATCTTTGGTCTTTGATGTTGGTGATCTTCAGATGTGGTCTCTAAGTGGACGTGATTTTTTGTGGACGTTAGCACTATTCCTTTCTGTTTCTTACTTTTTCTTCCAACAGTCAGGCCCCTCTACTGCAGGTCTTCTGGAGTTTGCTGGAGGTTCACTGGACCAGTGGAGTCTGCAGACCAGCAAAGATTGCTGCCTTTTTCTTCCTCTGCAAGCTTTGTCCCAGAGGGGCACCTGACAGGTGCCAGCCAGGCCTCTCCTGTATGAGATGTCTATCAGCCTGTACTTGGAGGTGTCTCCCAGTCAGGCTACATGGGGATCACCAGCCACTTAAGAAGGCAGTCTGTCCCTTATCAGAGCTCCAACACTGTGCTGGGAGAAATGCTGCTGTCTTCAGAGATTGCAGATAGGGATGTTTAATCTACTGAAGCTGCACTCAGCCACTCCTTCCCCCAGGTGCTCTGTCCCACGGAGGTAGGTGTTTTATTCATAAGTCCCTGACTGGGGCTTCTGCACTTTTTTCAGAGATGCCCTGCCCAGAGATGTGGAATCTAGAGAGGCAGCTGGCCTTGCTAAGCTGTGGTGGGATCTACCCAGTTTGAACTTCCCAGTAGCTTTGTTTACCCTGTGAGGATTTGTTTACGTCACCTACTCAACCCTCACCAGTGGAGGACGCCCCTTCTCCCAACTAGGTCGAGCATCCCAGGTCAACCTCAGACTGCTGTCCTGGCAGTGAGAATTTCTAGCTAGTGGATCGTAGTTTGCTGGGCTCCGTAGAGGTGGGACCCACTGAGCCAGGCATCGGAGGGCATCTCCTGGTCTGCCGGTTGAGAAGACCGTGGGAAAAGTGCAATATTTGGGCCAGAGTGTAGTCTTCCTCCTGGTACGGTCATTCACAGCTTCCCTTGGCTAGGAAAGGGAAATTCCCTAACCCGTTGTGCTTCCCACGTCAGGAGACACCCCACCCTGCTTCTGCTTGCCCTCCATGGGCTACAGCCACTGTCCAACCAGTCTCAGTGAGATGGACCGGGTACCTCAGTTGAACCATGATATTTCTAGAAGGAGTTGAGGTGTCATGATTTTATTCAATTTTGTATCAGCTAAAAATGAGAGACCATGGGAAAGAGAAGACAACTATTCTGAGTAGGCAGAACGTTTCTGACATTCTGTTCTGACCTATGATTTTAAGATTATCAAGTGACAAAATCAAATATCTTCCTTCTGTCTTTGAGACTGGGTCTCCCTCTGCTGCCCAGGCTGTAATGCAGTGGCTTGATAATGGCTCACTGCAGCCTCAACTTCCCGGGCTCACGTGATCCTCCTGCCTCAGACTCCCTAGTAACAGGGACTACAGGTTCATGCCACCATGCTCAGCTAATTTGTGTGTGTGTGTGTGTGTGTGTGTGTGTGTGTGTGTAGAGACAGGGTTTCATCTCTCAATGTCCTGTCTTGAGAATTTAAAGATCCTTTTTAAACTGATTTTACAGTTAGAAAGTGTACTCTTACCTACATTTCTCTCCTTTATGCCAAAGCAAATCTTTGCAAGTGTACACATAATTGAATTAGAAAAGGAGAAACAAGTTACAGCTTAGTATCTCATCAGCTAAATAATAAGAAAAGGTATAGGTGGAAAACAGATTAGATGTAACCTGAAGATAACAATATTTGGTCTCCATTTGTGAACTGCAACATATTATTTAAGAGACAGGAACCCAGCCAAGCTCTAGCTGGTAAACATTTAAAGTCAAGAAAATGCCTTCTCATAATAGACATTGTTTTGCAACATTGAAAGAAAATAAATATTTTTTCTATTTTGCATTAACTTTAGTTAATAAATTTTTCCCTGTGGTCAATTTATTGCAGTTTTGAAACGTTTTTAAGTTAAACTTTTTTTGACTTTTGAAATAGCTGGAGATTCCAGCTATTTAAAATATGATATTTAAATATGATATCATATTTAAATATATGATATTTATGATATCATATTTAAAATATGATAGAGATTCTATTGAACAGTTTTCTCCAATGTGTAATGTCTTGCATAACTGAAGTATAATTTCACCACCAGGATATTATTCTTGAGATGGCCACTATACAGAACAATTCTGTATTATTCCATTCTTACACTGCTATAAAGAACTGTCTGAGACTGGGTAATTTATGAAGAAAAGATGTTTAATTGACTCACAGTTCTGCGGTCTGTACAGCAAGCATGGCTGGGAGGCCTCAGTAAACTTACAATCAAGGCGGAAGGCAAAGGCGAAATGAGAAAATCACGTCAGCAGGAGAAACAGAGCATAAGAGGAAGTGCCACACACTTTTAAACAACAAGATCTCATGACAACTCACTCACTATCGCAAGAATAACAAGGGGGATATCCATCTCCATGATCCAATCGTCTCCCACTAGGTCCCTCCCCCAACATTGGGAATTACAATTCAACTTTGGATTTGGATGGAGACACAGACACAAATCATGTCAAATTCCATTCACAAAAGCATCTCCTATGTTGATCTTTTATAACCATGCCCACTTTCCTTCTACCACGAACTTTTGCCTTAAGCTCCAGCAACCACCAATTTGTTATTCATTTCTATACTTCTGTCATTTCAAAAATGTTACCTAAATGAAGTTGCTGAAGATGTATCTTTGGAAGACCAGCTTTTTACACATCCTTGGAGATCCAGACATGTTGTTGCATGTATCAATAGTTTATTCCTTTTTTTTCTTGCTAAGTAGATCCCCTGGTATGGGTGTACCAAAGTTTGCTCAATCACCAAAGTAACTTAAGTAATGTTTCAGACACTATATGTAGCCTAGAATTTTCAATATTACAGCATCTTATTTTACTTATACTAAAATGGCCTATTTCTTATTATTAATTAGTTATTTGTGTGTATCAAGTATGTATTTTAAGTTTCTGAGAGTGTATGCAAGATGCTTCTTGAATTATGATGAGTTTACATCCCCAGAAACATATTGTATACTGAAAACATTGTAAGCTGAGGATACATTAAATACATCTAACCTACCAAACATCATAGTTCTGCCCCTGCCTACCTTAAATGTTCTTGGAACATTTACATTTGCCTATTGTTGGGCAAAATCATCAAATGCAAAGCTTGCTTTGTAGTAAAGTGTTGCATATCTCTTGTAATTTATTGAATCTTGAAACAAAAGTGAAAAACAATGTTATTACATGAGGACATGACTTGAAGTGTCATTTCTACTGAGTGTAGATTTTTCACCACTGTAAAGCTATAAAATTGTAAGTTGGTCCACTGTAAGTTGTAGGGGGAGGGCACTTAGTAATTTGCAAAAAGTCATATGTTTTAAACTATAAACTGAAGAACAGGCTCCATTCAATTACTCATGTTATAGAAAACCTAAAACATGCAAAGAATTGTGCAAAGAATGATAAAATAGATATTTAAATGATTTCTTGTTTTCAATTTCAGTGTAAGTCATCATGTAGTTACTGTAGATCTTATTATGGTGCATTATATAAAGTATTTCTTATAACCATACTTAAGGTTCTAAATCACAACTTAGATTTTATTATAAATATTATTCAGATCATTTTGCCATTCAAAGAAATGTGAAAACAATAGCAAGAAATAAAAATTCTTCAGGAATAGTTAAGCAAATAGTTATTAGTGACTGTATATATCAGGATTTTTTAAAAACTGCAAATATTGTGGTAAATAATTTGCATCAGAGCTTTGAGGTGAGTATTTTTTTATGAGATAGAGTCTCATTCTGTTGTTCAGGCAGGAGAGCACTGGTGCAATCATGGCTCACTGCAGCTTAGAACTCCTTCACTCAAGTAATCCTCTCACCTCAGCCTCCTGAGTAGCTGGGACTGAGACTATAGGCATGTGCCACCACACCTGGCTACTTTTTTAAATTGTTGTACAGACAGCGTTGCACTCTGTTGACCAGGCTAGTCTTGAATTCCTGGCCTCAAGCAATCCTCCCCAAATGCTGACATTACATGTGTGAGCCACTGTGCCTGACTGCAGGTGAACATTTTTAGTAATCACTCCACATCACAGATGATGAATGTTAGGCAATAAAAGTTGAGTAACTTGCAAAGGCTCCACAGAAGTAGCAGCTCTTGGGCTGAACCCATTACTCTTGATAGATGCAATTCTGCAACCTACTGCAAAACAAATTAAACCGGAACCTTTGGGCAAGTACGGAGAGTTTGCTGGTCAGACTGACTTCAAACCTCCAAAAACCGCAATGCTCACGATACATAGCTGTGTTTTTGTGTTATGACAGGTACAGACCTTGGACCAGCCTAATCAGCCTTACCTGGGAGCTTGTTAAAAATGCAGAACCATCCCAGAGCTACCTTATGAGGTTATGCCTTGTAATAAGATCTGCAGGGGATATCTATGCAAATTAGAATTTGAGACATACCATTCTATGCCATAATTCTTAACTGTCAATCTAATTTGTTGTTACTTCTTTCCAACTGAAGAACTGATTCATCTCACAGGAGGAGATCTAATCACTAAGGAGTTTGTATCTGTCTCCCATCCCAGAGGCATACATCCTAGAAGTGCTCCAATCAGCCTAGGGTGGCTCAGTTTTTCTGTAGAGGAACAAGGTGATTTACTGATGGGAACTGAGGTGAGAAGAGGCAACCAACACATCTCTCTGCTGAAGTAATGTCATGGGCTCAATTATATGTCCCCAAAATTATAACTTAAGTTCTCTAACCTGCGATTACCTGAGAATGTGACTCTGTTTGAAGAGAGGACATTTTGAGATAATTATGTTGGAATGAAGTCATTAAAATGGACCCCAATCCAGTAAGACTGGTGTCCTCATAAGAATAGGAGAGTAGGACACAGAGACTCACATAGGGACAAACATGTGAGGACATGAGGAGAAGATAGTGTCCACAAGCCAAGGAGAGAGACTTCAGTAGGAACCAATCCTCTGACACATTGAGCTTATACTTAGCAGCCTCCAGGACTGTGAGAAATATATTTCTACTGTTTAAGCTGCCCAGTGTGTGGCATTTTGTTGTGGTAGCTCTGGCGAACTCATATAAATAAATATATATATATATATATATATATATATATATATAAATCAAAACAAGCAAATAAAATTGTATTTTGAAAAGTATATTTTCCATTTATTGTGGCAGTAGAACAAAATATCAGATGATTTTAGCATTATTAAGATTCTAAAAGTATATCTTTACACTTGAGAAACTATGTGCCATTATAACAAATCATATATTGGAAGAAAATGATTTGAACTTATTAGGTATGCTTTTGCCTCATCCCAGAAGGAAAAAGAAAATAGCCTCATGATATTCATATAAATGATGGAATGTGATTAATTTTGCATTTTACCAAGAAACATTCATATTCTATTTTCTGGACATAGAATCCTGTTTTCAAGGAGAGCTGCCATCTAAAATTATACTCACTAATTGTACAGGATAAAACTCCTAGCCCTAAGTTCTAATTTGCTTGCACACAGAACTACAGGCATATAAAATTCTAGGATTTAGGCCATGTTTGAGAAAATAACTAATATACTATTTTAACATTTTAATGCTTTCAGGCCATAAGCAAGTTGTTTCATTGTTTGCAAACATTACAATAGATTGCATATTTTTATTTGAATAAATGACAAAACATCTGGTGTTAAAAATCCCAAGAGGAAATTACTATTTGCCATTTTAGTATTATATGGGCTGCATAGAGCAGAAGTAAGATTTTGGTGGTGTTAAAAATGTCATGGTGAAAAGCTTCCATTTTTGGATTTTCATCTAGAAATGTATTGCTATAGATGAATAACAAATCTTGTCATTGGGTAGAGCTGTAGAATGGTACCAAAGATAGCCTCCAAAAACTAGTTTGTCACAGTGAATAAATTTTATTTAATTATTTGTTTCATTTTTATTTAATTATATTTTATTTGAGATAACATCTCACTCTGGAGTGCAGTGCTTATGGCCTGAAAGCATTAAAATGTTAAAATGGTATATTAGCTCTTTTCTCAACCATTGCCTGTGTCCTAGAATTTTACATGCCTGTAGTTCTGTGTGCAAGCAAATTAGAAATTAGAGCTAGGAGTTTTATCCTGTATAAGTAGTGAGAATAATTTCAGATGCAGTGATCATGGCTCACTGCAAACTGGGCCTCCCAGGATCAAATTATCTTACCTAGGGTCCCCAAATATCTGAGACTACAGGCATGTGCCACCATGCCTGATTAATTTTTTTTATTTTTATTTTTGTAGAGATGAAGTCCCACTATGTTGCTCAGGCTGTTCTTGAGCTGCCAGGCTTAAACAACCCTTTGAACATGGCCTACAAAAGTTCTGGGATTATAAGCATGAGCAACTGTGCCCAGCTTGGAGAAAATTTTAGAATGTCTATTTGATATCTGTGAGTATTTGTAACCAACTGAGTTAATTAGAAATAAGATTTACCTATATATGTATCTATGTCTACATCTTTCAAATGACTCACACAGACAAGGTGAATTATTTCATTTAGTGACATAACTGTTCACTCACAAAAAAAACAAACAACCATTGCAGGGACAAATATTGATGAGTTGCTAGCATACCCATGCTACAGTAGTCTCTGATTATCCATAAGGGGTATGTTCCAAGAACCCCAGCAGATGCCTGAGACCACAGGTAGGACTAAACCCTGTATATACTATGTTTTATCTGTGAATATGTACCTATGATGAAGTTCAATGTGTTAATTAGGCACATTCAAAGAGTAACAACAATAATACATAATATAGTAGAATAATTAAAATACCATAGTAAAAGTCATGAAAGTATGGTTTCTCTATTTCTCTGGAATTATTTAATAGTACTGTGCTTTTGGTAACAGAAACTGCAGAAAGCAAAACTGTGCATAAGAGAGAACAAATTATGTTTCTCCTTTCAGCGTTGGAAGCAAATCATGTTTCTGCTCAATAGAATTTTTACATACATAATAGGCAACTACATTGCAATGATGTTTCTGGCATTTGGCTTGGTAATTGATTTTTTTTCCCAAGTTAGGAAGGTAACAAGGTCAAACTTTCTTTTTAAAGCTGTCATGAGAGGAATAAGGGGCCCTTCCTCAGTGGTACCCGTGAGGATAGTTAAAATTGGACTTAATCTCACCACACCTTGACAGTATAATACCCTTAAGATGTGCTGAAGGTTTCTCATGTATTAATAGTTTGTTTGCTTTTTATTGCTGATTTGCTTCCATTATATAGATGCACCATAGTTTTCTTGTCCACTAAAATGACTTTAAAAATGCCTAAGACATTAAATTTACCATAGAATTTTCCATTTTCATTTATCTATACCTCTCCATGTCTTTAGAGTTTAATGATCCTTTGGTAGACAGATTTTCCATCTGGAAAGTAGACACTCACCTGCAGTACTACTTTTTCAGCTCAAACAAACCCCTGCAAATGTGCAAATAGCAATCAGCATTGGAAATGGAGAAATCCAAACTGGATGAAGTGTGAGAGGTATTGTTATCATAGGTCAGTACTTGAATGTGAGAAGAAAGAGGGAAGTTAGTTGAGAGGATGGGGGAAACCAGAAACCCAGCATTTTTCAGGTCCATTGTTCATTGTAGCCCCAAAAGATGCTTATTTTTTTCTTAGCATCCCCTTTATTAACTGTTCCTCCCTGAAATAGGAGTTGGATAGCCTTCATGGAGGGCTTTAAGAATGGAAAATGAGTGCTAATTCCTGACAATTTAGCACAAGCACACAGGAAAGGGATTTATATTTTTGTTACTTTTTCCATCTTTCTGGCACGAAGAAAAACATGTTGAAATTTCAGAAGCTTTCCAAGCCTCAATTTTATTGAGCATCGACCACTCTATCCACTATGTAATTCAACAAGAAAAATAGCAAGATTGAATTTATATTTGCAATGTGACCAGAGAGAAGAGAGAAGCTGCACCACATTACTGCCTGCAAACACTCATTTTGTTTGAATTTTTACCTGTAACTTAAACAAGTTTTCATGAATTGGTAGAGAAGAACTATTTACCAGTACAGAAAATGATTACTATGATATAATTCCTTCTTATAGACAGTATTCTCTTTTTCAAAATGTTATTTCTACCTTATATTAAAACAGTTATATGTTATGAAAAATTGAGGAAGACTTGGAATAATTGGTTATAAACGTGCAAGTTTCATTCATGCCACAGTGTGAGACATTCAATTAACTAGAGTACATTTATTTCTCTCTCTCCCCTCTCCCCACTTAATTTTATTTATTGTCTCCCTTATTTTACACAGCAAAGCATTCAAATTGAATTAAATTCAAGTAACAGAACTTGAATGCATACTCTGTGTGGTCCTGCCCAGTAAATGTGAAAAAACTACCTAAGTGTGTTTAAGACACAAAGTAACAACAATTCTATGAATGATGTTACTATTTCAGGATGCTTTGGTTATTTAACTTGCTCCATTATTGCATAGCTGGTAGTCAATGTCAATCATATTATTTAAATACTGTCTAGTTTAGCTTTACCAAAAGGATTCAGATCAAGGAATTTAGTGCTTTTCATCAAAGCATAAATTTTGACTCATTATTGTTTCCTTGTTTTGTGTGCACAAAAGGTAAACTATATATATTAGCATGTTTGGTGCATCTTCCATTTAGAGTTAATCTTTACCTAGAGTAGATTATGTTTCCTGGAGACCCAGCTCTATATGAAGATATGTTAAAATTCAGATAACCAAACTATTTAATTTAAAATAAATTCATTATATTTTGTCACCTTTTTTTCTTCATAGATTTGTAAATCTTACCAAGACATTTATGTAGAGAGGACTGTTTTGGAAAGAGCTTTATAGAGGAATTATATTATTATTATTATTATCAAATTAGCTGGTAGATACTTTCCATCTAAGAAAGCCCTAGTTTCTCTTTCCATATATGAATTCAGGATTCTTTAGCAACTATTTTTTACGCATGCAAGACACTAAAACTATAATGAAGTAGATTAAAAATCAAATTAGATTAAAGAGCTAGCTAGTATTCACATCTTTGGGATGAGAATCAGTGTGATGTTCTTTTAATACTAGAGAAAAAAAATCATGCACAGCATCAAATCAAAAACATTGGGCCCCTATAGTGCACAGGCAAACTTTTATTTTCCTATAAAATGCAACAGTTTGATAAAACAGTGAAGGCGTGCACATTTCAAATAAACTAATAAACCACAGTCCTCTGCTACCTCCTGAGTGAAGTATTGTTCAAAGGTGAAATACTTGCATTCCTTCAGTGATTCAAGGAGGGGTCATTTCTTAATCTGTTCTGAAAATGTTTGCGGCAAATATTTGCTGCTTTTTCTTAGCCACAACTGACCAACATGCAGACAAAACTTGAAAAACAAGCTTTCCTGCTAATATTATGAGCTTGATTTTAATTCAGAAAATTAAATAACCTTTTTTTTTTGGCATTACTAGACAAAAAATAACCTATCATTACTTTTTCTCAGCCTGTTCATGAGTATAGACGATCACAGAAAAAAAAGAAAAACATATAACTGGTTCAATAAAACAGCAACAAGATCAACCATCCACAGATGTCTCAGGAAGAGAATATAAATTGCTCCATGTCAGCAATGTTTTGACATTAACAGATAAAGCCCTTTGGAAAATAAGTGTTAAAGAACTACAATAACAGAAAATACACAAATATGTGTAATATGCATTAAAAATCAGTAAAAGAACAAAGAATTTTTTTGCACAACATGGTAGATAAATGTTTTGTGGATTAAGTAAGAAGACTGATTGTAATTTTGGGAGACCAGGACAAAATTAAGAGCAAGAGTTGAGGTAGATTTAACCCAGGTGAGGCAAACCACAGATGTCAGTTCAATTGTTTTTGTAGAACATGAAGGATGAAGACCTATAATATTGGATTATAAAAGAAAAGGAAGATTTTCTTCTGTGGAGCCAGGAAGAAGATGTTAACCAAACCAGATGTAAGAGAAAAGACATTTAGAATATTTTAGAAAGTATAATAAAATGAATTGGGTTTTGTGTTAAGAACAATTAAAAACAATCACTAAACTTAAATATATATTATCCAAAATTCTGATGTGTTTTGTGTGCATTATCTCTGTAGAATTTCATTTAAAAAAACTAAAGAATAACACTTTGCAATGGGAAGTATTACAATTCTTTTTAATTAAATACTTTCAGTTTTCAGAATTTCATTTAAAAAAACTAAAGAATAACACTTTGCAATGGGAAGTATTACAATTCTTTTTAATTAAATACTTTCAGTTTGCAAACATAACGCTTTTCCTGTGCACTTGAAACTTCAAATCTGTTTTATGCAGGAATTTAAACACTTTATTATTGTCCTATATTTTCATGTCCTGTGAAACTTTACCTTTTAAGATTCTCTACACAGAGGACAATTAGCTCTGCATGGTGGCAGGTGACTGCAGTCACAGCTACTCCGGAGGGCGAGGCTGAAGAATCACTTAAATTCCAGCTTGGGTGATAGAGCAAAACCGTGTCTCAAAAACTTAATAACAAAAATAATAAGTATAAATAAAATAAAAAGATTCTTTACACAGAAAAGAAACTGAATTTTGCAATAACAGTGGGGTCTTATGACAATCTGCAAGATAAATGAGAATTGGAGACCTGTTGAAGACCTATTGGAATGGAGAGATTATTACAAACATGTTGCAGTGGGGAACATATAACAGTTGAAGTCTGATTAGAAACAGACATAAAAATGTCTCTGAGACAATTAAATATTTCCTCAAACTTGCACAGTCATCCCTCAGTATCTGCAGGTGATTTTCTCCAAGACTTCCTGAGGATAGCAAAATCCTCAGATGCTCCAGTCCCTTAGATAAATACCTTTTTCCATATAACCTATGCATATCCTCTTGTATACTTTAAATAATCTCTAGATTACTTACAGTACCTAATACAATGTAAATGCCATATAAATAGGCATTTCACTGTATTTTCTGGATTTTTATTGTTATATTGTTATGTTTTAACTTTTTAATTTTTTCCCATATTAACATTATCCATCAGGAGTTGGGAGCATTTATAGATAAGGGATGCGCAAATAGAACTGATTGTACTCCCATTTTATCAAAAATAGAAACTATAGGGTGAAAATAAACTCAATAGTGCAAGGACAGCTGTAAACTTTCCCCAAATATGTCCATAATGAAAAGTTGGTGAAAACTGAAAATGGAAAACATTTCTATCAAATAACTAATGTAGAGGAGGTGAAATCACATGTATTTGAGCTTTGATTTTTCTGTTTAGGGGTTTTATTTGTTGTTCTGTCTTTCTACTCTCTTGGAAAATACTAAAAAATGCACATTACATATATATAGTCTACAGAACGTGTTTGTGAGAAGCATGTAAAATTCTAATGTCATCTCTAGAGAGAAAGGGACTTTTTTCTGGCTTGATAATTTGTGAAAGAATAAAAGTAAAAATAATAACTTTCCAAAAACTGCCACATTTAATTTTATGAAAATAATTATGTTGTGAGTTAAATCATCGGTAATCCTAGTTTTCAGAATGTCAGTGAATAAAATGAAAGTAACCTAAAAAGTTTGCTATGTGTGTTTGTAACACTTCACTTTCATAAACTTCACCTTACTATTAAGCAGCACACCAACATGGGACATGTATACATATGTAACAAACCTGCACGTTGTGCACAAGTAGCCTAAAACTTAAAGTATAATAATAATGAAATTTAAAAAATAAAAATAAAAAATAAATAAAAGAGAAACAACAACAACAACAACACTTGTGGAGTTTAATGGCTGCTGGTTAGTCTTCAAAACAGAAGCATTGGAGTGCAAGATCAAGGCATTGGCAGGGCTGACTCCTTCTGAGGCCTCTCTCCTCGGCTTGTAGATGCTGTCTTCTCCCTGTGTTCTCATATGGTCGTGCCTCTGTGTCCTCATCTCTTTTTCTTATAAGGATACCGGTCTACTTTATAAGGGCTCACATCCACATGACTTAATTTTACATTAATCACCTCTTTAAGGATGGTGTATCCAAATACAGTCACATACAATGGTACTGGGATTTAGAAATTAAACGTAGGAATTTTTGACAGCGTATAGCCCATGATAGATACCTTGATCCAATTTAAATGTATTAAATGGATATTAAAAGCTTAAATGGCTTGTCCAGGATTACACAAACGCACACAGTAACTAACACAGAATTATCAAATGCAGGTCTGTCAAATTCCAGAGTTTCTCTTGTTCTGATTTTAGGCACTTAGTCATTTAGGAGGTTTGTAACTATTGCAAGGGTAGTTAACATCAAACACAAACCAGTGGTTAGAAGACAAAACAAAAGATGGTATATTTAAATTAAATAAGAAGAAAATATTACCAAATACAGACTTGTTTACCAAAAAATATAATTTTAAAGTTAAATATAGACATTTTAATATAGATGATGAATCAAGTACCCATTCATATATTTTCATGACTTCTAATGCTTCTAAACACTGTAAAATTGACCACATAATTTTGCAAACTTGAACATATATTTTCCCTTGTGAATTATTATATTACGTTTATAACATAAATAGAGAAACCTTTCTGTAGATAGTGCTTTGAGAGAATCTAGGTACTCTTTAGATAAGTACAAATTATTTTTAAATGGATACACAAGGATGCATCAGATGAATTTTTTTTTAATTATATTTTAAGTTCTGGGGTACATATGCACAATGTACCCGCTTGTTATTTACATATCCAAGTGCCATGTAGGTTTGCTGCACCCATCAACTAATCATCTACATTAGGTATTTCTTCTAATGCTATCCCTCCCCTAGCTCCCCCACCCCTCAACAGGCCCCAGTTTGTGATGTTTCCCTCCCTGTGTCCATGTGTTCTCATTGTTCAACTTCCACTTTGAGTGAGAACATGTGGTATTTGATTTGCTGTCCTTGTGATAGTTTGCTGAGAATGATGGCTTCCAGCTTTATCCATGTCCCTGCAAAGGAAATGAACTCATCCATTTTCTGGCTACATAGTATTCCATGATGTACATGTGCCACATTTTCTTTATTCAGTCTATTGTTGATGGACATTTGGATTGGTTCTAAGTCTTTGGTATTGTGAATAGTGCTGCAATAAACATACGTGTGCATGTGCCTTTATAGTAGCATGATTTACAATCATTTGGATATATACCCAGTAATGGGATTGCTGGGTCAAATGGTATTTATAGTTCTAGATCATTGAGGAATTGCCACACAGTCTTTCACATGGTTGAACTGATTTACACTCCCAACAACAGTGTAAAGTGTTCCTATTTCTCCACATCCTTCCCAGCATCTGTTGTTCACTGATTTTTTTAATGATTTCCATTCTAACTGGAGTGAGATGGTATTTCATTGTGGTTTTGAATTGCATTTATCTAATGACCAGTGATGATGAGCATTTTTATATGTTTGCTGGCTGAAGAAATGTCCTCTTTTGAAAAGTGTCTGTTCATATCCTTTGCCCACTCCTTAATAGGGTTGTTTGTGTTTTTCTTGTAAATTTGTTTAATTTCATTTTACATTTTGCGTATTAGCTCTTTGTCAGATACATAGATTGCAAAATTTTTCTCCCATTCTGTAGGTTGCCTGTTTACTCTGATGATAGTTTCTTTTGCTGTGCAGAAGCTCTTTAGTTTAACTAGATCCCATTTGTCAATTTTGGCTTTTGTTGCCATTGTTTTTGGTGTTTCAGTCATTAAGTCTTTATCTATGCCTATGACTTGAATGGTATTGCCTAGGTTTCCTTCTAGGGTTTTTATGGTTTTGTTTCTTACATTTAAGTCTTTAACCACCTTGAGATAATTTTTGTATAAGATGAAAGGAATGGATCCAATTTCAGCTTTCTACGTATGGCTAGTCAGTTTTCCCAATAACATTCATTAAATAGGGAATCCCTTCCCCATTGCATGTTTTAGTCAGGTTTGTCAAAGATCAGATGGTTGTAGATGTGTGACGTTATTTCTGAGACCTCTATTCTGTTCCATTTGTCTATATATCTGTTTGGTACCAGTACCATGCTGTTTTGGTTACTGAAGCCTTGTAGTATATTTGAAGTAAGGTAGTGTGAGGCCTCCAGCTTTGTTATTTTTACTTAGGATTGTCTTGGCTATGAGGGCTCTTTTTGGTCCTGTGAAATTTAAAGTAGTTTTTTTTTTTTTTAATTCTATAAAGAAAGTCAGTGGTAGCTTGATGGGAATAGCATAGAATCCATAAGTTACTTTGAGCAGTATGGCCATTTTCACGACATTGATTCTTCCTATCTATGAGCATGGAATGGCCTTTCATTTGTTTGTGTCCTCTTTCATTTCATTGAGCAGTGGTTTGTAGTTCTCCTTGAAGAGGTCATTCACATCCCTTTTAAGTTGCATTCCTAGGTATTTTATTCTCTTTGTAACAATGGTGAATGTGAGTTGACTCATGATTTGGCTCTCTGTTTTTCTGTTATTGGTGTACAGGAATGCTTGTGATTTTTTACACATCGATTTTGTATCCTGAGACTTTGAAGAAGTTGCTTATCAGCTTAAGAAGATTTGGAGCTGAGTCGTTGGAGTTTTCTAAATATACAATCAGGTCATCTGCAAACAGAGACAATTTGACTTCCTCTATTCATGATTAAATATCATTTATTTATTTCTCTAGCCTGATAACCCTGGCCAGAATTTTCAATATTATGTTTAATAGGAGTGGCGAGAGGGCATCCTTTTCTTGTGCCAGTTTTCAAAGGGAATGCTTCCAGTTTTTGCCCATTCAGTATGATATTGACTGTTGGTTTGTCATAAATAGCTCTTATTATTTTGAGATATGCTCCATCAATAACTAGTTTATTGAGAGTTTTCAGCATGAAGGGCTGTTGAATTTTGTCAAAGGACTTTTTTCCATCTATTGAGATAAAAATGTGGTTTTTGTCATTGGTTTTGTTTATGTGATGGATTACATGGATTGATTTGCATATGTTGAACCAGCTTTGCATCCCAGGGATGAAGCTGACTTGATCGTGGTGGATAAGCTTTTTGATGTGCTGCTGGATTCGGTTTGATAGTATTTTACTGAGGGTTTTTGCATTGATGTTTATCCCGGATATTGGCCTAAAATTCTACTTTTTTGTTGTGTCTCTGCCAGGCTTTGCTATCAGGATGATTCTGCCCTCATAAAATGAGTTAGGGAGGATTCCTTCTTTCTTTGTTGATTGGAATAGTTTCAGAAGGAATGGTAACAGCTCCTCTTTGTACCTCTGGTAGAATTTGGCAGTGAATCTCTCTGGTCCTGGACTTTTTTTGGTTGTTATTGGTATATTCAGAGATTCGACTTCTTTCTGGTTTAGTCTTGGGAGGGTGTATGTGTTTCTGTGAAATTGATGGTGATACCCCCTTCATTTTTTATTGCATCTGTTTGATTCTTCTCTCTTTTCTTCTTTATGATTCTTGCTAGTCATCTATTTTGTTGATCATTTCAAAAAACCAGCTCGATTCATTGATTTTTTAAGAGATTTTTGTTTCTCTATCTCCTTCAGTTCTTCTCTGAATTTAGTTACTTCTTCTTTTCTGTTAGCTTTTGAGATCGTTTGTTCTTGTTTCTCTTGTTCTTTTAATTGTGATGTTAGGGTGTCAATTTTAGATCTTTCCTGCTTTCTCTTGTGGGCATTTAGTGCTATAAATTTCTTTCTACACATTGCTTTACATGTGTCCCAGGGATTCTGGTACATTTTGTCCTTTTTCTCATTGGTTTCAAAGAACATCTTTACTTCTGCCTTAATTTTGCGATTTAGCCAGTAGTCATTCAGGAGCAGGTTGCTCAGTTGCTGGGGATTGTTTTACTTCCAATTATGTGGTCAATTTTTAGAATAAGTGCCGTGTGGTGCTGAGAAGAATGTATATTCTGTTGATTTTGGGTGGAGAGTTCTGTAGATGTCTTTTAGGTCTGCTTGGTCCAGAGCTGAGTTCAAGTCCTGGGTATCCTTGTTAATTCTCTGTCTCACTGATCTGTCTAATATTGTCAGTGGGGTGTGAAATTCCCGCACTATTATTGTGTGGGAGTCTAAGTCTCTTTTTCGGTCCCTAAAAACTTGCTTTATGAATCTGAGTGTTCCTGGATTGGGTGCATATATATATTTAGGGTAGTTAGCTCTTCTTTTAGCTTTGATCTCTTTATCATTATATAGTGCTTTTCTTTGTCTTTTTTGATCTTTGTTGGTTTAAAGTCTGTTTTATTAGAGACTAGGATTGCAACCTCTGCTTTTTTTTCTTTCAATTTGCTTGGTAGATGACTTCCTCCATCCCTTTATTTTGATCCTATGTGTGTCTTTGCACTTGAGATGGGTCTCCTGAACACTGCACATGGATTGTTTTGACTGTTTATCCAATTTGCCAGTCTGTGTCTTTTAATTGAGACATTTAGCCAGTTTACACTTAAGGTTAATATGTTATGTGTGAATTTGATCCTGTCATTATAATGCTTGCTGATTATTTTGCCCATTACTTGATGCAGTTTCTTAATAGCATCAATGGCCTTTACAATGTGCCATGTTTTCTCACTGGCTGAGAGACAGTTTGTTATAATTTCTGCTCTTTTACATTTGCTGAGGAGTGCTTTACTTCCGACTATGTGGTCAATTTTAGAATAAGTGCAGTGTGATGCTGAGAAGAATGTATATTCTGTTGATTTGGGTTGGAGAGCTCTGTAGATGTCTTTTAGGTCCACTTGGTGCAGAGCTGAGTTCAATTCCTGGATATCCTTGTTAACTTTCTGTCTTTCTGATCTGTCTCATATTGACAGTGGGGTGTTAAAGTCTCCCATTATTATTGTGTGGGAGTTTAAGTCTCTTTGTAGGTCTCTAAGGACTTGCTTTATGAATCTGGTTGCTCCTGTATTGGGTGAATATATATTTAGAATAGTTAGCTCTTCTTATTGAATTGATCCCTTTACCATTATGTAATGGCCTTGTCTCTTTTGATCGTTGTTGGTTTAAAGTCTGTTTTATCAGAGACTAGGATTGCAACCTTTGCCTTTTTTTGTTTTCCATTTGCTTGGTAGATCTTCCTCCATCCCTTTATTTTGAGCCTATGTGTGTCTCTGCATGTGAACTGGGTTTCCTGAATACAGTACACTGATGGGTCTTGACTCTTTATCCAATTTGCCAGTCTGTGTCTTTTACTTGAAGCATTTAGCCCATTTCCATTTAAGGTTAATATTGTTATGTGTAAATTTGATCCTGTCATTATGATGTTAGCTGGTTATTTTGCTCATTAGTTGATGCAGTTTCTTCCTAGCCTTGATAGTCTTTGCAATTTGGCATGTTTTTGCAGTGGCTGGTCCAGTTGTTCCTTTCCATGTTTAGTGCTTCCTTCAGGAGCTCTTTTAGGGAAGGCCTGGTGGTGACAAAATCTCTCAGCATTTGCTTGTCTGTAAAGTATTTTATTTCTCCTTCACTTATGAAGCTTAATTCGGCTAAATATGAAATACTGGGTTGAAAATTCTTCTCTTTAAGAATGTTGAATATTGGCCCTCACTCTCTTCTGGCTTGTATAGTTTCTGCCAAGAGATCATCTGTTAATCTGATGGGCTTCCCTTTGTGGATAGCCCGACCTTTCTCTCTGGCTGCCCTTAACATTTTTTCCTTCGTTTCAACTTTGGTGAATCTGACAATTATGTGTCTTGGAGTTGCTCTTCTTGAGGAGTATCTTTGTGGCATTCTCTGTATTTCCTGAATTTGAATGTTGGCCTACCTTGCTAAATTGGGGAAGTTCTCCTGTATAATATCCTGCAGAGTGTTTTCCAACTTGGTTCCATTCTCCCCATCACTTTCAGGTACACCAATCAGATGTAGATTTGGTCTTTTCACATAGTCCCATATTTTCTGGTGGCTTTGTTCATTTCTTTTTATTCTTTTCTTTCTCTAAACTTCTCTTCTCACTTCATTTCATTCATTTGATCTTCTATCACTGATACCCTTTCTTCCAGTTGATCAAATCAGCTACTGAGGCTTGTGCATTCCTCATGTAGTTCTCCTGCCTTGGTTTTTAGCTCCATCAAGTCCTTTAAGGACTTCTCTGCATTGGTTATTGTAGTTAGCTATTCATCTAATTTTTTTTCAAGGTTTTTAACTTCTTTGTCATGGGTTTGAACTTCCTCCTTTAGCATAGAGTAGTTTGATCATCTGAAGCCTTCTTCTCTCAACTCATCAAAGTCATACTCTGTCCAGCTTTATTCCATTGCTGGTGAGGAGCTGCGTTCCTTTGGTGGAGGAGAGGTGCTCTGATTTTTAGAGTTTCCAGTTTTTCTGCTCTGTTTTTTCCCCCATCTTTGTGGTTTTATCTAGCTTTGGTCTTTGATGATGGTGACATACAGATGGGGTTTTGTTGTGGATGTCCTTTCTGTTTGTTAGTTTTCCTTCTAACAGTCAGGACCCTCAGCTGCATTTCTGTTGGAGTTTGCTGGAGGTCCCCTCCAGACCTTGTTTGCCTGGGTATCAGCAGCGGAGGTGGCAGAAGAGCGGATATTGGTGAGCAGCAAATATTGCTGCCAGATCATTCCTCTGGATGTTTTGTCTCAGAGGAGTACCCGGCCGTGTGAGGTGTCAGTCTGCCCCTACTAGGGGGAACCTCCCAGTTAGGCTACACTGGGATCACGGACCATTGTAACATTTTTATTTGGTTCTCCTTTATATCTTTTAGTTTTTTTGATGGGACTTTGTTTCTTTTATTTGATCCAATCAGATTTGCAGCTGATAAGTTTTGGTAACTTTTAGTAGCATCAATAGAAAACAAAATAGTTATTTGGTGTTTTTTCTAACAGAAGTTGCAGGAACTATACATCCTAAATGTGCATTTTTCCCCCATGGGCACTATCTTTTAATGACAGCATGGTTATATAAACTGGTAGTTTACACATTTCTTCTTTCAGTAGTTTGTATACATTGTTACATGGTCTTCTAACACTGAACATTTCTGTCTTGACAACTAACACCTGTCTTATTGGACCCTAACCCACATAAGTGGTCTTATCATGTAACATGCTGCCCCATTGATTTATTTTTTGTTTTCTGAAAAGTCTAGAATATCTCAGGTTGATCTACTTTGGGAATAATATAAAATATAAATATAATATATAAATATAATATATCTTTATATTATATGATATAAAGCTTATAGAGATATATCTATAATGTAAAGCCTATAGACATATGTCTTATTCCTGGGAAGTTTTCTCAGATTAATCTGTAAATGTTTACATATGCTATTATTTAATTTATTTTATTTGAACACGCTTGTGTATATTGGATAAGAACCAATAGTTTTATCAGGCACATGACAGAAAGGGAAATAGCAGGGTTTAATTACGTCTGCAAAAATAACCTTTCTCTTAATTAAAATTCTAATTAAAACATAGATATAATCTTTCATCTTTTATTTTGCTAAATTTTAACAATCTCAAGCAAACAAGGACTTAGAAGAGATGGGCATTTAGAGAATCACATATAGACCCATAAGGAACCTCAGTTAGTAAAACCTTTGGAGAAAATTTAGAAAAGCTTAGTTGTGAGTAGAAAGCCACCTAGGTGCTGAGGCAAGAGACTGAAAGCACAAGCTGTTCCAGTATAATAAAGAAAATAATTAGAATAAGAAAAGACATACTAGAAATAGGATATAGATCTGATTACATATGAATATTATGAATCATTAGTTGGTATTGTTGGTCTTTGTTTTATTATTATAATAATCTCTGTTTTATATTCATAACCTAGGAAACACCAAGCCATACAGAGTTAAGAGCTGAAGGGACATTGTAAGAAGTGACCAGAAGACAAGAGTGTGAGCCATCTGTCACACTCAGATAAGGGATGCTTGAGGGCTCCTTGGTCTAGCGGTAGCACCAGTGCCTGGTAAGGCACCCATTACTTAGCAGACCTTGGTCTAGCAGTAGTGCCAGTGCCCGGGAAGGCACCTGTTACTTAGCAGACTGAGAAAGGGAGTCTCCCTTTCCCTGGAGGAGTTAGAGAACACTCTGCTCCACCAGCTTTTGTGGGAGGCCTGCCATTAGCCAGGCCTGCCCACAGTCATCTGGAGGCTTAAACGTCTCCCTGTGGTACAGTGTTTCAGTGGTCACACCCCTTGTCCACTTTCATGTTCTGCCTGTACACCTGCTGCCTCTCTTAAGTTCTTAGAAGATAGCAGTACCAAAATTAGTGAAAGTATTAAAGTCTTTGATCTTTCGGATAAGTTCACAGAAGAAATGCTGATGTATGCTGTCCTCCCTCTCTGCTTCGACTACCACAAATGGAGAGACCCCTTGCATTGTGGATACGTGACTTGCTTGAACTTATCAATGATTTGAGATGACTCACCTCCTTATCCTATCCCCTTGCCTTGTATACAATACATATCAGCAAGTCCAGGCATTCGGGGCCACTACCTGACTCCGTGCATTAGTGATAGTGGTCCCCCGGGCCCAGCTGTCTTTTTCTCTCTCTTTGTCTTATGTCTTTATTTTTAAAACCCACAAGCCCTGTAGGGCTGGACACTACACTTAGAAATTTAGTTTTTTATATCCTCTGACCTCAAAGTTATAATGCTAAGATTGAGTGCACAAATGACTACATGTACAGAAAATGATTTGTAGACAGGTATTAAAATACAATTTCAAAAAAAAAAAGGAGCTGGGCATAGTGGAACCTCTCTGTAATTCCAGTGGTTTGGGAGACCAAAATGGGAAGATTGCTTGAGATCAGGAGTTTGGGACCAGCTTGTGCAACATAGCTCTTTGTATAAAAAACTAAATCAAAAATTTGTCAGACTTAATCATGCCTGTCTATAATCACAGCTACTTGAGAGGCTGAGATGGAAGATCACTTAATCCCAGGAGTTCAAAGATGCAGTGAGCTGTGATTGCACTACTTCACTCCACCGTGGGAGACAAAGTGAGGCACTGTCTCTTAAATAAACAAATAAATAAATAGATGCATTGTTTTTATTTAAAAAAAAACTGACAAATGAAAAACAGAACATTTGAAGTAACTATTGAAATACTTTATTTCCATCAATAGAAGAGGGCTCGCTTAAAGTAAGGTGTAAAGTACAGAGAAATACAACAGAAATTTAAAAGAATGAAATAGATTGATATCATTTGTCATAAAAGAGCTCAAGATTATGTTTTTAATTAAAAAGTAACATTTTAAATGCATGATGTAGAAAAATGAATAATTGGCCTCTATTTCTATAAAGTAACAAAAAACCTACAAAAAGTGCTATCTCTTCACATAAAAAATATTTCTCAACATTCACAGGTGACAACGAATGCTTTTTCAATGATCATATGATAGGCATTATTCTATTTATTTGGTAATTATTCTCAGTAAGGGGTAAAATTTCAGTATAGGTTCCAAGATGGCCAAATAGGAATAGCTCCGGTCTGCAGCTCCCCGTGAGGAGGCAGAAGACGGTGATTTCTGCATTTCCAACTGAGGTACCTCATTGGCCAATGGGTGCAGCCCATGGAGGGCAAGCCAAATCAGGGCGAGGGATCGCCTCACCTGGGAAACGTGCGGGGTTGGGGTATTTCCCTTTCCTAGCCAAGGGAAGCCACAAGAGTCTGTACCGTGAAGAATGGTAGACTCCAGCAAAAATACTGCACTTTTCCCATGGTCTTTGCAACTGGCAGACCAGGAGATTCCCTCTGGTGCCTGGCTCTGTGGGTCCCATGCCCACGGAGCCCAGCAAGCTAAGGTCCATTGGTTTGGAATCCTCACTGCTAGCACGGCAGTCTGAGATCTACCTGGGAAGCTGGAGCTTGATGTGGGGAGGGGCGTTAGCCTTTGCTGAGGCTTGAGTAGGCAGTTTTATCCTCACACGGTAAACAACACTGCTAGGAAGCTCAAACTGGGCGGAGCCCACTGCAGATCAGCAAGGCTGATTGCCTCTCTAGATTCTACCTCTGTAGGCAAGGCATATCTGAACAAAAGGCTGCAGCCCCAGTCAGGGACTTACAGATAAAATCCTCATTTCCCTGGGACAGAGCACCTTGGGGAAGTGATGGCTGTGGGCCAAGTTACTGCAGACTTAAATGTTCCAGCCTGACAGCACTGAAGAGACCAATAATTCTCCCAGCATGGCAGTTCAGCTCTGATATCAGAGAGATTACCTCCTCAAGTGGGTCCCTGAACCGTGCATAGCCTGACTGGGAGACACCTCCCAGAGGGAGCAGACAGACACCTCATACTCAGAAGTCAAATCTCTGATTAGACCTCATATAGGAGAGATCTGGCTGGCAGCTGGCAGGTTCTCTTGTAGGATGAAGCTTCCAGAGGAAGGATAAAAAAGGAATATTTGCTGTTCTGAAGCCTCTGCTGGTTATACCCAGGTAAACAGGGTCTGATGTGGAACTCCAGCAAACTCCAATGAACCTCCAGCAGAGGGGCCTGTTTGAAGGAAAACTAACAAAAAGGTAGGAATAGCATCAACATCAACAGAAAGGACATCCACAACGAAAACCCATGTAGTTCAACAACATCAAAGAAAATATGGTAGATAAAACCACAAAGATGGGGAGAAATCACAAAAGAAAGGCGAAAAATTCCAAAAAACCGAATCCTCTTCCCCTCCAAAGATTCGCAACTCCTTGCCAGCAAAGGAACAAAACTGGACAGAGGTTGAGTTTGACGAGTTGACAGAAGTAGGCTTCAAAATGTGGGTAATAACAAACTTCTCTGAGCTAAAGGAGCATGTTCTAACCCGTTGTAAGGAAACTAAACCTTGAAACAAGGTTAGATGAATGGCTAACTAGAATAACCAGTGTAGAAAAGAACACAGATGACCTGATGGAGTTAAAATGACAGCACAAGAAATTCGTGCAGCATATGCAAGCTTCAATAGCTGATTTCATCAAGCAAAAGAAAGGATATCAGTGATGGAACATCAAATTAATGAAATAAAGCAAGAAGACAAGATTACGGAAAAAAAGAGTGAAAAGAAATGAACAAAGCCTGCAGGAAATATCGGACTATGTGAAAAGACCAAACCTACCTTTGATTGGTGTACCTGAAAGTGATGGGGAGAATGGAACAAAGTTAGAAAACACCCTTCAGGATATTATCCAGGAGAATTTACCCAGCCTAGCAAGGCAGGCCAACATTCAATTTCAGGAAATACAGAGACCACCACAAATATATTCCTTGAAAAGAGCAACTGCAAGACACATAATCGTCAGATTCCCCATGAAGGAATCTGAAATGAAGGAAAAAATATTGATTGCAGCCAGAGAGAGGTTGGATTACCCACAAAGGGAAGCCCATCAGACTAATGGTGGATCTCTGGGCACAAACCCTATAAGCCAGAGGAGAGTGGGGCCAATATTCAACATTAAAGAAAAGAATTTTCAACCCAGTATTTCATATCCAGCCAAAATAAGCTTTTTAAGCTAGAAAGACTAATAAAGAAGCAAAGAGAGAAGAATCAAATAGATGTAATAAAAGTGATAAAGGGGATATCACCACAGATTACACAGAAATACAAATTATCATCAGATAATACTATAAACAACTCTATGCAAATAAACTAGAAAATCTAGAAGAAATGGATAAATTCCTCAACACGTACACACTCCCAAGGCTAAACCAGGAAGAAGTTGAATCTCTGAATAGGCCAATAAAAGGCTCTGAAATTCAGGCAATAATTAATAGCTTACCAAACAAAAAAAGTCCAGGACCAGATGAACTCACAGCCGAATTCTACCAGAGGTACAAGGAGGAGCTGCTACCATTCCTTCTGAAACTATTCCAATCAATAGAAAAAGAGGGAATCCTCCCTAACTCATTTTATGAGGCCAGCATCATCCTGATACCAAAGCCTGGCAGAGGCACCACAAAAAAAGGAATTTTAGACCAATATCCCTGATGAACATTGATGCAAAAATCCTCAATAAAATACTGGCAAAACGAATCCAGCAGCACATCAAAAAGCTGATCCACCATGATCAAGTGGGCTTCATCCCTGGGATGGAAGCCTGGTTCAACATAAGCAAATCAATAAATGTAATCCAACATATAAACATAACTAACAACAAAAACCATATGATTATCTCAATAGATGCAGAAAAGGCCTTTAACAAAATTCAACAGCCCTTCATGCTAAAAACTCTCAATAAATTAGGTATTGATGGGACGTATCTCAAAATACTGAGAGCTATCTATGACAAACCCACAGCCAATAGCATACTGAATAGGCAAAAACTGGAAGCATTCCATGTGAAAACTGGCACAAGACAAGGATGCCCTCTCTCACCACTCCTATTCAACATAGTGTTGGAAGTTCTGGCCAGGGCAATCAGGCAGGAGAAGGAAATAAAAATATTCAATTAGGAAAAGAGGAAGTCAAACT
The DNA here is from genome assembly GCF_000001405.40 of Homo sapiens. NCBI lineage: Eukaryota > Metazoa > Chordata > Mammalia > Primates > Hominidae > Homo > Homo sapiens. The sequence continues at coordinate 15,108,074 of NC_000024.10, read as the reverse complement.
GTCCTTGTTTGCATATGACATGATTGTACATCTAGAAACCCCATCGTCTCAGCCCAAAATCACCTTAAGCTGATAGGCAATTTCAGCAAAGTCTCAGGGTACAAAATAAATGTACAAAAATCACAAGCATTCTTATACACCAATAACAGACAAACAGAGAGCCAAATCATGAGTGAATTCTCATTCACATTTGCTTCAAAGAGAATAAAATACCTAGGAATCCAACTTACAAGGGACATGAAGTACCTCTTCAAGGAGAACTACAAACCATTGCTCAATGAAATAAAAGAAGATAAAAACAAATGTGAGAACATTCCATGCTTATGGGTAGGAAGAATCAATATCATGAAAATGGCCATATTGCACAAGGTAATTTACAGATTCAATGTCATCCTCATCAAGTTATCAAAGACTTTCTTAACTGAACTGGAAAAAGCTACTTTAAAGTTCATATGGAACCAAAAAAGAGCCCACATTGCCAAGTCAATCCTAAACTAAAAGAACAATGCTGGAGGCATCATGCTACCTGACTTCAAACTGTACTACAAAAGTACAGTAACCAAAACAGCATGGTACTGGTACCAAAACAGAGATATAGACCAGTGGAACAGAAGAGAGCCCTCAGAAATAATGCCACATATCTACAACCATCTGATCTTTGACAAACCTGACAAAAACAAGAAATGGGGAAATGATTCCCTATTTAATAAATGATGCTGGGAAAACTGGCTAGCCGTATGTAGAAAGTTGAAACTGCAGCTGTTCCTTACAATTTATACAAAAAATAATTCAAGATGGATTAAACACCTAAATGTTAGACCTGAAACCTTAAAAACCCTAGAAGAAAACCTAGGTAATACCATGCAGGACAAAGGCATGGGCAAGGACTTCATGTCTAAAACACCAAAAGCAATGGCAAAAAAGCCAAAATTGACAAATGGGATCTAATTAAACTAAAGAGCTTCTGCACAGCAAAAGAAACTACTATCAGAGTAAACAGGCACCCTACAAAATGGGAGAAAATTTTTGCAATATACTCATATGACAAAGGGCTAATATCCAGAATCTACAACGAACTCAAACAAATTTACAAGAAAAAACAAACAACCCCATCAAAAAGTAGGCAAAGGATATGAACAGACCCTTCTCAAAAGAAGACATTTATGCAGCCAAAAGACACATGCTAGATACCATCTCACACCAGTTAGAATGGCAATCATCAAAAAGTCAGGAAACAATAGGTGCTGGAGAGGATGTGGAGAAAGAGGAACACTTTTACACTGTTGGTGGGACTGCAGACTAGTACAATCATTGTGGAAGCCAGTGTGGCAATTCCTAAGAGATCTAGAACTAGAAATACCATTTGACCCAGCAATCCCATTACTGGGTATATAGTCAAAGGATTATAAATCATGCTGCTATGAAGACACATGCACAGTATGTTTATTGCGGCACTATTCACAGTAGCAAAGACTGGGAACCAAGCCAGATGTCCAACAATGATACACTGGATTAAGAAAATGTGGCACATACACACCATGGAATACTATAAAGCCATAAAAAAGGATGATTTCATGTCCTTCAAAGGGACATGGATGAAGCTGGAAACCATCATTCTCAGCAAACTATCACAAATACAAAAAAAAAAAAAAAAGAAAAAAAAACACTACATGTTCTCACTCACAGGTAGGAATTGAACAATGAAAACACTCAGACACAGGAAGGGGAACATCACACACTGGGGCCTGTTGTGGGGTAGGGCGAGGTGGAGGGATAGCATTAGGAGATTTAACTAATGTTAAATGACGAGTTAACGGGTGCAGCACACCAACATGTAACATGTATACATATGTAACTAACCTGCACGTTGTGCACCTGTACCCTAAAACTTTAAGTATAACAATAAATAATAATAATAATCTTACAATGAAAAAATTTAGAAACAATGACAAAACAAACAAAATGGATAGCTTCAAGGTTGAGATACAGAGATAAGGGGTCAAGTATGTTGGAAGAAATATGAGTAGATGCATAGGGACCTGTGGTCTTATAACAAAATATCTATAGTTTGTGTCATGAGAGTCCGAGTATAAGACAAGACAAGAGAGGGCAGGCTAAAAAAGTGCTCAGAGAAAGAAAAGCTGAAACCTCCTCAAATTTGCCAGACCATAATGCTGGAGGAATTGGATATCCATAGGAAACAAAGAATCAGATATAACCTCAACTTATGACCTACAATTTATTTGAAAAATTAATATATGGCAAGGGTGTGATGAAAAAAAGAACACCGGCTTGGTGCAGTGGTTCACGTCTGTAATCTTAACACCTTGGGAGGCCGAGGCAGGCAGATCACCTGAGGTCAGGAGTTCAAGACCAGCCTGGCTAAAATGGTGAAACCTCATTTCTACTAAAGAGACAAAAATTAGCTGGGCAGGGTGATGTGTGCCTATATTCCCAGCTACCAGGGAGGCTGAGGCAGGAGAATCACCTGAGCCTGGGAGGTGGAGGTTGCTGTGAGCTGAGATCATGCCATTGCATTCCAATGCACTCCTGGGTGACAAAAGTGAAACTCGGTCAAAAAAAATACAACAGAAGAAGAAGGAAAAGAAGAAGAAAGAAGAGGAGGGAGGAGAAGAAGAAGAAGAGGAAGAAGAAAAAGAAGAAGAAGATAGACAGCTGGTGTGAATGTAAATTAGTATAACCTCTATGGAAATCAATAGAGAGGTTTTACAAGGGACTAAGTATAACTAGTATTTGACACAGCAATCCCATTACTGAGAATCTACTCAAAGGAAAATAAATGGTTACATCAAAAAGACACTTGCATTTGTATGTTTATAACAGCACTATTATTAATAGCAATGTCACGGAATCAACTTGTGTCCATCAATGAATTATTCAATAAAGACAATATTTTATAATATATGACATATTTATTATATATATAGAATGACATGTAGCCATGAAATTATGTTTTTGTATTAATAGTAACATGGGTGGAATGGGAGGCCATTATTTTAAGTAAAATAATTCAGAATGAGAAACTCATATTCTCAGTTGCAAATGGAGCTAGACCATAGGTACACATGAGCATAAAGGTAAAAAATTAATAGACACTAGGGATTCCAGAAGAAGGTGAGGGAAAAGATTGACAGATGAAAAATGACATATTCAGAACAATGTTCACTGTTTGGCTGATAAATACACCAGAAGCACAAATTCTACCAGTATACAATATATCCCTATAACAATTGTCTCCATGTAGCCTCTGAATCTATTAGCATTAAAAATACAATCTAATAGGATCATGGACTTAAGTATAAAGCATAAAACTGTAAAAACCTTTAGCAAAAATTACAATAGCAAGAAGAGAACTTTTACTGTGCCTAAGCTCAGGCAAGGAGTTCTTAGAGATGACACAGGAAGCATGACAAATAAAAGAAAAAATATTGGTGAATTTCACTTAGTCAAAGTTAAAAACATTTTGGTCGACAAACACTCTTATTCACAAGACGAAAAGGCCAATTATAGATTGGCAGACATGTATGAAAACCAACTGGTAATTAAGAAAAAAGAATACTCCAAACTTAGCAGTAAAGAAACACACTCTAAATCCATTCAGAAAACTGGTAAATGAGATAAAATGATATTTCACTGAAGAGAATATACAAATGGCAAATAAGTATGTGAAAAGGTGCTCAATAACTTTTAACATTAGGAAAATACTATTTAGAAACACTGCCTGCCAGGCATGGTTGTTCATGCTTATAATCCAAGCACTTTGGGAGGCTTAGGTAGGATTGCTTGAGGCCAGGTGTTTGAGACCAGCCTGGGAAACATAGCAAGACCTCATCTTTATAAAATAGTAAAAAGAAAAAAATAGCCAGGCATTGTAGCACACAACTGGCACAACTACCACTTGATGGAAGGTGGAGCCTTCAGTAAGCCGTAATCAAGCTACTGCACTCCAGACAGGGCAACACAGCTAGAACGTATCCCCCACCCCCCCAAAAAAAAGAAAGAAAAGAAAAGAAAAGAAAAAGAAAAGAAAGAACCCCATAATCCAATACCTATACTGTCAGGCATCTGAGCCTAAGCCTGCATGTATACATCCAGATGGCCTGAGGCAACTGAAGAACCACAAAAGAAGTGAAAATGGCCAGTTTTTGCCTTAACTCCTGTCATTGCCTTGTGAAATTCCTTCTCCTGGACAATGAGTCTCGGAAGCTCCCTGCTAAGGACCCTGTGATCCCACCCCTACTCACAAAAGAACCATTCCTTTTGACTGTAATTTTCCACTACCTACCTAAATCTCATAAAGCTGCCCCACCCCATTTGCCTTTGCTGACTCCTTTCTCAGACTCAGTCCACTTGCACCCAAGTGAAATAAACAGCCTTGTTGCTCACATAAAGCCTGTTAATGGACTCACTTCACATGGATGCGTGTGACATTTGGTGCTGAAGACCTGGGACAAGGGACTCCTTTAGGAGACTGGTCTCCTGTCCTCTCCCTCACTCCATGAGGAGATCCACCTATGACCTCGGGTCCTCAGACCAACCAGCCCAAGGAACATCTCACTAACTTCAAATCAGGTAAGCAGTCTTTTCACTCTCCTTCAGCCTCCCTTGATACCCATCAATCTCCCTGTCCTTCCAATTCTTGTTATTTTTCCTCTCTAGTAGAGACAAAGGAGACATGTTTTACCTGTGAACTCAAAACTCCAGCGCTGATCATGGACTCAGGAAGATAGTCTTCCCTTGGTGTCTAAATCATTGTGGGGACACCTGCCTGACCCTTCACCCACATTTCAGAGGTGTCTGATCAACATGGGAATGCTTGCCTTGATCTTTCACCTTGGTGGCAATTACCACCTCCCCTGGGTGGCAAGCACCATCTCCCCTGGATGGCAAGTACCACCTCCCCCACCTCTGTTTCTCTACCCTCTCTTTTATCTGGGTTTGCCTCCTTCACTATAGGCAAATTTCCACCCTCCACTTCCCCTTCTTCTCCCTTAGCCTGTGTTCTCAAGAACTTAAAACCTCTTTAACTCACACCTGACCTGAAACATAAATGCCTTCTTTTCTTGTGCAATATTGCTGGCCCCCAAAACAAAATCAACAATGGTTCCAAATAGCCAGAAAATGGCACTTTTGATTTCTCCATCCTACAAGACCTAGATAATTTTTGTCAAAAAATGGGCAAATGGTCTGAGGTGACTGACATCCAGACATTTTTCACACTTTGTTCCCACCCTAGTGTCTGTTCCCAATGCAACTCTTCCCAAATCCTCCTTCTTTCCAAACTGCCTGTCCCTTCAGTCCCAAACCCAAGTGTCACTGAGTCTTTTGAATCTTCCTTTTTCACAGTCCCATCTGACCTCTCTCCTCCTCCCCAGACTGCTTCTCCTCAGGTCACTCCCTGCCAGGCTGAATCAGGCTCCAACTCTTCTTCAGCCTCTGCTCCCCCACCCTACAACACTTCTGTCACCTCCCTTCCCCACACCTGTTCTGGCTTACAGTTTTGTTCTGCAACTAGCTCTAGCCCACCTGCTCAAAAATTTCCTCTTACAGAGGTGGCTGGAGCTGAAGGCATAGTCAAGGTTAATGCTCCTTTTTCTTTAGCTGACCTCTCCCAAATAAGTCAGCATTTAGGCTCTTTCTCATCAGACCCCCCTAAATATATACAGGAATTCCAATATCTAACTATGTCCTACAATTTAACATTGAGTGACTTAAATGTCATCCTAACTTAAACCCTCTCCACAGATGAATGGGAAAGATTATTTTTTCTCTAGCCCAATCTCATGCTGACAACCACCGGCTTCATAAGCCAGACCTCCAGGAAGGCATTAGAGTAGTTCCCCGAGAGGATCCCCAATGGAACTATCAGGCAGATTCCTCAGGTATAGCTAGGTGAGATCACATGATTTCCTGCCTAGTTGAAGGGCTTAAAAAGGCAGCATACAAACCTGTTAATTATGACAAACTTAAAGAAACTACTCAAGGAAAAAATTAAAACACAGCCCAGCCCATGGCTCATTTGGCAGCAACCCTGAGAAGCTTTACAGCCTTGGACCCAGAAGGGCCAGAAGGCCATCTTACTCTCAATAAGCGTTTTATTACTCAATCAGCTAAAACCTTCAAAAATTGGAATCTGGCCCTAAAACCCCACAACAAGAATTAATTAACCTTGCTTTTAAAAAGTGTACAATAATAAAGAAGAGGCAGCCAAGTGGCAACATATTTCTTTGTCGCAATTACTTGCCTCTGCTTTGGGAGAAACCCCATCCAAATCTCTGGCACAAAAGAACTTCAGAATGCCTAAACAGCAGCAGTCAGCCATTCCTCCAGGGTCTCCTCCCCCAGGATCTTGCTTCAAGTGCTGAAAATCTGGCCACTGCACCAAGATATGCCTGAAGCTTGGTATTCCTCCTAACCTGTGTCCCATCTGTGTGGGACCCCACTGGCAATTGAACTGTCTGAATCACCCAGCAACCACTCCCAGAGCCCTTGGAACTCTGGCGTCAGGATCTCTGACTAACTCCTTCCCAGATCTTCTCAGCTTTGCGGTTGAAGACTGACACGCCCAATCACCTCGGAAGCCTGGACAATTACAGACACTTTAGGTAACTCTTACAGTGGAAGGTAAGTCCATCCCCTTCTTCATCAATATGGAGGCTACCCACTCCACATTACCTTCGTTTCAAGGGCCTGTTTCCCTTGCCTCCATAACTGTTTTGGTTATTGATGGTCAGGCTTCTAAGCCTCTTAAAACTCCAACTCTGGTGCCAACATGGACAACATTCTTTTATGTACTCCTTTTTAGTTATCCCCACCTTCCCAGCTCCCTTATTAAGTAGAGACATTTAAACTAAATTATCTGCTTCCCTGACTATTCCTGGGCTACAGCCACACTTCATTGCCACCCTTTTCCCCAGTTCAAAGCCTCTTTACATCCTCCCCTTGTGTCTCCCTACCTTAATCCATAAGTATGGGACACCTCTACTCCCTGCTTAGTAACTGATCATGTACTTTTTATCATCCATTAAAAACTAATTGCCCTTATCCCAGTCCACATCAGGCTTTAAAAGGGTTAAAGCCTGTTATCATCCACCTGTTACAACATGTCCTTTTAAAGCCTACAAACTTTCCTTAAAACTCTCCTATCCTACCCATCCAAAAACCAGACAAGTCTTACAGTCTGGTCAAGGATCTTTGCCTTATCAACTAAATTGTCTTGCCTATCTACCCCGTGGTACCAAACTTATGCATTCTTCTATCTTCAATACTTCCCTCCAAAAGCCATTATTCTCCTCTACATCTCAAACATGCTTCCTTTACTATTACTTTGCACCCTTCATCCAAGGCTCTCTTCACTTTCACTTGGACAATGAATCACCTTGATGAAGTCCTATTCTTTACTTTTATACTCATTCTTATTCTCATTGCAATTCTTATGCCACCCTCTACCTCTCCACAGCTATCTCCACTACACTATCAATCTCATTCACTTAGCTGTTTCTAATCCCTCCTTAGCAAACAATTGTTGGCTTTGCATTTCCCTTTCTTCCTGCACTTACACAGCTGTCCCTGCCTTACATACAGACTGGGTAACATCTCCTTTCTCCCTATATCTCTGAACTTTTTTTTTTTTAACAACATTCACCTTTACCCTCCAGAAGAACTTCTTTACTTTCTAGACAGATCCAGCAAGACCTCCCCAGACATTTCACATCAGCAAGCTGACACCCTTCTCCGCACTTACTTAAAAAACCTTTCTCCTTATATTAACTCTAATTCCCCTATAATTGGACCCCTCACAACACACACTACTATTCCTGTGGCTGTTCCCTTATGCATCTCTTGGCAAAGACCCACTGGAATTCCCCTGGGTAGCACCTTCTCTATGCTCCTTCACTCTTCATATGTAAAGCCTAATTACACCCATTCCTGAAAAAAATAGGGCTTTCCAGCTCCATATTACAAATAAGCCCTCTATCAATACAGACAAACTTAAAAGCACTAGCAGTTATTATTGCTTAAAAAGACATTTACCCTGTATTTAACACCATCGTTCGCTACCTTCCCCTTGCTTTTCACTCTTCTCCCAGGCCCTCTTCTTCTTTGCTTATATCCAGCTCTGTAAATAACAGTGAAAGGTTGCGCATAGACACTCAAAGCTTTCTCATACACCATAAAAATCACACCTCTTCCTGTATGCAGTTGCCCCATCAATCCCCATTACAACCTCTAATGGATTCTGCCCTCACTAGATCCCTAAAGAGTCTGGGTGCAAGACACCTCTTTTAGTACTCCTTCTTATCTTTTCACTTTGCATTTCCAGTTTTTCCTTGCACAAGTTCTCTTCTTCTTCTGTGAATCCTCTATCTACATGTGTCTACCTGCTAATTGGACAGATATGTGCACACTAGTTTTCCTTACTCCAAACACCAAGCAAATAATTATGCTGAACCCCCTTGGGCACTCTGTAATTGGATGTCCTGGGTCCTCCCAATTCGTAGTCCTTTAATACCTGTTTTTCTCCTTCTCTTTTTCAGACCTTGTGTCTTCCATTTAGTTTCTCTATTCATACAAAACTGCATCCAGGCCATCATCAATCATTCTACATGACAAATGCTCCTTCTAACACCTCCATAATATCACCCCTTACCCCAAAATCTTTCTTCAGTTTAATCTCTCCCACTCTAATTTCCCACTCTGCCCCAATCCCGCTTGAAATAGCCCTGAGAAACATCACCCATTATCTCTCTGTACCACCCCCAAAAATTTTCATTACCCCAATACTTCACCATCATTTTGTTTTATTTTTCTTATTAATATAAGAAGACAGGAATGTCAGGCCTCTGAGCCCAAGCCTGCATGTATACATCCAGATGGCCTGAGGGCAACTGAAGAACCACAAAAGAAGAGAAAATGGTCAGTTCCTGCCTTAACTGATGACATTACCTTATGAAATTCCTTCTCCTGGACAATGGGTCTCAGATGCTTCCTGCTGAGCACCTTGTGACCCCCTGCCCCTGCCTTCAAAAAAGCAACCCCCCTTTGACTGTAATTTTCCACTACCTACCTAAATCCTATGAAACTGCCCACCCCATCCCCCTTTGCTGACTCCTTTCTCTAACTCAGTCCACATGCTCCCAAGTGAAATAAACAACCTTGTTGCTCACACAAAGCCTGTTGGTGGACTCGCTTCACACAGATGTGCATGACATACACACACCTATTCAGAATGACTAAAATAAAAGAAAGTGACAATACCAAATGTTAGCAGGCATGTGAAGAAACTGAATTACTCACATATTGCCAATGGGAATGTAAAATGATGAAGCCACTTCGAAAAAGAGATGAAGAAATCATGTAATAATCAAACACCTTAACTATCCTGAAAGAACAACAGATCTAGAGATGACCTACATTTTGGACTTCCAGGACAAAAAGTCATATAAGTATTATAAATTATTGAAAATAAATATTATAAATACAATTATGCACCACATATAACATTTAAGCTAATGACCAACCACATAAACAACCATTGTCCCATAGGTCCACAGAAATAAACACTATCTCTTTTGTGTAGCTGAAAAATCCCTATTTTCTATTGAAGACTTGATGATACTGACCTGTGCGGGCCTAAGCTAATGTGTGTTGGAGTCTTAGTTTTTTAAAAAAAGGTTACAGAGTAACTAAAGGAAAAAAATAATTTAAAAACAGAAAAAACTTGTAGGTCAGGCACTGTGGCTTATGTCTATAATCTTAGCACTCTGAGAGACTGAGGTGGGAGGATCACTTGAAGCCAGGAGTTCAAGACCATCCTTGGCAATGGAATGAGACCGTGTCTGTAAAATAAAATTTAAAAATTAGGCAGGCAGACAACATAGGCATGGTGGTATGTGCCTATAGTCCCAGCTACTCAGGAGGCTGATGGTAGAGGATTGCTTGTGCCCAGGAGTTCAAGGCGGCAATAAGCCATGATTGCACCACTGTACTAGAGTGTAGGCAATATAGGGAGATCCTGTCTCTAAAACAAACCAAGAAAAAAAAAAGAGAGAGAAGCTTGTAGAATAAAAATATAAAAACAAAAATATGCTTGGCGTTTTCATTTTAAGACATGTTATGTAAAGGGGTCAAAAAGTTAAAAAAATAAAAAAATGTATAAAGTAAAATGGTTACAGTTAGGTGTTTCATTTATTATTGAAAGAAGAAATGTATTTTTAATAAACTTAGTGTGGCCTATGTTCACAGTGTTTTCAGTCTACAGTCCTCTGCAGTAACATCCTAGACCTTCACATTAACTAACCGCTCAGCCACTGACTCACCCAGAACCACTCACCCAGAGCAATTTAATGTATGAGATGGTTTTCTTTATGCAATATAATTGCATAATGCATTGAAGGTTAACTCACAATCTAATATAGGTATTATGACTGCTGAATTTATTGCTGAAAAAAATTTAAAAAGCTAAACATATTTTGAAACAATTAAAATAAAATAGTAAAGTCTACTCAACAAAGAAGAATATGAGAGAACAAGAGAATAAAGAAACAAATGGGACAAATTGAAAATAAATTAATGATGGAATATTTAAGGGCAATCATAGCAAACATTGCACTGCACAAAGACAGAATCAATGCTCAAATTAAAGGACTGATTGCTAGGTTGGTTTTAAAAAGAATGGCCCCACCTTATGTTGTTTCTTTTAAAGATGTATTTACTATACAGATACAAGCTGAAGTTTCTTAAAGTAGAAGAATTCTCCCATGCTGACACTGAAGAGAAGAAAGCCAGAGTGGTTCTGCTACTCTCATTGGAGTAGATATGAAGAGGATGACTGTTAATAAAGATGAAGTCCATTTCTTACTGGAAAAAAAATTAGTGAGATGTATAGGTAGGAAGGGATATGGGTTTGTATGTATATGGAGTTAATAACTGAGCTCCAAAAATATATGAAGCATAAGAAGCAAAACTGATAGAAGGTGAGGAGAGGAAGAGAGAGAAATTAAAGGGAAAGAGTGACACAGAGGGAGAGAGAGAGTGAGAGACACAGAAGAAGGGAGAGGAAGGAAGAGGGGGAGAGACAGGGAGGAAGTCAGAGGGAGAGGGAAAAACAGAGGGAGAGAGTTGGAGAGACAGAGAGGGAAGCAAGGAGAGAAGGAGAGAGACAGAGAGAGAGAGAAAATGAGACAAAGAGAGAGAGAAGGACCAGAAGGAAGGAAGGAAAACGGATACAAGGGTGAGAGAGAAGAGGAAGAAGGGTACAAATAGAGTAAGAAAGAAAGATGGAAAGGGAGAGAGAGGGAGGAAGAGAAAGGGAGAAAAAAGACAGAGAGGGAGGGGAGAAAGAAACAAAAGGAGAGAGAGGGAGAGACAGAGGTGAAGGAGGAAGAAAAGGAGGGAAAGAGAGACAGAGAGATAGGGAGAGAGAGAGAAAGAAAGGAAGAGGGAGAGAAAAGAAGAGAGGGAGAGATGGAGACACATGGAGAGGGAGGGAGAAGAAGGGAGTCCAGAGAGAGGGAGGGAGAGAAACAAAGGGAGAGAAACAAAGGGAGAGAGGGAGGGAGGGAAAGAGAAGGAAGGACAGAGGAAGAAGCATGGAACCAGGGGTTGGGGGAAGGCAGGCAAGGAGAGAGGAATTTAAACCTTTTACATCCTTGTTGGGGGTTTTAAGACCACACTCTAAAAAACTGATGGAGCAAGTCTACTTTTCCAGGTGAGAGTGTGTGAAATGCTTGTATATATGTGACCTGCTCAGATGTTTATTCCATTTCTACTTCACAAAATTCCCATATGCCATTTTGAGGGTTCTGCTACCTTTAAAAAAGCACTGGAATAAACTTTTATTTAAAGAGTTAGTAGATTTTCCTTGCAGAATCATCTGAGCCAGCTGCTTCCTGAGTTGGTGAAGTTCGTAATTTTTGCTTGTTTTTATTTCTCTAGCATTTTGTATGTTATTTCAAGAAAAAGGGTTACAGATTGTACACCATTCTGGATCAATTTTAACTAACTATATAATCCTGAATATCTATTTTTTAATTTTTAAATTCATTTAACTCACAAGCATGTCACTGCATATATCACATTTTTTACTATTTCTCTTCTTACCATTTCTTAATATTTACTTGTGGCTTTTTCTTCTTTATGTGTGTGTATATAGTTTAGAATGTCATATATTGCTTGCTGCAAGAATTATGTTTGAGATTTTGTAGTTCTACGTTTACTTTTCTACAACTTTTTTTTCCTGCTTTTGTCTTTCTGTTATCTTCAGGGTTGGCTTGACTATACTAATGTTAGGTTTCAGGATCAATTCTGCAATAAAATTAATCCCTCATCAGAGATATTCACTCCGCATTTTGTGCAGTATTTTTATTGTGATATAATAAGGCTAGGCATAATATTGGAGAATTATTACTATTATTACTTTTTTAGAGACAGGTCTTGCTCTGTTGCCAAGGATGGAGTGCAGAGGTATGATCACTGCTGACTTACCGCAGTCTCAAATTCCTGGGCTCAAGTGATACTCCCACCTCATCTTCCAAGTACCTGGGACTACAGGTGTGCACCACCACATGCAGCTAATTTTTAAAATTTTTGTGGAGATACAGTCTCACTATGTTTCTCATGCTTGTCTCAAATTCTGGGCTCAAGTGATCCTCCCACCTTAGCCTCCCAAAGTGCTAGGAGTATAGGCATGAGCCAGTGCACCTGAAAAGACTGAAAAAATATTTTACCTACTCAAATATTACTCCTTCTACTCCTTGATTGTACTGGGAGAGTTTAAATTTTCCAGAGGGAAAACATTGGCATTCAAACAGAATCGTATGATTGGATCCCTGTGCACTCTAGTTTATCACGAATTTTCAACTGGCAAAGGGTGTCAAGTGGAGGTAATAGTGGAAATGTTGAGGGGTGAAAGAAACATCTTATTTGTTGATATATACAGCACAGACATACATACAGTACATAAATTGACCTGCAGCATGCTCATGGTATTAACATTTTACTGGAGCATAGACAATTAGAAAAAGAATGTTGAGCTTTTGGCTGGGCATGGGGGCTTATGTCTGGAATCCCAGCATTTTGGTAGGCAAGGTGGGCAGACCACTTGAGGCCAGGTGTTTGAGGCAATGCTGGGCAACATAGTGAGACCCCATCTCTACAAAAAATACAGAAAATATCCAGTCATGGCAATCTTTTATCCCAGCTACTGGGGAAGTTGAAGTGGGAGGATCACCTGAGCCTGGGAAGTAAAGGTTGAAGTGAGTTGAGGTTGTACCACTGAACTCCAGCATGGATGACAGAGCCAGATATTGTCTTACAAATAAATACCTATAATCCCAACACTTTGGGATGCTGAGGCAGGCAAATCACTTGAGGCCAAGAGTCCAAGACCAGCCTGGCCAACATGGTGAAACCCTGTCTCTTCTAAAAATGCAAAAAATAGCCAGTTACGGTGACAGGCACCTGTAAGTCCCGCTACTTGGGAGGCTGAAGCAGGAGAATTGCCTCATCCTAGGAGGTGGATGTTGTAGTGAGCCAAGATTGCATCAGTGCACTCCAGCCTGGCGAACAGAGTGAGTCTCTTTAAAAAACTAAAATAAATAAATACTTAAGAATTAAAAATTTCCTTAGGGGGGTGATGAGAAAAAAATGAAATTGTGATGGAGGATAAATTAAAGCAAAATACGAAATAAGTTTGTCACTTGGGATGGAAGCTCTGTCTCAGGGTCCTTCTCTGTAGCCTGGAGAAAATGCCTTTCTTTCCAAGTTCCTTCAATATCTAAACTACAAGATGCATGTAAGAGACCTTGCAAAGTTCCCGTTATGGAGTAGGAAGCAGGTGAGGTCCTACACATATGGATGATAACAAGGTGTGATCCTTCCTCACATTCAGAAAGTAGGGAAAATAGACTATTACTCCATAAGGCAAACCCTGATATGGTTTTTATTTTACATTTTATGTATACATATACCTAAGCATTTACATATATGCATATATATGTGATTTCTTTGGCAGAAGTCTCCTATGACAAGGCAATTCTTTTTGCCTGTTGAGATAGTGGGTGGGATAATAGGTTGTTCTGCTTCATATTATTGGCAGATAAATGGGATTTGCTACAATGCAAAGCTGTACATCTGAAACCGTCCTCACAGGGTACACAAGAATTCTTGACAGAAATACATTTATAATTAAGCATGAGTCAGGCTGCTTTTTACACACTTCTTTGTAAATGGAAATCACATAGAACTAGATTCTGATAATTTGCATCCACATTTTCCTGTAGATACCATTATCTATCTATAGTAATCTAATGGATAGAATCATATATCCTATAGATAGAATCATAAGAGTTTTGTTTAAGAATTGCTTCCACAGATCCAGCATAATTCTAAAGAGTTACAGTGAAACAACTGATGCCAACCAGTTTGAAGATCCCCACAAAGGAATCCAATCGGCATGAGAACAAAGCTTCTTCATCTTCCTGTCTTGGGAGTTCATCCTGCGTTCTCCCACCAATCAGTGATGTCCACACTTGGGCCCACTTTGAAATCCTTGAAAACTGTAGCTCCAGACTCCTCTGGGAGATGGATTTGAGGTTTCCTCCCATCTTGTTTTGGGGGGTTCTCTGATTAAACCTCTTTCTCTACTGTACCCCAGTGTCTCTGCATATTCACTTGCCATACACCTGAGGCAAAGAACCTATGACGGTGGCAGATGTATGAATGATCTTTTAATTTTCAGAGTATGCAAACCACTGAAAATATTAGTATCATGAGGCAAGCAAAGATGGACAGCATAGGAGCTCAGGGGAGAGAGAGCGAGTTAAGCTAAGCTGTGCAGATCTGAGCTGGTATCTTCTCCTCTGTGATTGTTGGCAACTTGGTTTTGCAGTAGATCAACTCTTCCATCAATGCCTCAAGATGTTTTGTGAGTTAGTTTCAATGTCTTTGTTTGCTGTGTAATAAGACTGATCATTGCAACTTTCTATTGAGAGGAAATGTTTGGTCATTGAGAGAACTGATTCTGCTGCAGAGACAGAGACATTAGATATTGAAGCTTGGGAACTTATTAACATGAGGAATTATTCATTCTTTGTGCTGGTAATATAAATAATTTTTTATGCTTGGGAAATCCCTACTACAGATTCTCTTGGTCAAGTACAGCTGTGGCTAAATCCAAATACTTGATTTTTCATGTATATTATTCCTGGGTTCTAATAATTTATGTCCCTCCTATGTCTCTTCTTTCTTTCACACCCATAACCAGTGATTGAATTTGTAGCCTGACATTTCTATTTCTCCATATCACTATTTAAGAAGATGAATGAAGACTTTGCACCTCTGGACTCATATTTTTGCCTTATAGCCAACTCATTTTTAGATTTATTTTGTTTTATTTAAGTTCAGGGATACATGTGCAGAATGTGCAGGTTTGTTACATAGCTATACATGCCACTGTCACATATTTTTAGTTTGCTGTTATGACAAAGCCCCATTTTTTTTTAGATAGATTCTCATTCTGTTGCCAGGGTGCAGTGGCATGATCTCAGCTTACTGCAACCTTTGACTCCCCAGTTTAAGTGATTATCCTGCCTCAGCCTCCTGAGTAGCTGGGATTACAGGCTTGTGCCACTATGTCCAGCTAAATTTTGTATTTTCAGTAGAGACGGGCTTTCACCATGTTGGCCAGGATGGTCTCTATCTTCCAATCTCATGATGGCCCCACCTCAGCCTCCCAAAGTGCTGGCATTACAGGTGTGAGTCACCACACATGGCCCAACAAAGCCCCATTTTTAAAACAGATTTATTGAAGTATAATTGACATACAAAAACTGCACACATTTAAAGCATATAATTTGATAAATTTTGATAAGTATATACAACCAGGAAACCATCATCACAATCAAGAAACTTAACATATAAACATCCTCTAAAGAGTTATCAATACCTCTCTTTTGCCCCACCCACCTCTTCAAAATAATTCTTGCTTCAAAAAGGCAACTTCAACAGAAAAGGTATCAGACTGATAATTAAATCACTGTAAGTCATGATAATGAGAAACTATTCACAAGAATAGTCAAGAAGTAACCAGAATACTAATAAAGGACATTATTCCTATATTTGGACTACCACTAACTTTAGATCGGACAACAGGCCAGCTTTTTTTTTGTGGCAGAAGTAGTGCAGCGACTACCCCAAATATTTAAAATTAAATGGAAGCTACATACAGCCTACCATCCACAGAGTTCTGGAAAAGTTGACAGGATGAACCAAACACTAAAACAACTGTTGAAGAAGTTTTGCAGGCCGGGCGCGGTGGCTCACGCCTGTAATCCCAGCACTTTGGGAGGCCGAGGCGGGCGGATCACGAGGTCAGGAGATCGAGACCATCCAGGCTAAAACGGTGAAACCCCGTCTCTACTAAAACTACAAAAAATAGCCGGGCGTAGTGGCGGGCGCCTGTAGTCCTAGCTACTTGGGAGGCTGAGGCAGGAGAATGGCGTGAACCCGGGAGGCGGAGCTTGCAGTGAGCCGAGATCCCACCACTGCACTCCAGCCTGGGCGACAGAGCGAGACTCCGTCTCAGAAAAAAAAAAAAAAAAAAAAAGAAGAAGAAGTTTTGCCAAGAAACTCATTTAAGGTGGGATCAGGTATTGCCCATTGTCCTTCTCTGAGTCAGGTGTACCCCTACTAAATTGACTGGGCATTCACCCTATGAGATAGTATATGGATGACCACCCCCAACTCATAGCTCAGATAAAAGGAGATTTAAAATAAATAGAAGAGCTAACCCTAAGGAGACAAATGCAGGCATTAGGTGAAGTAATACAAGAAATACAAGGGTGAGTAAGAGAGAGAATACCTATTAGCCTCACAGAGGCAGTACACCTCTTTCAACCTGGGGACTCTGTATGGGTTAAACATCGGAACCCTACCACCCTCAGGCCCTTGTGGGATGGCCCCATGTTGTGATCATATCTACCCCTTCTTCTGTAAAATTGCAGGTATCATGTCCTGGATCCATCATAGCTGACTGAAACCTGCAGCCCCAGTCCCAGACTGGTGGAGGAGTCAGCAAGATCCAGATAATCCAACTTGACTGATCCTCCAGAAAGACCAAGGCACATCAGAAAAGGATGACTGTCCTGCTCCAACCACACTGGACGGTGGTGAGTCCACACATGGCTAAAGCTTTAGTCACATACAGGATCAGTTTCTATATCTTTTGATGCTTGTCAGGCTACACATCTCAGCAACCTATACAATTTAGGAGTGGTCTGCAAAAACTTAGAGCAAGAAAGGGTCAATATTAAGGCCACCAAGGCCATAACAGGAGAAATGGAAGAGGGATGCCCTGATTGTAACAATCAGTGGACTACCCATGAGTTCAGTGAACACCCTTACACAGAGAGAGTAGCCTTGCTTGCCAGCCAAGAAGCGAAGGTTGGTTGTGCAACTAGAACATGTGACCCCCTTAATCTGACCATACTGAAGTGAATCATGCCCTTTTGGACTAAAGGACACCAAGGTACACTAAGCTTTAATTGGGAAGGAGCAAATTGTGGCATTCCATTGGTCATTATTAAGAAGACCCAACGAGCTAAGGTTAAAGTCAATACAATGCCACATTTCAGGTTTTTCAAGTCTTTTAATAAGCATTTTGACACCAAGGAACCAAAAATCCAGCTTCCTCTGATGTCAGCTGAGAATCTATTTGATCAGCTAGCTAAAAGTATAGTTACAAATCTTGGAGTCACCTCATGTTATGTATGTGGAGGTACTAGTATAGGTGAACAATAGCCTTGGGAAGCCAGAGAACTAATGCCACAAGATAACTTTACTATACGAGAATTCACTACAAAATTTAATGCCGGCCGGGTGCAGTGGCTTTCGCCTGTAATCTCAGCACTTTGAGAGGCTGAGGCGGGCGGATCACGAGGTCAGCAGATTGAGACCATCCTGGCTAACACAGTGAAAACCCGTCTCTACGAAAAATACAAAAAAAATTAGCCTGGTGTGGTGGCAGGCGCCTGTAGTCCCCAGCTACTTGTGGGGCTGAGGCAGGAGAATGGTGTGAACCCGGGAGGCGGAGCTTGCAGTAAGCGGAGATGGCGCCACTGCACTCCAGCCTGGGTGACAGAGTGAGACTCTGCCTTAAAAAAAAAAAAAAAAGAAATGTAATGCCAACCCAAGTGTTTGGCTACTGACAATATCATTGGAAGATACTGCATAGCATGATGGGGAAAGACTTTCAAACTCAAGTAGGAGATATAACTTGTTTAGGTCAACTATATTTCGAGGAATCAGAAAATAAGACTCAGTGGAGAAGCTATATAGAGAATTCCTCTGTGCCAGACTTGAACCCTGTCTCCCAATTTCCAACATTAATTCAGTTATGGTATTAACTAGATGCCCCAAATATTTGGAGAGCAACAGCATGACTATACTTGATCTGTGGGATGAAGGCCTACCAACTTTTGCTCGAAAAATGGACCACAGCCTGTGTGTTAGGGACAATAGGACCATCCTTCTTCTTGCTCCCATTTAAGCCAGGGGAGAATTTAAGTCGCCTAGTCTATAACAAGGAAATAAAGAGGACCAGAAAGAATGTCTTCACCCAAATAAATCCCACTGAGAAGATAAACACAAACATAAGAAAATATATTGAAATAGGTAATTGGAAAGACAATGAATAGCCTCCTGAGAGAATTATAAGGTATTACGGGCCAATTACATGGGCCCAAGATGGATGATGGGGTTACCATACTCCTATTTACATGCTGAACTAAATTATAAGACTGTGAGCATTACTAGAAATTACAGTCAATGAAACAGCTCAAGACTTGGATCTGTTAGCTATACAAGCTACCCAAATGAGAGATGCCATATACCAAAATAGCCTAGCATTAGACTATCTCCTAGTCTCCAAAGGAGGAGTTTGTGGCAAAATAAATTTGACCAACTGCTGTTTACAAATGGATGATAATGGAAGAGCTGTTGTGGAACTTACTGCTAGAAGGCAGAAGCTAGCCCATGTCCCACTGCAGACCTTGTTTTGAGGGAGCCAAAATACAATATTTGGAGGATGGTTCTCATGGTTTGGAGGCTTTAAAACTTTGATAATTGGTTTTATAGTCATAATTGGAGGATGCCTAATACTACCTTGTCTTTTACCTCTTCTCATCAGAAGCTTTCAGTCCACCATTGAAGCAATAGCAGACCGAACAACTACCACCAAACTGATGGCACTGCAAAGATACCAATCAGTCCCTCAGGAAGAATATGTGCCTATATCAGAAGAAATAAATAATTGTGGTGCTCTTTATTAATCTGCATTTATGGCAAGCACCAAAGGTGAGGGGATGAAGAGGGAATTAATAAATTTTGTAAGAATAATAACCAATAAATGTATTATTTTTCCTTAAAAAGCTAACTGTAATATAGCCCTCTAGGAAGCCTGAGTTAGAAGAGAATATTAACTGCCTAATTCTCTTCTGTGCTTAATGAGCCTTATCTGTGTTCTACAGTTTCACATTCCTTGAGGCTCAGTGAGTTCCTGCTTACCTTCCTAGCACAGCTGTGAGGTCACAAATTTGATAAGTATATGTTACAAAAACATGTTTTTCCCAAGGATGTAGAACATGAGGTACAGCAAATGTAAAAGAACAATTAACCACTATGAGATATCATCTCACACCAGTTAGAATGGCAATCATTAAAAAGTCAGGAAACAACAGGTGCTGGAGAGGATGTGGAGAAATAGGAACACTTTTACACTGTTGGTGGGACTGTAAACCAGTTCAACCATTGTGGAAGTCAGTGTGGCGATTCCTCAGGGATCTAGAACTAGAAATACCATTTGACCCAGCCATCCCATTACTGGGTATATACCCAAATGACTATAAATGATGCTACTATAAAGACACATGCACACGTATGTTTATTGCGGCATTATTCACAATAGCAAAGACTTGGAACCAACCCAAATGTCCAACAATGATAGACTGGATTAAGAAAATGTGGCACATATACACCATGGAATACTATGCAGCCATAAAAAATGATGAGTTCATGTCCTTTGTAGGGACATGGATGAAATTGGAAATCATCATTCTCAGTAAACTATCGCAAGAACAAAAAACCAAACACCGCATATTCTCACTCATAGGTGGGAATTGAACAATGAGACCACATGGACACAGGAAGGGGAATATCACACTCTGGGGACTGTGGTGGGGGGAGGTGGGAGGGATAGCATTGGGAGATATACCTAATGCTAGATGACGAGTTAGTGGGTGCAGCGCTCCAGCATGGCACATGTACTCATATGTAACTAACCTGCACAATGTGCACATGTACCCTAAAACTTAAAGTATAATAAAAAAAAATACTTTTCAATAAGCATAATTTAGAAGTAACATAGGATTAGAAAAAAAATTACAAAAACTGCCTATTATTCACTGAAAGTGTATATGTAGGTGATTAATATGCAGAATCACTATTACACTCCCAACTTTTTGTCATTCCATTCTGATAACAGCTAAACAAAAGCCTTGTAGTAAAATAGTAATTTCCTACATTAAAAGCTATACAAACACTGTCAAAAAAAAAAAAACGATTAACTGCCTTTGTTCTCACTTCTGTAAGTACACTTCCTGCATCATGTAACACCCACCATTAACTGCTTAAAAGGTTGCTGTTTCCTTTGTTCGGGGCTCAGACTTTCCGGACCCTAGTCCGACTGAGCTGGTGATGACGTTAAGAATAAAGGACTCTCCTGAACTCTTCCTTCTCTCCCATCTCTGATTGTCCCACAGCAGTAACACATGCTCAGTAGAGAGGAAAGAGCAGGTGGCATTGTTTAGAAAGAGCTAATCAGGTATTAAGTGCTAGAAGGCAAGAGTCATAGCTTTTCATGTGCTGTCCAGGCAGACTGCAGAAGATGACTTTATCACAGAAACATCCTGCAGAGTTCCCTGTTCTCTTTACACATTTGGCAATAAATTAGGCTGGACAGGGTACTTCCAGAGCAACCCCAGTTTATCAACTTTCTCCATGATTCTTTATCACCACTAAGTTCAGAGCATCCATGGAATAAAACAAATGTCACCATTTGAATCCTAGTTGATAAAGTTGATTTGATTTCCCCAACTCCAAAACTTGACATTCATCATGAATGAAATGGTTATTTTTTCTTCCATCAAATGTCATTGAATATAACATAACACTTTAAAGTCATTTATTCTGTAAATGTAGAAAGTATTTTATTCATAGGAACAATTGAAAGGCTGCAAAGGCCCCTGGTTTTCATTTCACTGCATGCAAGACCTTTGAATTTTAAGTCACTTCAGAGTGATTCAAAATACTAGCTAAATTGATACTCACCCCAGTCACTAGGCCCTGGGGAAAATAAGATCAACTACAGATTAGGGAGTTTCTCTCTCTCTCTCTCTCTCTCTCTCTCTCTCTCTCTTTCCTTCCTTCCTTCCTACAGATTAGGGATCAACTACTGATCAACTACAGATTAGGGAGTTTATGAATTCATTCCTAAGTTATGTCTGGAAAGGATGACAATGGTGATGAGAACAAATACTGAAGAAATTGGTAAATATTTTAGGAGATATCTTTTTCTCTGTCATCAGGCACCAGCAAGTTTGTCAGTTCACCATAAGTAACTAATAGAGTACAAGGCTAAACTAGAGATGGAAATGAAATGGAAATCCATGTGCTTTCAATTTTGTTGGGCACTGATATCATAGATACTTGGAGATCAAGGGCAGAAAAAGTGCGTTAAGTATTATTTCCAATTCTCAAAAAAAGTCAATCAATCAAGTTGCATATGTAGTTACAATTTTCAATGCTTGCCAATTTAAGGGACCATTAGTAACTGAATTTTTTGAAAACAATAGGCTTAAACTATATTTTTAGAATGTGAATACACTTTTTTGTTCTTTTTAATCTTTGTTCATTGGGAAAAGAATATTTTGTGGTAGTCTACAAAAAGGCAAAAAGGAAGACAGAGATAAGATTACAAGTGAAGGAAGGATCACTTGTGTTTCCTATGGCCTGGGTGTTTTTTGTATTGTTTGTTTGTTTTTAACAAGTTGGTATTAAGAGTTGACAATTACTCCAATGAGTCTAAAGGAAAGTCAGCCAGGCACAGTGGCTCTTGTCTATAATCTCAGCAATTTGGGAGGCTGAAAGCCAAGGTTTACTTGATACCAGGAGTTAGAGACCACCCTGGGCAACATAAAGAGACCCCATTTCTTTTTCCATTCTTTTTCATGAAATAGTGCCAGTCAAAGTTCAAACGGATGAATAAAGATGCATGTATTATAGGGACTGGTCTCACTTCTAAGTGAGCCATAAACAAAGGGCTTCTGTGGTGCTATGGACCTGGGGGTGGGCAGAGGGTGACAGTAGGGTAGTGGACAAGAGTGGAAAAGTCCTGTAGACTGATTCAGAGTGGAGAAAATATGTTCAATGTTCCCACTGGTTTTAGTTCATTCTCATTGCTATGAAGATAGAGCCAGAGACTGGGTTATTTATAAAGAAAAGAGGTTTAATTGACTCCTAGTTCCACATGGCTGGGGAGGACTCAGGAAACTTACCATCATGGTGGAAGGCAAAGGGGAATGAAGGCATATCTTCCCACAGTGTCAGGAGAGAGCAAGAGTGCAGATGAAACTGCCACTTATAAACCATAGATCTAATGAGCACTCACTCACTATCACAAGAACAGCATGGGGGAAACTGGCCCCATAATCCAATCACCTCCCACCAGGTCCCTCTCTCAACACCTGGGAATTACAAATCAAGATTAGATTTGAGTGAGGATACAGAGCCAAACTATATCACCACTCTCTCTCATCAGAGAGGTCTCTGCAGAGGCATCCAGGGAAGACCTCCACCAAAAGTCTCTAGTAAAGAGGCTTCCACATGGAATCACCTGGGTCAGTAATGCAGACATACATCAAAACATGACCATTCGGGGTCCTGAGTCCCTGCTTGCAACACTTAAGAGACGGCAGTGGCTTGGAACCACATCTGGTGTGTGAAGGACAGCTTCTCCTGGCAAAACTTTCCTTTCTTTTTCTTTCTTTCTTTTTCTTTCTTTCTTTCTTTCTCTTTCTTTCTTTCTTTCTTTCTTTCTTTCTTTCTTTCTTTCTTTCTTTCTTTCTTTCTACCTTTCTTTCTTTCTTTCTTTCTTTCTTTCTTTCTTTCTTTCTTTCTTTCTTTCTTTCTTTCTTTCTTTCTTTCTTCCGTTCTCTCTCCCTCTCTCTCTCTTTCCTTCCTTCCTCCTTCCCTCCCTCCCTCTTTTTTCTTTCTTTCTCTTTCTTTCTTCCTTCCTTCCTTCCTTCCTTCCTTCCTTCCTTCCTTCCTTCCTTCGTTCCTTTCTTTCTTTCTTTCCTTCTTTCTTCTTTTGAGATGGAGTCTCACTCTGTCATGTAGAAATTTTGGCATCTTGGCTGACTGCAACTTCTGCCTCCTGAGTTCAAGCAATCAAGCAATTCTCAAGCCTCAGCCTCCCAAGTAGCTGGGATTACAGGCATGCACCACAATACCCAGCTAATTTTTATTATATTTATAGTAGAGATGTTAGCCAGGCTGGCTTCCACAACCTGACCTCAGGTAATCTGCCTGCCTCCACCCTCCGAAAGTGCTGGGATTAAGAACTTGAGCCACTGTGCCTGGCCCAGGCAAAGCTTTTGTTAATTGTCTTTGGCAGGGCCTGAAAAATCACACATTGTTTTTCTGTCAGGAGCTGGTCCCTTCAGTTCACATGTCTGACAGGCCATAAACAAAATGTGGTTTCAGGCCTGGAAAAGTGAATTATGTCTGTAATTCCACAACTTTGGAAGGTCAGTACAGGAGGATTACTTGAGGAGTTCAAGACCAGACTAAGCAATTAAACAAGACCCCCAACTCTACAAAAAGAAAAGAAGAATTACCAATATAATTGTAATGGTAATTGGTAATGATGCATGCCTATAGTCCCAGCTGTTTGGGAGGCTGAGACAGGAGGATTGTTTGAGCCAATGAGTTTGAGCCTCCTGTGACCCGGGTCATGACACTGCACTTCAGCTGGGCAACAGAGCAAGATTCTGTCTATTAAACAGTAATAATAATAAAATAAAATAAAACAAATTAAAAATAAATGAGAATGTGGGTGCCACATTACAAGAGAGACGGCGTAAGTTGTGAGACTGAAGATGGTCACATGTCTGGAAGCAATCCAATTGTAATTAAGAATAAACCACGAATAGGAATACATAAGCACTGCATTACATAGGCCCTTAACTTATTTAATTCATCCATTCTTCCCTGTCAACAGAGAACGAACAAGGGAGCAATATAGATAAATAATTGAACAGAACTCCAACAGGACATCCCAGCAAAAATTTGTCAGATGTCACCTCTACTCATCTCAGTTCTAGAATGTTTTGCATAAGGTGCCAATCTTACCACACAGGAATGGGATTGTAATATTTAAAGTTTTACATTTTTCATACAAGTTGACAATATGGGAAGATAAATCTGTTTCCATTGAACTGAAGAGAATACAGAATATTTATCTTCAATATTATCTTCAATATCTTCAATATGGGGATTCCTGGAGGATTCTCCAAGATACAAAAATCATAGTAGTATTTTCAGCTGTTTCTGCTGGTTTTTACTTTAGCCACTGACTTGAGAAAGTCATAATGTCAAATATACTAGCTTCTTTTGAAAAAAGCAAGCGATACTTTTGCACAGCAGAAGAAACTATCAACAGATTAAACAGACAACCCACAGAATGGTAGCAAATATTTGCAAATTATGCATCTGACAAATGTCTAATATTCTGAATCTATAAGGAACTAAAAGAAATTAACATGTGAAAACAAACAAACAAAAATCTATTAAAATAATGGGCAAAGAGCATGAACAGACACTTCTCAAAAGAAGACATACACACTGCCAACAAGCCTATGAAAAACATTAACAACATCACCAATCATTAGAGAAGTGCAAATCAAAGCCACAATCAGATACCGTCTCACACCAGTAAGAATGGCTATTCCTAAAAAAATAACATGCTAGCAAGGTTGTGGAGAAAAGGGAATACGTATACACTGCAGGATGTATATTAATGTAATGTATGTAAATTAATTCAGTACCTGTGGAAAACAGTGTGACAATTTTACAAAGTACTTAAAACAGAATTATCCGTCGACCCAGCAATCTCATTTCTGGGTACACACCCAAAGAAATAGAAATCATTCCACCACAAAGACACATGTATGCATTATGTTCACTGAAGCACTGTTCAAAATAGCAAGGACATGAAATCAACCTAGATGACCAACAGTAGAATGGATAAAGAAAACATGGTACATATACACCATGAAACACCATGCAGCCATAAAAAAGAAAAAAATCAAGTCCTGCTGCGACATAGATGCATCTGTAGGCCATTACCTTAAGCAAATTAACACAAGAACAGAAAAGCAAATGCTGCATATACTCACTTAGAAGTAATTCTTATAAGTAGGAGGTGAACAATGGGTACACATGGTCAAAAGCATGACAACAATAGATACCAGGGACCTACTTGAGGGTGGAGGAAGGGAGGAGGAGGAGTACCAAAAAACTACCTATCAGGTATTATGGTCAGCTACCTGGGTAATGAAATAAACCCCTGTGACAGGCAATTTACCTCTATAGCAATCCTGTACATATATACCCCTGAACCTAAAATAAAAGTTGGAAAGAGGAAACAAGCTGAACATCACATAAGAAATATGTGTGAAAATGGTGGACTGTGCAATAAGTTTTGAGTGTGTTCCCATGCTTTTTCTCCATTAATTCACATGTGAGATCTTTGAGTTTCAACCTCTGGTGAAAACTTTTATATCAAGTTGTCTCAAAATTGAAAATTAATATACTTTCATTCTGTCACCAGTATTTAGTCCTAGAAAATCATTATTCTCTGGCACAAATAAAATCTCTCATTCCAAGTCTTGCATTTGGAAACAGAGATATTGTAAACTGCATTCAGCATGGAATATATGGATATATTGGTAGGTACATTACTATTCAACTTAAACCCATGAGCCATGAGATATGTTGAAACAGCTTCCTATTCTCACTAACAGAAGTGTGTGTGTGTGTGTGTGTGTGTGTACATATATATGCGTGTGTATATACAAAATATTATATGCCCTATGAGATACATATATATCATGCATATGTACACATATGTATCTGTATGTATACATACACATGTACACATATGTATACATGTGTATACATATACATGTGCTACATTTTTATCCTGTCTGCCATTTATGAGAATCTATGTTGATTCCATGCCTGTGTTATTGTGTGTGTGTATGTATAAGCTATATATATGTTGCTGTTGTATATAGATACATGTATGAGTTACATCTATATCATACATATGTCATATATGTACACACATATGTACACATGTATATATGTACATGATACATATGTATGATATATTGTGAGCTCATACATATATGTATATGTGTAACATATATGTATGATATGTGTATGTGAGCCCATACATTTTTATATGATATATATGTAACTCATACATATATCTATATACAGTCACAACATATATATGTATATTGCTCAAATATTTATATATATATACACGCACACAATAACAAACACATGGAATCAACATAGATTCTCATAAATGGCAGACTGGGTAAAGAAATGTGGTACATATACACTGTGGAATACTATGCAGCCATAAAAAGAAGAGAATATAGTCCTTTCCAATAACATGGATGCAGCTGGAGGCCACGATCCTAAGGAATTTATGCAAGAACAGAAAACTAAACATGGCATGTTCTTGCTAATAAGTAGGAGCTAAATTACATGGAAACAATAGACACTGGGGCCAACTTGATAGCAGAGAGTGTGTGTGTGTGTGTGTGTGTGTGTGTATATATATACATATATATATATATTTGCTATACACACAAACATGCACATACACATACCCCTATATATATATGCACTATGCAATTACATATGCCCCCCCCCCCCACACACACACACACATAGCTCATAGGGCATATAGTATGTATAATACCTCACCATGTTAAACATTTTTTCTTTTTTGAGATCGAGTTTCCCTCTTGTCACCCAGGCTGGAGTGCAAGGGAAATCTTGGCTGATTGCAACCTCAGCTTCCCAGATTCAAGAGATTCTTCTGCCTCAGCCTCGTGAGTACCTGGAATTACAGGCAACTTCCACCATGCCTGGGTAATTTTTGTATTTCTTTTTTTTGTAGAGACTGGGTTTCAGGATGTTGGTCAGTCTGGTCTCAAACTCATAACCTCAGGCTATTCACCCTCCTTGGCCTCCCAAAGTGCTGGGAATACAGGCATGAGCCACTGCACCCAGCTAAAAATTATTTCTTGATGATGGGAATTCATCAAATGAAAATGTTTAACTTTCATATGAATCACTTAAGTGGTCAGTAACAGTAAGATACCCCTTTTCTTAATTGGATGCATGTAACCACCATTTCCCTTCCATGAACTTATGTCTCAATTACAGCTCAGCAAACATCTGAGCTGGTTATTCATATTTATGGCCACTGTGTCTAGCCTAAATTTATAGTAACTCTCCTAGAAAGACTAACAAGCCAAGGAATCCAATGAGATTCATGTGGGGAGACCTTGATAAACGTCCAGTGACATGTTACGCCAAATTGATTGCCTACCAGGAGTCTCAGCAAATTTTCAATGATTTTCTGGATTCTGCATTTGATTTTTAAAGTAGGCCTCAAGTTTGCATGTCCGTTATCCATTTTTAACTACATGAATTTTGAAGATTCTCATGGTGAGTATGAGGTTAGGATACTGCGCATCTTTTCTACTCAAAGAGAACAACATAGAGGTGGGCAAAAACATTTAAAATAACCATTAAGTGTTCATTGGATTTAATGTCAAGCAAATATTTCCATAATGGTAAAACTCTAGTAGATTTATAATAAATAAAGCTATTTTCCTCCAATAGTTCTAAATCTGTGGTTCACAATTTCTTTTTCTTTTCTTTTCGAGGAGGGGTCTTGTTCTGTCGCCCAAGCACTATCTCTGCTCACTGAAAGCTCCTCTTCCCAGGTTTGCGCCATTCTCCTGCCTCAGCCTCCAGAGTAGCTGGGACTACAGGCGCCCGCCACCATGCCCGGCTAATTTTTTGTATTTTTTATTAGAGACAGGTTTTCACCATGTTAGCCAGGATGGTTTAGATCTCCTGACCTCGTGATCCGCCCGCTTTGGCCTCCCAAAGACACAATGTTTAATATATCATAAGATCAGTCTCAAGATATGCTAAAGTTTTGGGATACTTTCTCAGAATTTTTATTTTGTGCTATACTGTTTATAATTTTCCTATAGTCATATAATGATAGAAATAAAAATTTTAAAAATGTTCTGTTTGGATCAATAAGTTACATTATTTCTCATAACTATAAAGTTTTTCAAGCCAGGCTGGGCATGGTGGCTCATCCTTGTAATCCCAGCATTTGGGAGGCCGAAGAAGGCAGATCACTTGAGGTTAGGAGTTTGAGACCAGCCTGGCCAACATGGTGAAACTCCATCTCTACAAAAAAATACAAAAATTAGCCAGGCATGGAGGCACATGCCTGTAGTCCCAGCTTCTTGGGAGGCTTAGACTGAGACAAGAGAATTGCTTGAACCTGGGCATTGGAGGTTGCAGTGAGGAGAGATTGCACCACTGCACTTCAGAATAGGTGACAGAGAGCCTGCCTCAGGAAACAAATAAATAAACAAACACAAATAAAGTTCTTCAAAATAAACAAAATAGAAAACAGAGCAAACAATACAGAGATATAATACAATGCAGTATATTGTGTGGGTAATCATTAATGACTTCTTAAAAAGTACAAACAATTCGTACTTTGGGGTATAGGTATAATTGCAACCAAATACAATGAATTGTCATAACATTTCACAAACTTCCATTACTGCATTGTTTGCAAAATCTTTACTGTGTAAAATTTAATTTAATGTATTTCTTAACCGATAAGTTTCCTATATTCATGTTCACAGAATCTCAGTAGAGAAATATGGCAATATTACTCCTAAGGTTATACTCCTCTGCAAATTAGTGCTCATTTTATTAAATACAAACACTTGATATGATTTATAAAACATAAACAGAATTTTTCTATATAAAATGTCATTTTTTAAAAATTATGAATGTGTCATAGAAAACAGGTTTTTAATAATAATTGATAATTTCCTTATATGTCTAACCTTTGGTATAGTCTATTCAATAGTTTCTTTAAACAACTTTGACTTTTTTCATTTATATATTTATTGACTCAGGGAGATAATTTATATGTTATTTTAGGTAGTTTAAAGTCGCTGTAAACACATATTATTTTATACTTTGGAGTAATTTCAAATAATGTTACATAATTATGTTATTATTTCATGTACCCATGGAAGTATCCTGAGTTATTAAACAACTGAGTGTGAACTGTTTTTATAGTTTGGCAATGTACACATTCATGTTTGTAAAAATTTGTCTTATGAAAATATTACACATATATAAATTGCATTTTTGTCTTATTTTAATTCACTAATTGCATACACTAACTTCCTTTTGAAACAGATTAAAATGTATTTGATTTTATATGTAAGAACATGTTTCTTATGAGATAAATCAATAAATAGATTATACAAATAGATAAGTAGAGAGTAACAAGGGAAAAAGAAAATATAATTATCAACTTCTACTGAAAAGATTCTCTACAAAGTATCTGGATGCATTTTGTAATGGCAGGAACATCTAAAAGTATGAGTTGCATAGTGCATCCAACACTTTTCTCTGATAAGTAGATAACTGGAATGCTAATTAAAGTACTTGGAACACTAATTAAAATAACTCCCTAGAATTATAACTCTGCTCTTTCATGCTTATTCTACTAAGATATTGGTTAAAAGTAAATTCATAAGAAGGTCATGTTTCTAAATCACTCCATGAAGACAATACTTAATGTACAAGTATTTAGCAATATTTAAGTAGAACCCTGAACTAAAGGGAATAATCGAGGAATCATTTAACCCATTGCAAAGGAAAGTCAGTAGAGTCGCTATTAGATAATTGTTCATGAGACTGCATTGGTATGCCTGACACACCAATCCTTCACACTGAGTACATATAGTACACTAAGCATTTTTGCACTATACCACTAAACCAATGATAAATTCTGCTTCCTTTTGTAGCAGTGCTAATGATTTCTGTGCCTAAATGTAGAGTCCCAATGTACACCTTCTATCTATCTAGATCTTTCCCGAGTTTGTCAATTAAAATAATACCTAGTCCACTGCTATCTAATCTCATCTTCAGCTTTCACTGTAAGAACTACATACTTTTATCTAGGTCACTGGTAGAGGTGTTTAATAAGGCATGGTTAAAGGAAAGTTCTTTCTATTGTGCATCTCTAGCAGATATCCCTTGGACAAGTCCAAAGTGCAGTTTGCTCAGATATGCCCTCTTCTTCTTTTTTTTTTTTTTTTTTTCCATGTTCATCCATGGCCATTCACTCTCAACAAGTCTAAAAGTGGCATGTTTCCTATCCCCTTCATCTCCATAACTAAACATCATACCATGCTACTTTTATTCCAAATGTTTCCAAAACCGCCTTTAGTTAACAAAATGTATCCATCATCTATTTGCAGGATGAATCCTGTTCATCAATTCTCACTCCAGCTACTTCATCTGAAATGGATTATGATATTTCTTCTGAGCCTCTAGCATTTTTGCAAAGCATTATAATCAAATTATTGAATTTGTGAAGATGCTCACATTTTTTTTCTTTTTTTGATTGATCATCTTTCTTTTTATGATTTATCATAGCATATAGCAAATAATCAATCAGTTTTTTAAATAAAGGAATTATTGAATACTGGGTCAGGAAAAATGCCATGTACCATTGTTGAAAGCTAGAACAGCCCATGAAATTATGAATTCATATTTAATCCTCAGTGTGTGAGCACAGTGAACTTCTAAATGTTACCACTGGTTTCTGACATGGGTGGTCCATGTTATTTTTACTCATTTACACTCATGATTGAAATACTGGTCAACAGGCATATCGTCTGTTCATAATTCACCAATGAATAGCACACAGATTCTCTTCACAGTGTCCTAGGAGCAGAACACCTGATACTTCAACAGAAGACTTCAAGTTGTGTGTATTCCTTCTCACCCACAAATAGGTGTGGAGTTTTCTGGCAACCTATTAAGAGATAGAGAGCTTCCAGTTAGAATGTGTACCATTCACTCTGGGTTTCTGATTCTTGTGTTTAGCTTTCTGCAAAGTGATATAAGGTGACAATTGTTTTTTATAGGTTTTTCAACACAATTTTTAATGGTATATGAGAAAACCAGCATGCAAATACTGAAAGACACATTCTGATGCCACTGGGATTTTGAAATTTTATGTATATTTTAAAGAAAGTTGTGTATACTGGGATGAGAAAATTAGATGTTAACTTTTGGATACTGAAAACATGATTTTTTATATTCTGAATTTAGAAATGCAATTGGAAATTATTAAACTTTTACATGCAGTTAAATTTAACTTGGACAAGAACTGTATAAAATACATAAAGGGTTAAGGATCTTTCATTTAAGTGTGTGAATATATATTCTGTAATCATTAAATGACTTAAATCTTAATGGGTATAAATTATATGAATCTATAGTCTATATTTTAAACTCCTTAACTTATGCAAAATACAAAATATTTACCGAAAAATGTAAAAATCATACATATAAATTAATTATTGGGTATCTTTTTTGAAACAACTACTTGTATCTTGTATCAAAATAAGGAAATATTTTGATTCTGGGAAGCCTGAAGTTGCCTAGCATTTAAAACGTGTCTAATCAATAATTTAGAAGTGCTATTAATATGAAACTATTTATACAACCTGGGTTATAAAGTAGCTAAATCATCAGATAAAGATTCATGGCTGGTAGAACTGCTGTAACCCTTATAAATTACAGTTCCTGAATTCCATAGTCATTATCATAATTAAATGGTAGTAATCAATGTTTACTGACTGTCTTAGCCCATGTAGTGAGGCATAATTTTCCTAGACTGTTGTAAACATCATTACAATGTGTGAAAATTTTACAACTTCTTAAAAAGAAATTTTCCACTCTTCCTAGTAATGTGTAATACCTCAGAACATGTAATTCCTCCTGTAATAACATACTATTTTTTTTTTTTTTTGAGATCTAGGGAAAACAATTCATTATAGTGTTTTGAAAGGTTTTTTTTTTTTTTTTTTTTTTTTTTTTGATACTAAGTCTCACTCTTGTCCCACAGGCTAGAGTGCAATGTCAGGATCTCAGCTCACTGCAACCTCCACTTCCCATTTTCAAGTGATTCTCTTGTCTCCACCTCTTGAGTAGCTGGGATTACAGGTGCCTGCCAGCAGGCCCAGCTAATTTTTTACTTTTGGTAGAGATGGGGTTTCACCCTGTTGGCCAGGATGGTATTGATCTCCTGACCTCAGGTGATCGACCTACCTCAACCTCCCAAAATTCTGGGATTACAAGTGTGAGCCACCGCACCCAGCCAAGAACATCATTGACTTTTAGTTATTTTGTGTGTTTGTATACAACTTTGTGACAATGCATTGTGAATATATTTTGCTGAACAAGTGTTACATAATTAAACTAGTATTTATTGTGCATCCAGAGAAAAGATTAAATTTAATTTCATTGTACGCAAATAGGATGTCCATGCAGCCAGCCACGTCTATCATGTTCTTCTTGTCACTTTATTGTCTTGTCTTCATGGAGGTAAGTCCTTCACACTTTTTACCTTGATATTCCCATTACCAAATCCTTGCTCCTTTTCAGGTGACAACTTCAGGAAAGTCAGAAACAGTCTAGAAAACTTCCGCCAGCTCCTACTAGCAAATCTATCATCCACCTTGCATTTGTTACATATTGCTATTGCAACACACGAGTACAAATGGAATCACTGAGAATAAAAAATGTCATGTTACAGTGCTGGAGGTCCAAAGTCCAAAATCAGTCTCACTGGGCTAAGATCAAGATGTCAGCAAGGCTGCCTTCCCTTTGGAGGCTCCAGTGGAGAATCCATTTTTTCCTTTTTTTTTTTTTTTTTTTAATCTCCTAGAAGCTGCTGTGCCCCAAGCCTCATGAACACTTCCTCCATCTTCAAAGACAATAGCATTGGGCTGAGTCTTTCTCACATGGCCTTGTTCATAATTATCTTTACTGATACTCTCTTCCCTTGTGATTACATTGGATGTAAGCAGATGGTCCATATTATATCCCTGATTTAAAGTCAACTGATTAGAAAACTTGATTTTACCTGCAATCTTAATTCCCCTTTGTCATATAACATAACCTATCTATAGTTTCACAGGATTGGGATGTTCTTAGCTTTGAGGGGAGGCATTTTTCTGCCTGACAGATAGCCACATCTTGGTCCACAGAGGAAGCCTCCCTTCTCACCTGTGTCAATTCTGAACAGTATCTGTTGACTGCCATTCCTATGAGCCAGTGGAAGTATTCATTTCTGCCTTCCAAATTCTATACAAACTAAAGTTAGAGAAGACAAGTCATTCCCTTGCTAATAGTGTTGTTAATGTTCAACTCCTGCCAAAAGATATGAATTTGGAATTCTCAATTTTGAAATATTCTTAGGGTAGTTTCCTCTAAGTCACATACCATACTTTTCCTTCCTGAACTGAAAGCAAGGGTGTGGGCTTTTGAGTTGTCAAACTCCTAATCTCCTAATTTACTGTGAAAGTAAGTTATAAACTGATTAACTTTGCTGTTCATCAGCATGGAAAGCAGTCTTGCATTCAATCTAGCCAAAGTGGGTAACATTTCTAAGCTTCGTTTTTTAAATATCTCTAATTAAAAATTAGAATTATTATGCCAACATGAAAAACAAAATTTCAATTTTGACATAGGTCAGTAGTATTAACCTCATCCATACATCATAACTGTTTGCTGGTAAAATGAATGCTGACAGGATATCTATCTTGAATGAACTTCTAAGTGCTCAAGACATTAATATTAAAGTCAAATCTTATACCTAAAATTTCCATACTTTTCAATTATCAAAATGTGTATAGTATTTAAACATTACCTTTAGAACCTAGAGAAGACAGGGCATGTATTACTAAATCACTTGTAACTCTTTGACTGTCAATTCTGAGCAGACAATATTGTTACATTACAAGGAGAATAATACAATAACATGCAAAATCCAACATCAGCATTGCAAAACTGCAGATGAAAACATGCAATGTTAACCTTGTAAAATACGAATGTGAGTTTGCAGATAAACAAGCCAAGGTTTGCACAGTGGGTATCTTATGAGAATACAACATTATACAGATCTAATTAAAAAGAAGCACAATATGACATTCATAAAATATCTTTAAAAAGCTCATCTTCTTTTTCATTTACAAGGAAATTTAATTTATATTGCTTATAACATTGCTATTTTTTAAATTTTTATTTACATCTGGACCTTGTGTCCATTGGGTCTATGTTTAATATTTGCAAACTCTATTTTTTTTTTATTTTGTTTTTTACTTAACATTCACCAACAAAGCAGACCTTGGTGTTTATAAATGATCAATAACTTGATCATGAACTCCATCATGAAATGCTTGTAATTAATGAGAGAGAATAGCAAGCTTTTACCTCATGAGCTAGATAATTGCTAATTTTTGGAAGTAAAAGCAGATTTTATAAATAAATAAATTTAAATATTCTAACAATACAAGAAATAGTGAGAAAAACACATTACTAAACCGAAACAGGGTATGTTATTTGGATAATCTGATTAAAAATAGTGTTTTGCTGTATGACGTACTATATTTTTCAAGTCATCTAAGCAGTAAATCCTTAAAATCTTCCCCATAGCCTTCCTGGAAAGGTTATCCTCCCACTTTAAATTCCCTAAAGAATTTTAAATCTTCTTTCATATAAGTAACCCTGGTAAATGAGGTATGACAAGATTTAAAAAAATACCCATATGCAGAGGCATATAGCCTCTGATTTGAATATTATTAGAATAAATTGTGTGGATAGGTAATGCTGTGTGTAGTGTGATTAGTGCATGCCCTCCAGTATATAAACATTTTAAAATCAATGCATGAGTTAATGTTAAAAGGGCATCTGGAGAAATCAGCTCCAGTAATAGAAAAAAAAAGGTACAGGCTTCAGATAAACAGAGTAAGAATGAGAATCTTATGGGAGATTTAAGGGTAGGAAATATTTCAGCAGATTTTCCATCACCCAAGTTAGTCAACAAAACATTCTCTCAGGCAAGCCCACAAGAGGAAAAGGCTATGGTGTGCTTGTAGAATTCCCCTCAAATTTCTCACCTTTGGGAATAATATACACTCGTGGTTGAGAGTGAGTTGCATGTTTGAATAATAATTGTATCCATTAGTAAAATAATAGTCCAATTATAAATTATTTTGTGTTTCAATACTTTAGGAGTCTCTTTATTGTGAACTAAAAATATTAAATTATTACCTTGTAGTGTAGCATCATTACCTAAATGCAATTATATAAGAAAATTCCTGTAGTTTTACCTGTACAGAAGACTGTATCTCTTGTGAATTT
The DNA here is from genome assembly GCF_000001405.40 of Homo sapiens. Lineage (NCBI taxonomy): Eukaryota > Metazoa > Chordata > Mammalia > Primates > Hominidae > Homo > Homo sapiens. The sequence continues at coordinate 15,072,359 of NC_000024.10, read as the reverse complement.
AGGAATGACATATATATCTCTCCCTTCTCCTTGCTTTCTCTGTTCTGGATAGATCCGATGAAAAATGTGCCAACATAGCATTTTCAGATTATGCCTATTCTGTTATTATTTTACTTGGTTTATTCAGGGATGCTGCCATATAAAACCTTTCACCACACTTGTACATCTGGCATGTGGTAGTATGGAATAAATGCTTTCTAAAACAAAACCTGGTAATCTATGGTTGCACATGGCTCAGAAGAAAGAGTTATCTGTCGTTTGAAGAATTGAGTGACAAGCTCATCAGAATAATCATCACCACAAACATGCATGGAGCATACAATTTGTATGAGGCAAAATTGGAGACAGAAATGAGCCTCTGCTAGTTTCAGGCCAAACCAATGTACACCTTCCATGTACTGACTTATAATTTTACCTATAATTTCTGCTCTTAAAATTTCTAAAACCAATCTGTACAACAGCAAACTTGATCACACTTTCTCGGGACACCTTGAGGCTGTTTCTCACATTATAGCCACACATGTTGCCTCAGAATAAATCTCGTTATTGTCCATGTGCTCTTCTAGGATTTTTATGATTTGGGGTTTTCAATTTAAATCTTTAATTCATCTTGAGTTAATTTTTGTATAAGGTTTAAGGAAGGGGTCTAGTTTCTGTTTTCTGCATAGGGCTAGCTAGTTTTCCCAACATCATATATTAAATAGGGAATTATTTTACCATTATTTGTTTTTGTCAGCTGCGTCAAAGATCAGATGGTTTAGATGTATGGTGTTATTTATGAGGTCTCTGTTCTGTTCCTTTTGTCTATATATATCTGTTTTGGTACCAGCACCATGATGTTTTGGTTACTGTAGTATAGTTTGAGGTCAGCTAGCAGGATGTCTCCAGCTTTGTTCATTTTGCTTAGGATTGTTTTGGCTTTACAGGCTCTTTTGATTCCACATGTAATTTAAAGTATCATTCTACTATAAAGACACATGAACATGTATGTTTATTGTAGTACTGTTTACAATAGCAAAGACTTAAAACCAACCCAGATGCCCAACAATGATAGATCAGATAAAGAAAATGTGGCACATATATACCATGGAATACTATACAGCCATAAAAAAGGAATAAGATAATGTCCTTTGGAGGGACATGGATAAAGCCAGAAGCCCTCATTCTTGGAAAACTAACACAAGAGCAGAAAACCAAACACCACAGGTTCTCACTCATAAGTGAAAGTTGAACAATGAGAACATGTGGACATGAGGGAGGGGGAATATCTCACACTGGGGGCCTCTCAGCTGGTGGGGCAAGGGGAGGGAGAGCATTAGGACAAATACCTAGTGCATGCAGGGCTTCAAACCTAGATGGTGGGTTGATAGGTGTAGGAAACCACCAACTCACATGTGTACCTATGAAACAAACATGCATATTCTGCATGTGTATTCCAGAACTTAAAGTAACTTTTTTAAAAAAGAATAAACCTGGTTAAATACATTTCAGAGTTTGATTTCCCCATGAATAGGCTCAATATCTTTTTTATCATTATTCAAAGAAATCTTGTGAATTATTTCATACAGATATTTAAATAAAATTTTCTATGGGACCGCCATGTATTTACTCAGCTTCAAAGGTTACTATTGTTTAAACATCTGTACAAATGTAAATGATATTAATACTTTCCATAGTCTAATCTGGATACCTTTCTTTTTTTATTGTTATCTATTTTATATCACTTTAAGTTCTGGGATACATGTGCTGAAAATGCAGGTTTATTACATGTGCCATGGTGGTTTCCTGCACTTATCAATCTGTCATCTAGGTTTTAATCTCCACATGTATTAGGTATTTGTTCTAATGTTCTCCCTTCCCTTTGCTCCCACCCACTGACAGACCCCAGTGTGTGATGTTCCCTGTGTCAACATATTCTCATTGGTCAGCACCATTTATTAGTGAGAACATGTGGTGTTTGATTTTCCATTCCTGTATTAGTTTGCTGAGGATGGCGGCTTCCAGCTTCCATGTCCTGCAGTGACATGAACTCATTCTTTGTTATGGCTGCATAGTATTCCATGGTGTATATGTGCCACATTTTCTTTATTCAGTCCATCATTGATGTGCATTTGGGTTGGTTCCAAGTGTTTGGTATTGTAAAGAGTGCTGCAATAAACATATATGTGCATGTGTCCACATAGTAGCATGATTTATAATCCTTTGGGTATATACCAAGTAATGGGATTGCTGGGTCAAATGGTACTTCTGGTTCTAGATCCTTGAATAATTTGATACACAGACTTCCACAATGCTTGAACTAATTTACACTCCCACCAACAATGTAAAAACATTCCTATTTCTCCACATCCTCATCAGCATCTGCTGTTTCCAGACATTTAAATGATCACCATTCTAACTGGCGTGAGATGGTATCTCATTGTGGTTTTGATTTGCACTTCTCTAATGACCAGTCATGATAAGCTGTTTTTCATATGTTTGTTGGCTACATAAATATCTTCTTTTGAGATGTGTCTGTTCATATTCTTTGACTAGTTTTTGGAAGGAGTTGTTTGTTTTTTCTTGTAAATTTGTTTAAGTTATTTGTAAATTCTAGATATTAGCTCTTTGTCAGAAAGATTACAAAAATTGTTTTCCCATTCTGTAGGTTGCATATGGACTCTGATGATAGTTTCTTTTGCTGTGAAGAAGCTCTTTAGTTTAATTAGGTCGCATTTGTCAATTTTGGCTTTTGGTGCAATTGTTTTTAGTGTTTTAGTCATGAAGTCTTTGCCCATGCCTGTGTTCTGAATGGTATCGCCTAGGTTTTCTTCTAGCGTTTTTACAGTTTTAGGTTTTACATTTAAGTCTTTAATCCCTCTTGAGTTAAATTTTGTATGAAGCTTAAGGAAGGAGTTCAGTCTCAGTTTTCTGAATATGGCTAGCCAATTTTTCCTGAATCCTGGTGGTGCAGGCACACAAGAGTATCTTCTGGTCTGTGAATTGCAAAACCCATGGGAAAAGCGTAGTATCTGGGGTGGATAGCACAGTCCCTCATGGCTTCCTTTGGTTTGGGTAGGGAGGCTCCCCCATTCCTTGCACTTCCTGGGAGAGGCAATGTCCCACCTGCTTCTGCTTGCACTTTGTGGGCTGCACCCATTGCCTTACCAGTCCCAGTGAGATTAACATGGAACCTGAGTTAGAAATGCAGACATCACTGGCCTTCTGCATTCATCTCACTGGGAGCTGCAGACTGGAGCTGTTCCTGTTTGGCCATCTTGCTGGTTTCTCCCCTGGATGCCTTTATTTGAAGGAGATTGGCACAATAGAAATGAACAGAACCTTACAAAGAATGAGTCCTGGTTTTCTATAGTTGATTCAGAGTTTTCATCTGAACAGTATGGTACCTGAGCTTCCTTTCCAGGTCACACTGTAGCTTATTCTGCAGGCTGGTGCCACTGGGTGATACAAATTAGCCTATGGATTCACAGTGTGCTAGAAATTTTGCACTTGTATTATAAAAAAGTGTCCAGATTCAGACACCAAGAAAGGTTTCTTGAATCTCATGCAAGAAAAAATTCAGGGTGAGTCCATGGAGTAAAGTGAACACAAGTTTATTCAGAAAGTGAAGGAATAAAAGAATGGCTACTCCATAGACACAGCAGCCTCTGGGTTATTTCTTGACTATAGGCTAAACAAGAGATGGATTATTCATATGCTTCCTCTTTTTATAACATATAGGGTGACTTCCTGATATTGCAGTGACATTTTAAACTGTCATGGGAGTACTGCTGGTGGGAGTATAGCAGTGAGGATGACCAGAAGTCACTCTCATGGACATCTTGGTTTTGGTGGGATTTGGCCAGCTTCTATACTGCAACCTATTTCATCAGCAAGGTCTTTATGACTTGTATCTTGTGTGGATCTCTTATCTCATCTTATCCTGTGACTTAGAATGCCTTGGCCATATGGGAATGCAGCCCAGTAAGTCTCAGCCTCATTTTACCCAGTTCCTCTTCAAGATGGAGTTGCTGTGGGTCACATGCCTTTGAAACTGGGACGTGTGTGTGTGTGTGTGTGTGTGTGTGTGTGTGTGTGTGTGTGTGTTTTAAGGGGTCTCTATGCACAGTAATAGAAAGATGGCACCACAGTCCCAGGGAGGCTGACCGGCATGCAAGTATGCAATAGTGACCAGTATCAGTTAACCCCAATACTTCCCAAAGCACCTCAATGGTGAAACAGAGCAGAAACCCCATCTTAGCAAGTTCCTTTATGCCCTGGGTGGCCCCACCAAGCATGGAAACAAAGGAAAATATTCAGTTCCTTCAAAGGAAATTCCAGGTACCTGTGTAACCCTGAGAAGCAATTAAATAACTCAGTAAGTAAGAAGGTGATAGTGATAGGGACAGAAGGCAGGAAGCCAGGGATCCTGGCAAGAGCTCTACCCTCAAGCCTGCACCCATAGCCTTAAATGAGAACAAGCATTCCTGTTTTTGCCCCCTCATGCCTTTTTCAAGACAACTCTGGCCTGCCCCACCCCCTATTCTGTGCCCATAGAACCTGAAACCTCAGGCTCCATGAGCAGAAGAGCTACAGAGCAGGCAGAGCAGCAGAGCAGCATGGCAGATATGGAGAGAATAGAAGAAATATCTGAACTTCGAGAGTTTAGCTTGGGATGATTGCAGAGGAGCCAAACTCTAGGTAAATGTTATCTTCCCACTCCAACCCTTTTCTAGCTCCTCATCCTACTGAAAGCCAACTCTGTCACTCAATAAAATCTCTGCATTCTCTATCCATCAAGTCTATGTGACCTCATTATTTCTAGACACTGGACAAGAATCCAAGAACCTGGGTACCAAGAGGGCAGGGTGTAAAAGGCTGTCATGTTGACCACTGAGCTGGTTAACACTTAGTGACTCATGAACAGCAACTACTAAAATAGCATTCACTGTAAGACACCCTCAGATGATGCTGTGGGGCCAGAGCCCTAAAGTTCTTGCCCAAGCCTTGGCACCCATTGGCCTCCATGATCTCCCTTCTTCAAGGGGTTTGAGTGCAGCAGCAGCTGAATAAGTAAGCCACACCGCTCTTGCAAGTTCTGCAAAGAAGTCAGGAGAATTCTCCCATTTCCAATAGTAGCCTAAAACAATAGCCAAGGAAGTTAGAATCACATAATATTTGGTTATTGTAGAGAAATTAAAGATAATACCTTAGCATATATCCCTGACTTTTTTTTCAAAAATCTGGACCCTCACTAAACAGATCTCCTGGAACGTAGATGTCAGGTGAGGGGAAATGAAGACAACTCTGACTGCCTATTCTGTTTTATAATTATTTTTTTGTAGGGACCTGAAGGAGGTCATTCCCATGATCGACAGGTAACATTCTTTTCTGCTGACCACAAGCTTTTATTTTTTATTTATCTCACTCTGTTGTCCAGGGTGGATTGCAGTGGCATGATCACAGCTCACTGCAACCTCTGCCTCCTAACTTCAAGCAATTATCCTGCCTCAGCCTCCGGAGTAACTGGGACTACAGACATGCACCACCACACCCAGCTAATTTTTGTATTTTTCTGAGAGACAGAGTTTCACTGTGTTGGGCAGTATGATCTGGAACTCCTGGCTTCAAATGATCTTCTCATTTGGCCTCCCTAAGTGCTGGGATTACAAGAGTGAGGTACCTCATCCAGTGTGACCTCAGATTTTTAAAGAAAACCTTGTCTCTTTAATCAATTCCAAATCATAAAATGTTCTAATCTACTTATGACCTGTATGCTCCCACTTCAAAATATTCCCCCATGTTACACCAAAACCCATGTGTAACATTTGAGTATTTATTTACTATTTTGCCTGTAGTTTCTGCTTTCCAGAAATTTAGATCTGTCTTTAAAAGCCCTTAACTGCAAGCCATTGCATAGGTTGGATCTCAAGCATGAGCAACCTGATTATCCATCTGTGGTGCACTGCAAATAAACATCCTTCTTTCTCCTGCTGCAAAGCCTCTGTGTGTATAGCTGGTCTTATTGTGCTGGATGAATGGACCACAGCTGTATTTCTTAACAATGGCAGGGAAGAAATTTGCATCAGAACCAAATACACATTTTACAAGGTGCAGAACATCTTTCAAAGAATTAAATAAATAAAATCATTGTCCCAATTATTAAGACTTTTAAAAATAGCTTTTTAGTACCAGCTTCAACTCAGATGTGGAACGTAAGACTTATTTCCAACATTCTTTCAAAGCTCCAGTCTTTCTCCAACTCCAGAAAATGAGTGCCATGGAACTCCAATTCTATGATTTTTTTTAGGGTGATAATTTCGTACTTGCTCTAGTCATAGGGGAAAAACAGATGTGGGCATGTTGAATCTTGTTAACTAAGGAACAAAACACTTGCAAAATTGTTAGCAGTACTCTCAAAAGTTAGATTTCTGGCGGCCGCAAAATGTACTAATGTACCCTAAGAATGACCTCCAGTGGCCTTCAATCTTGGAGTGTAGGTGCAACTTCTGAATACAATGAGTGATCACTCCCATGTATGGATTTGAAGATACAAGGAATGAATGGTTTCAGGTAAGAATTATTGGGCAGCTAGATGTGCATGTTGCAGAGTTGTAGTAGCTTGAATGCATGAATACATGTAAAAAAGTGATGGCACCGACCAAAAAAAACCCGAGGAATAGGTGGATTCACAGCCAAATTCTACCAGAGGTACAAATAAAAGTGCTACCATTCCTTCTGAAACTATTCTGAAAAAAATGGAAAAAGACAGAATCCTCCCTTTATCATTTTATGAGGCCAGCATCACCCTGATACCAGAAAAATAAAATTTCAGGCCAATATCCCTGATGAACATCAGTGTGAAAATCCTCAATAAAATACTGGAAAACTGAATCCAGCAGCACATCAAAAAACTTTTCCGCCACGTTCAAGTTGGCTTCATCCCTGGGATATAAGGCTGGTTCAACATATGCAAATAAATAGACATAATCCATCACATAAACAGAACCAATGACAAAAACCACATGATTGTCTGAATAGGCACAGAAAATGCCTTCAATAAAATTCAACACCATTTATGTTAAAAATACTCAATAAACTAGGCATTATTGGAACATACCTCAAATAATAAGAGCTATTTATGGCAAACCCATAGCCAATATCATATTGAATGGGCAAAAGCTGGAATCATTCCCTTTGAAAACCAGCACAAGACAAGGATGCTCTTTCTCACCTCTCCTATTCAAAATAGTATTGGAAGTTCTGGCCAGGGCAATCAGGCAAGAGAAAGAAATAAAGGGTGTTCAAACAGGAAAAGAGGAAGTCATATTGTCTCTGTTGAAGACAACATAACTCTATATTTAGAAACCCAATCATATCAGCCCAATATTTCCTTAAGCTCATAAACAACTTCATCAAAGTCTCAGGATATAAAATCAGTGTGCAAAAATCACAAGCATTTTTATACACCAATAATAGACAAACAGAGAGCTGTATCATGCATGAAGTCCTATTCACAATTGCTACAAAGAGAATAAAATACTTAGGAGTACAACCTGCAAGGGATGTGAAGGACCTCTTCAAGGAGAACTACAAACCACTGTTCAAGGAAATAAGAGAGGACAGAAACAAATGAAAAAAAAAATTCCATGCTCAAGGATAGGAACAATCAATATTGTTAATACGACCATACTGCCCAAAGTAATTTCTAGATTGAATGCTATCCTCATTAAGCTACCATTGACTTTCTTTACAAAATTAAAAAAAAATACTTTGAATTTGATATGGAGCCCAAAAAGAGCCCATATAGCCAAGACAATCGTAAGCAAAAAGAACAAAGCTGGAGGCATCATGCTACCTAACTTAAAACTATACTCCAAGGCTGTGGTAACCAAGACAGCATGGTACTGGTACTAAAATAGAAATATAGATCAATGGAACAGAATAGAAGCCTCAGAAATAACACTACACATCTACAACCATCTGATCTTTCACAAACCTGAGAAAAACAAGCAGTGGGGAAAGGATTCCCTATTTAATAATTAATGTTGGAAAAATGGGCTATCCATATGCAGAAAACTGAAACAGGACCCCTTTCTTACACCTTATACAAAAATTAACTAAGATGGATTAAAGACTTAAACATAATACCTAAAACGGTAAAAACCCCAGAAGAAAACCTAGGCAATACCACTGGGGACATAGGCATGGTCAAAGACTTCATGACTAAAACACCAAAAGCAATGTCAACAAAAGCCAAAATTGACAAATGAGATCTAGTTAAACTAAATAGCATCTGCATAGCAAAAGAAACTATCATCAGAGTGATTAGGCAACCTAAAGAATGGGAGAAAATCTTTGGAATCTATCTATCTGACAAAAGGCAAATATCCAGAACCTACAGGGAACTTGAACAAATTTACAAGAAAAAAAAATCTCATCAAAAATTGGGTGAAAGATATGAACAGACAGTTCTAAAAAGAAGACATTTATACAGCCAACAAACATGAAAAAAAGTTCATCATCACTGGTCATTAGAGAAATGCAAATCAAAACCACAATGAGATACCATCTAATGCCAGTTAGAATGTTGATTATTAAAAAATCAGGAAATAAATGCTGGAGAGGATGTACAGAAATGGAAACACTTTTACACTGTTGGTGGGAGTATAAATTAGTTCAACCACTGTGGAAGACAGTGTGGGGATTCCTCAAGGATCTAGAGTCAGAGATACCATTTGACCTAGCATTTGACATTACTAGGTATATTCTCAAAGGATTATAACTCATTCTAGTATAAAGACACGTGCACATGTATGTTTATTTCAGAACTATTTACAATAGCAAAGACTTGGAGACAACACAAATGACCATCAATGATACACTGGATAAAGAAAATGTGGCACATATTCACCATGGAATACTATGCAGCCATAATAATGACTGAGTGCATGTAGCTTGCAGGACATGGATGGACATGGAAACCATCATTCTCAGCAACTGACACAGGAAAAGAAAACCAAACACTCTTGTTCTCACTCTTAAGTGGGAGGTGAACAATGAGAACACATGGACATAGGGAGGCGAACATCACACGCCCGGCCTGTCAGGGAGGTGGGGGCAAGGAGAGGGATAACATTATGAGAAATACCTAATGTAGATGACAGGTTGATGCCTGAAACAAATCACCATGGCACCTGTATACCTATGTAACAAAACTGCATGTTCTGCACATGTATCCCAGAACTTAAAGTATAATAAATGAAAAATACATAAATAAATATAAACATAAAAGATGGCAACTATATTGGAATTAAGGTCACATCTTTCTTTTCTGAAGGTTAATCACCAGGTTATGTATGGTGTGTCATTTGTTCTGAAGTACTAAAGATAGTATCCTATGTTCTGGATTAACTGTTTCATAAGGCAATTTACTTTTCTCTGTTTTTAGTGCTTGCAGAGGGGCTAACAGTAGCATAAATCTCTCTTTTGATGAAGCCTTTAGAAAATAGAATAAGGTCCTCAACATTCTTTTCTGGAAAAGTCACTACCTAGATCTTAATGTTCACTTCTGTGGAAAGAGCTGCAGCTCTGTAAATGGAAGTTGTCTCAAAGAGATGTACTCTTCCAAATCTGAAAAAACTGGGCCAATAATACTCTATATTCTATGCCCAAAGCCTATGTCTTCTATAATATATTTTTTATTTATGTAATCTTTGTAATATAGGGATGGATTAAGAGGACAAAGACATGGACATTTTGTGTGTTGGTATTAATACACTGATTCATTTGGAAGCTAAATATGAGAGACCCCATAAAAGCATTGCAGTTGATTAAAGCAGAATGTGATGTGATGTGAATGGTTTGAATGACCACTGCATGGCATGCAGATTTTTTTCAGCACTTTTAGGTGTTCTTTGTGTGTATGTACACAGCATCTGGCAACAAAAATAATAAAGCTAAGAAACGCCTTCTATGTATCAAGACTCAGTTAACCTTTTACTATTAGGAGAGGGTAGCACACAGATTAGGCTTTTCATCCTAAATTTTCACCATAAAATTTCTCAAGCTCACAATTGCACATATCTGAAACACTGGGATAATTAACTTATAGTTATCATGAAGCATCCTCTATCCCTGGCAAACAAGAAACCATTATCTCTGCCTTCAGCTCTGTCTTGAAGTGGCCATTGCTGACTCTTCCCCCTCTTGGTCTTGTTCATGGCATTTCAAGCAATACCGAAAAGCTAACATTGATAAGACACCATTAATGAAACTACAAGCATATGAAATCATGTTACCTTGTGAAATGTATAAAGACATGCCAGTCATTTATTATATGTCAATGTTGTACTTATGTATATTATCTAATAGATCTTCACAATGACAATTGGATTTGATGGAATTGTGGTTGATGGAGCTAAATAAATTGTCTCAGGTTTGGGCCGCTTGCACTTTGCTGAATTAGTCCAAGGTTGAAAATGAGCACTCTATATTCAAAGTTGGCACATATCTAACTTCTGTACCATGTTGTCATTTTCAATTATGAGAAAAATACCTTTGCTGTGGAATAATTTTCTTTACTTTCTAATTTAAGAAAATTCTATATTGCATTTAAATCCAAAAATATCCACTCAGGAATCTCACCTATCAAAACTCTCACGAATGCATAGGTTGGATTTCAACAGGAAGAAACTTGTTTATTTAAAGCAGGCATAATTTCTAGATAAACCAGAAGAGATAGAATCACTAAAAAATAATGGAACAATTTTACATTGTCTCTTTCAAATCTAAACTCTTGAGTATGGAATAAATATGAGCTGAATAATTCCTAGCAGAGCACTCAATATGTAAGACAGATTTTGATGACTGAGTCTGGCAGTTTCTCATGAAATAATTTGATACATTCTAAACATGCCACAAAAATAAGTTTCACAGATTACATATTGACGGGGAAACGTGTCTATTTTATGAAATTCTATTTTCAAAAGCCAATGTTTCCCTGGAATAATAATTCAATGTTTGGAAGGCAACACTGTTGATAGTTATCTGTAAATATAACTTTTCTTATAACAATTTGAGTAGATATTTATCAAAATACAGAAATGAGACTTTGTAAATGTCACAGATGATAAGTTCATACAGATCTATGGTGGAGAGTGAATGTGTGGACCACCTCCAAAAGCAGAGAATTATTGAAACAACAGATATGTTTTATTAAATCCCATTCACCAACTATTTGCTTAAACTTAAAACTTCATCATTTTCTGACTATTTGACATTTTACTTCATCCAGTATTGTTTCTTAGTGCAGGATTATATATTTAACACTTAATCTCTTTTTATAATATTAGAGAATTATTTCCTGTGATATTTTTTCCCATGGCAATTTAAAGAATTTGATGCACATTTGCAGATGTTTTTAATCACAAAGAAAATAAATTGAAATTTCTGGGATTCTGTCATTCACTCCCAAGTGCACAGTAATCTCAGAAATGGTAATGTATAGAGCACTGTGTCTCTTACAAAGGCCACCACACAGGCCTGGGAATCTACGACAGATTCATGCTTATGCCTATCCCACAGCTGAAATGACAGAAATAGTTAGATATCCTCCAAGGAAAAAGGGAAGGACACTTTCCCCAGGCTCTGCTTCTCAGAATGGTGTAATGGTTTCAAAATATCCTTGTTATTGTTAAAAACTGCTGTTTCCTCTATCTTCCATACTTCAGAGATAGATAGTTAACAGGACAGTTGGGACCAATGGCTATCTGAACACATCCCGTATCCTCTCTTCTATCTGGACAATGGTTGGGTGTATATGTCTCAAGAGTTTCTTGCCTCCCAATGCAGAATAATTTCAACTGAATCTCTACTTTAGCTAGGGACTTCTAAAGATAGAGTCTTTCTAGATGACTCAAATATAATAGAGCTTCCTAAAAAAATCAGGAAACATTAATTACCATCTCCAGGAGAACACAAGGGTGAAGAACAGTACAATACAAGTTTTCTTTGCCAAGTGTCTGCCATTGTTGTTTGCAATCATAGATATGGGGGTTCAATTATATGGTGAAGGCATAGCCCAAACCATTCTTTCACTAACATGAGAGTGGCTGGGAGAGGGTAGCAGGCAAAGAATGCTCCACCTGCCATCTTTACATGCCAAGAAAGAAGGAGATACAGCTTTACAGTCAAATGAAACCATTGTTCTGCACTTAAAGGACAAATAAAAGCCAAGCACACACACACACCCATGTGCACACCCTTCTTCAAGAAGTTGTTTTATTGTGCATTCATAAATATAGACAAGAAAAAATAGTGCACTATAAATTCTTTGATAAAGGAATATATATCTTAGGAAAGTGGAATAGAACAAAAAGTCAAAGGGTTAGGGAAGACAGGATGTCTGATCGAAAGTCTTAAGCAAAGCATGATGTTATGTTATAGGTGTTGCTAAACTGGGGTTACATGTCTTTCATTCATATGTTTCCACAAACATTTTAAGATAAAAAACAATGCTTGCCACAAAATAAGCATGAATATTCCTGATATTGAGTGGAAAAACACTATGTTCAGTTCTCATGAAATCCTTGGGAATTTAAATAAGAACACTTTAAACAGCAAGCTATCATGAACTGTCTCCTTGAAGGCTATTTCTCATAAGATGCCACAAATAATCTGATGTTACAATGACAAAACATGACTAATGAGTGAGATGACTCAGAAACCAAACTCATTTGCAGTGTACTCCTCTATAGATAAGTGTATGGTTTAGAATAGTCTGACTCCAGCAAGCATCTAAATATGCAAACACACACACACAGCTGAAAACATAGAATTGTGCTTCTGAGGAAATATAGGTGCACATACCTGATTGACACTCAATCATTTTGAGAATTAAATATATTGTTCAGTTTCAGGACTAATGCCAAGAGTTTTTTTTCTTTTTTTCGGTGTTGTTATTTTGTCTTTTTTGAAATTTGAGGGAGACTCTCATTCTGTCATCTAGGCTGGAGTGTATTATCTAGCTGGTGTGATCACAGCTCACTGCAGCCTGGACTTCCTGGGCTCAGGAAATCTACCCACTTCAGTCTCCTAGTATTTGGGACCAAAGACACGTGTCACAATGACGGGCTTTTTTTTTTTCTTTTTTGGTAGAGATAAGGTCTCACTTTGTTATTTATGCTGATCTAAAACTCCTAGACTCAAGTGGGTCAGCCACCTCAGCCTCCTAAAGTGCTGGCATACTAGGTATGAGCCACCACACATGGCCCCTAATACTGAAATTGTGATAAACAACACATAGCAATGTTGAGTAAATTCAAAATCCTTGGCAAAATCCAAACACAAATGGTTTATGTTGTAACCACTCTTATGGCTTAAGACACTAGTCTTAGGGTATAAAATATAAATGTTTTAAGCTGTAACTCTCCCCTTTCTAGGAGAAATTAAAATTTTCATCCATTGCTGAAAGTTGATCATTTATTCTAAGATAAATGAGGTTCCTAATTTTTACCTAAATAATGATGATTCCATTTAACGCACAGGACTGTATCTATATACTATAGAAATGATGCAGTGGCCTTGTATTTCTATGTCTCCCATTTTTAGCAGTGGATTGTCCATGTTAAAAGTATTTTTTTTCAGCTTGGCTGGGCACTGTGACTTGTACCTGTAATTTCAACACTTACGGAGGCCCAGGCAGGAGGATTGCTTGAGACTAGGAGTTTGAGACCTGCCTGAGCAACACAGTGATAACCCTCTCTATAAGAAGAAAAAAAAAAAGGCCGGGTGCGGTGGCTCACGCCTGTAATCCCAGCACTTTGGGAGGCTGAGGCCGGCAGATCACGAGGTCAGAAGATTGAGACCATCCTGGCTAACACGGTGGTGAAATTCCGTCTCTACTAAAAATACAAAAAAGAATTAGCCGGGCTTGGTGGCGGGCACCTGTAGTTCCAGCTACTCGGGAGGCTGAGGCAGGAGAATGGCGTGAACCCGCGAGGCGGAGCTTGCAGTCAGCCCAGATTGCGCCACTGCACTCCAGCCTGGGCGACAGAGCTAGACTGTGTCTCAAAAAAAAAAAAAAAAAAAAAGGGAAAGAAAAAAATTAAGCATGACATAAAATTCAAGGGTCATCAACAAAAAAGTTTCATGTATTTGACAACCTAGAAACACATTTCTAGGATCCAGTATAGTATATGCGGAAAGAAGCAACAAATATAACAAATAATATGAATAATTGAAAGATACTGTAAATATATGTGTATAAAACATATTAAAATAATATGTGTTGTAGGTAGTTCTAATCAACTTACAAAATAAATTTAGTCTTTTTTTTTTTGAGACAGAGTCTTGCTCTGTCGCCCAGGCCGGAATGCAGTGGCGTGATCTTGGCTCACTGCAACCTCTGCCTCCTGGGTTCAAGCGATTCTCCTGTCCCTGCCTCCCAAGTAGTTGGGACTACAGGAGCGCACCAACATACCCAACTAATTTTTATATTTTTTAGAAGAGACAGGGTTTCACCATATTGGACAGGCTGGTCTCAAACTCCTGACCTTGTGATCTGCCTGCCTTGGCTTCCCAAAGTGCTGGGATTACAGGCGTGAGCCACCATGCCTGGATGAATTTAGTCATCTTAAAACCAAAGTATGCATGCCCTTTTCCCAGCTTAGCTGCAAGGTTTTATATTTTAAACATTTTATTTTACCAATATGATAAATTAAAAAATGTTTTCATGTCTATGTTTATGTTTTATTTGATTGCTAGTGTAATTAATCATTTATCATATATTCTTTGGCCATTTCTATTTTCATATGAATACTTTATTTCACATTTTAAAATTATTTTATTGGCCTTATTGTCTTAATATTAATTTTTCTTCAATACTAAGATAAAATATTATAATAAAAATCTTTAATATTAAGATTTTTAAGAAATAGTGAAACTAATCCATTGCCCCTTGTATGTGTTCAATAGTAAAGGAAATAAGAAAACATTTTCATATTTTTGTTTATTTATAACTTCGAGACTTCCATGTGGTCAATGAATATAGTCCCCAACATCATCGTTCTGATATCTCATATCAGGGTACCATAATTTTCTGGATATTGTGTAAAGCTTTGGAAGTATATTCCACTTCCAACTCATTGAAAATATCATCTCTTTTCATCTAATAATTTGTTGTTGTTTTAAATTTTGTAAGGAGTTTTAGATCTTCTTTGTGAGAGTAGGGAATCTTTCTTCACCACACCTACTACGTAGTTTAACAAATATCCAAACAACATTTATGGAATTATTTCACTGACTTCAGATTATCTTCTCATGTGTGATCAATGCCTTATACTGATGACCTGCTTCTAGCTTTTGAATATTGTTCTGTAAAGCTATATTTTGCTGTCTTTCAAGTACCCATTGTCTCTATGATGGTAGCAAAGGAGTACACATTGGTATGTGAGAGAACAGGATTTCTTCCATATACTTCTTTCTCTTACATTTTTTCTTAATTATTCTTACAGATTTTTTAATCTCAAAAATATTAGACTCATTTTGGTAACATGCCAAAATTTTCATCCATCTCATGGCCTATATTTAATTTACAGATTTAGGATGGATATGTATCTTAAGCTTAACATTTCAAAGATATAAAGAAGAAGAGTAGTAGTTAGAAATAATATATAGCTCAAAAGTATTTCATAATAGTGTACCATTTACACCTCCAATTTAAGATTCTCTGGACTTTACTGTTTTCCTGACTTATGGATAAGCCATGGAAACTATATAACACTCTAATAATACATAACTTCCTAAGGGAAGCAGCATTTTGCATGGGTCAGGTTTTATCAAACCTAAACTTCTAAGATTTAGTAACCTATATTGAAAGGAAATAACATTATTCATTAATTGACTTCTGAAGGTTTTTCATTTCGTTTGTCTCAATTGAGAGCAGGTGGCTTACTAGGATGAGTATGAACTGAGGAAAATACTAACTTAAATTTTCCTAAAGAGAAAAAAATAATAAGAGATGCAACAGGTCCTAGCCACCACCCTGCATGGAGATGATTTACAATGACTAAAAAGGCCTACTCTAATTTAATCCCTGAACTCATTTTGTTCTCAGTATCAGATTCAAGATGAATGAGTATCACCTTCTCTTCAGCACACTTAAATGAAACTAAACTAATGGATTTGTCTACGTGGAAAGCATGGGAAATACTATTTTATTTTATTTTATTTTATTTTATTTATTTCATTTTATTATTTTGACAGAATCTCACTCTGTTGCCCAGGATGGAGCATAGTGGTGCAATCTCAGCTCACTGTAACCTCTACCTCCTGGGTTCAAGCAATTCTAGTGCCTCATTCTCCCAAGTAGCTGGAATTACAGATGCCTACTGCCATGCCTAGCTAACTTTTATATTTTTAGTAGATACGGGGTTTTGCCATGATGCCCAGGCAGGCCTCAAACTCCTGATCCACCCACTTCAGCCTCCCAAAGTGCTGGGATTACAGGTGTAAGCCACCATACCCAGTCAGGAATGATTTTTAATGCACAGGGTAGAGAAGCATTCCCCTTGTGTGCTTTCTGATATAGTCCACTTTCATTTTCACTTGAAACAAATATGCAATGTGTAAATAAATAAAATGAACACACTGAGGGAAGAGTTGGTTGTTTAAAGCAATAATTTGGTGTTTCTCATTCTGCAGAACACTGTTCAGATTAGGTAAGATTTGAGAAGTAATCACCTCTGTTTCTCATAGAAAACCCATTTATCTAAAGTCAGGAAACACACACATATACATTGGAGAGAAAGAAAGCTCACAATTATATGGGCAGTCTTCTAAAATGAATATTTTACATTTAGATATTAATAATATTGTCAATGGTTAACCCTCATTTAAAAAAGTGATTGTTAATGAGGACTTTATGTTTTCTCTATTTGCCAAAGCATACTTTGCTAGATGTAAAATTAAAGAATGTCACAAAGCAAGAAACTCAATTTACAGACAGTTTTACAACATACTGTGGAAACAGTTGAACAAGATCTATTTTCTAATAACTTCTAAAGACCCCACAATAATAAAAGGACATGTATTTTTGTGTTAAAATTCCTGAGGTCAGAATGATTCAAAAGACTGCATAGCCATTGCATGTTTTAGAATATCCAATAATCTCCAAGGAAATTCCTCATGATGTAATACTACTACCAAGTCACTCATGTTCTTTTCATCCATATATTTACCTCCAGAACAAATTATTCAAAAGTGTACCTTCTCACTCTTCACAGCAGCGAAGATGATCAACCTAAGTGTTCATCAAGTGATGCTTGGATAAAGAAAATATTGTACATATACACAGTGGAGTACTATACAGCCTTAAAAAGAAGGTAATCTTCTCTTTTACAAAAACACACATGGAATTGGAGGCCATTATCTTAAGTGAAACAATTCAGAAACAAAAAGTCAAGTACTATGTCCTAACTTACTAATGGGAGCAAAATGATGGACAGAAAGAACGAAGTAATGGACACTGGGGCCTTCAAAGGGTGGGAGGATGAGAAAAGGGTATGGGATAAGAAATTACTTAGTGAACACAATGTACACTATTTGGGTGATGGTTATGCTAAAAGCCCAGACTTCACCACTACACAATATATCCATGCAACAAAACTGCACTTCTACCCTTTAAATCTATAAAAATGTTAAAAATTAAAATGTATGCTTTCTGTCCACTGAAATTAAAAGGCACAACATGGCCAATGGGAATATGATTATTCTGGAGTAATTGTCAACATAACTGTGATATCACAGCCTCCCATTTTTAAAGCATCCTTGCAAATATGTCTGTTTCCTTACCATTTTCCTCATTGCCACATTGTTTCTGGATGTTGGAGTTTTCCAGCCTTTCTAGCTCCTTTCTTTGTAATAAAATCTCTGTCTTATTTCCCCTTTTTCTGTGTCAGTGGTGTGGAATGCTTTATGAAGATGAATTTATAAAGATAATAGAGATAAATTTATGAGGATGATAAAAATGTTTATAAATATTATAGACAAAGATAAATTTGTTGTGAAAAAATATACCAGGTGTGGAAATAGAAAGCTCCTACAATACCTATACTGAATCAGTTGAAAGACAAGAAATATGAAATTGATTCATTCATTTGGAAAAAGAAGGCATTAACATCTTATTGAAAATGTTCAGAGTATGCCTACTTCATTGTCATGCATACATGTGTTTCCCAAGCAAAGATGTTCTTTAAGCTAAGATTATACATTTAGTTCTTGTTTTTGTTTGCTTCTATTTATTGCATTTCTTGTGGCTTTGATTTGTATCCAATTCAGAGAATTTTTTCCCAAGTCCTCATTCTGCCTTAATATTTTTGTTGTTCTTGTTATTTTTGCAACTGTAGCTTTGTTGTTAAGCTAGAAAATACACCTATAACTTGCTTTAGTATGAAGAATTAGTAACTCTGGGACATAAAGGTTTGTGAATTTTTATCTAGACATAATTGCCATAATGCTGAACTCTAATATAACTGGCAATATGTGTAAAAAATTGCTCATCAATGAGAAATCCAGAGTGATTCCGCATGGCTTAGGTTAAAACAATATTTTAAATAAATATATTTTGCTACTGGCAGCCAAGATGGCCGAATAGGAACAGCTCTGGTCTACAGCTCCCAGCGTGAGCGATACAGAAGACGGGTGATTTCTGCATTTCCATCTGAGGTACAGGGTTCATCTCACTAGGGAGTGCCAGACAGTGGGCGCAGGACAGTGGATGCAGTGCACCCTGTGCGAGCTGAAGCAGGGTGAGACATTGCCTCACTCGGGAAGCACAAGTGGTCAGGGAGTTCCCTTTCCTAGTCAAAGAAAGGAGTGACAGAGGGCACCTGGAAAATTGGGTCACTCCCACCCTAATACTTCGCTTATCTGACGGGCTTAAAAAACGGCGCAGCAGGAAATTATATCCTGCAACTGGTTCGGAGGGTCTTGCACCCATGGAGTCTCCCTGATTCCTTGCACAGCAGTCTGAGATCAAACTGCAAGGTGGCAGCGAGGCTGGGGGAAGGGCGCCCGCCATTGCCCAGGCTTGCTTAGTTAAACAAAGCAGCCCCGAAGCTCCAACTGGGTGGAGCCCACCACAGCACAAGGAGGCCTGCCTGCCTCTGTAGGCTCCACCTCTGCGGGCAGGGCACAGACAAACAAAAAGACAGCAGTAACCTCCGCAGAATTAAATTTGCCTGGCTGACAGCTTTGAAGAAAGCAGTGGTTCTCCCAAAACGCAGCTGGAGATCTGAGAAAGGGCAGACTGCCTCCTCAAGTGGGTCCCTGATCCCTGACCCCCGAGCAGCCTAACTGGGAGGCACCCCCCAGTAGGGGCAGACTGACACCTCACACAGCAGGGTACTCCTCTGAGGCAAACAGGGTCTGCAGTGGACCTCTAACAAATTCCAACAGACCTGCAGCTGAGGGTCCTGTCAGAAGGAAAACTA
Organism: Homo sapiens; assembly: GCF_000001405.40. Classification (NCBI taxonomy): domain Eukaryota; kingdom Metazoa; phylum Chordata; class Mammalia; order Primates; family Hominidae; genus Homo; species Homo sapiens. The sequence continues at coordinate 15,052,887 of NC_000024.10, read as the reverse complement.
ACAAACAGAAAGGACATCCAAACCAAAAACCCATCTGTACATCACCATCATCAAAGACCAAATGTAGATAAAACCACAAAGATGGGGAAAAAAACAGAGCAGGAAAACTGGAAACTCTAAAAAGCAGAGAGCCTCTCCTCCTCCAAAGGAACGCAGTTCCTCACCAGCAGTGGAACAAAGCTGGACAGAGAATGACTTTGACGAGTTGAGAGAAGGCTTCAGACAATCAAACTACTCCAAGCTACAGGAGGAAATTCAAACGAAAGGTAAAGAAGTTGAAAACTTTGAAAAAAATTTAGAAGAATGTATAACTAGAATAACCAATACAGAGAAGTGCTTAAAGGAGCTGATGGAGCTGAAAGCCAAGGCTCGAGAACTACAGGAAGAATGCAGAAGCCTCAGGAGCCGATGCGAACAACTGGAAGAAAGGGTATCAGTGATGGAAGATCAAATGAATGAAATGAAGCAAGAAGGGAAGTTTAGGGAAAAAAGAAAAAAAAGAAACGAACAAAGCCTCCAAAAAATATGGGACTATGTGAAAAGACCAAATCTACATCTGATTGGTGTACCTGAAAGTGACGGGCAGAATGGAACCAAGTTGGGAAACACTCTGCAGGATATTATGCAGGAGAACTTCCCCAATCTAGCAAGGCAGGCCAACATTCAGATTCAGGAAATACAGAGAATGCCACAAAGATACTCCTCGAGAAGAGCAACTCCAAGACACATAATTGTCAGATTCACCAAAGTTGAAATGAAGGAAAAAATGTTAAGGGTAGCCAGAGAGAAAGGTCAGGTTAACCACAAAGGGAAGCCCATCAGACTAACAGTGGATCTCTTGGCAGAAACTCTTCAAGCCAGAAGAGAGTGGGGGCCAATATTCAACATTCTTAAAGAAAAGAATTTCCAACCAGAATTTCATATCCAGCCAAACTAAGCTTCATAAGTGAAGGAGAAATAAAATAATTTACAGAAAGCAAATGCTGAGAGATTTTGTCACCAGTCACCATCAGGACTGCCTTAAAAGAGCTCCTGAAGGAAGCACTAAACATGGAAAGGAACAACCGGTAGCAGCCACTGCAAAATCATGCCAAAATTTAAAGACCATCGAGGCTAGGAAGAAACTGCATCAACTAACGAGCAAAATAACCAGCTAACATCATAATGACAGGATCAAATTCACACATAACAATATTAACCTTAAATGTAAATGGACTAAATGCTCCAATTAAAAGACACAGCCTGGCAAATTGGATAAAAAGTCAAGACCCATCAGTGTGTTGTATTCAGGAAACCCATCTAACATGCAGAGACACACATAGGCTCAAAATAAAAGGATGGAGGAAGATCTACCAAGCAAATAGAAAGCAAAAAAAGGCAGGGGTTGCAATCCTAGTCTCTGATAAAACAAACTTTAAACCAACGAAGATCAAAAGAGACAAAGAAGGCCATTACATAATGGTAAAGGGATCAATTCAACAAGAAGAGCTAACTATCCTAAATATATATGCACCCAATACAGGAGCACCCAGATTCATAAAGCAGGTACTGAGTGACCTACGAAGAGACTTAGACTCCCACACAATAATAATGGGAGACTTTAACACCCCACTGTCAACATCAGACAGATCAACGAGACAGAAAGTTAACAAGTATATCCAGGAATTGAACTCAGCTCTGCACCAAGCAGACCTAATAGACATCTACAGAACTCTCCACTCCAAATCAACAGAATATACATTCTTTTCAGCACCACAACACACCTATTCCAAAACTGACCACATAGTTGGAAGTAAAGCTCTCCTCAGCAAATGTAAAAGGACAGAAATTATAACAAATTGTCTTTTAGACCACAGTGCAATCAAACTAGAACTCAGGATTAAGAAACTCACTCAAAACTGCTCAACTACGTGGAAACTGAACAACCTCCTCCTGAATGACTACTGAGTTCCTAATGAAATGAAGGCAGAAATAAAGGTGTTCTTTGAAACCAATGAGAACAAAGACACAACATACCAGAATCTCTGGGACACATTCAAAGCATTGTGTAGAGGGAAATTTACAGCACTAAATGCCCACAGGAGAAAGCAGGAAATATCCAAAATTGACACCCTAACATCACAATTAAAAGAACTAGGAAAGCAAGAGCAAACACATTCAAAAGCTAGCAGAAGGCAAGAAATAACTAAAATCAGAGCAGAACTGATGGAGATACAAAAAACTCTTCAAAAAATCAATGTATGCAGGAGCTGGTTTTTTGAAAAGATCAACAGAATTGATAGACCAATAGCAAGATTAATAAAGAAGAAAAGAGAGAAGAATCAAATAGATGCATTAAAAAATGATAAAGGGGATATCACCACCGATCCCACAGAAATACAAACTACCATCAGAGAATACTACAAACACCTCTACACAGATAAGCTAGAAAATCTAGAAGAAATGGATAAATTACTGGACACATACACTTTCCCACGACTAAACCAGGAAGAAGTTGAATCCCTGAATAGACCAATAACAGGCTCTGATATTGAGGCAATAATGAGTAGCCTACCAACAAAAAAAGTCCAGGACTAGATGGATTCACAGCCGAATTCTACCAGAGGTGCAAGGAGGAGCTGGTACCATTCCTTCTGAAACTATTCCAATCAACAGAAAAAGAGAGAATCCTCCCTAACTCCTTTGAAGAGGCCAGCATCATCCTGATACCAAAGCTCGGCAGAAACACAACAACAAAAAAAAGAATTTTAGACTAATATCCCTGATGAATATAGATGCAAAAATCCTCAATAAAATACTGGCAAACAGAATCCAGCAGCACATCAAAAAGCTTATCCACCATGATCAAGTGGGCTTCATCCCTGGGATGCAAGGCTGGTTCAACATATGCAAATCAATAAACATAATCCAGCATATAAACACAACCAAAGACAAAAACCACATGATTATCTCAATAGATGCAGAAAAGGCCTTTAAGTAAATTCAACAGCCCATCCTGCTAAAAACTCTCAATAAATTATGTATCGACGGGATGTGTCTCAAAATAATAAGAGCTATTTATGACAAACCCACAACCAATATCATACTGAATGGGCAAAAACTGGAAGCATTCTCTTTGAAAACTGGCACAAGAGAGGGATGCCCTCTCTCACCACTCCTTTTCAACATAGTGTTGGACATTCTGGCCAGGGGAATCAGGCAGGAGAAGGAAATCAAGGGTATTCAATTAGGAAAAGAGGAAGTCAAATTGTCCCTGTTTGCAGATGACATGATTGTATATTTAGAAAACCCCAGCGTCTCAGCCCAAAATATCCTTCACCTGATAAGCAACTTCAGCAAAGTGTCAGGATAAAAAATCAATGTGCAAAAATCACAAGCATTCTTTTACACCAATAACAGACAGAGAGCCAAATCATGAATGAACTCACATTCACAATTGCTTCAAAGAGAATAAAATACCTAGGAATCCAACTTACAAAGGATGTGAAGGACCTCTTCAAGGAGAACTACAAACCACTGCTCAATGAAATAAAAGAGAATGCAAACAAATGGAAGAACATTCCATGCTTATGGATAAGAATAATCAATATCATGAAAATGGCCATATTACCCAAGGTAATTTATAGATTCAATGCCATCCCCATCAGGTTAACAATGACTTTCTTCACAGAACTGGAAAAAACTACTTTAAAGTTCACATGGAACCAAAAAAAGCCCACATTGCCAAGACAATCCTAAGCCAAAAGAACAAAGCTAGAGGCATCAGGCAACCTGACTTCAAACTATACTACAAGCCTACAGTAACCAAAACAGCATGGTACTGGTACAAAACAGAGGTATAGACCAAGAGAACATAACAGAACCCTCAGAAATAATACCACACATCTACAACCATCTGATCTTTGACAAACCTGACAAAAACAAGAAATGGGGAAAGGATTCCCTATTTAAAAAATGGTGCTGGGAAAACTGGCTAACCATATGTAGAAAGCTGAAACTGGTTCCCTTCCTTACACCTTATACAAAAATTAATTCAAGGTGGATTAAAGACTTAAATGTTAGACCTAAAACCATAAAAACCCTAGAAGAAAACCTAGGCATTACCATTCAGGACATATGCATGGGCAAGGACTTCATGTCTAAAACACCAAAACCAATGACAACAAAAGCCAAAATTGACAAATGGGATCTAATTAAACTAAAGAGCTTCTGCACAGCAAAAGAAACTACCATCAGAGTGAACAGGCAACCTACACAATGGGAGAAAATTTTTGCAATCTACTCATCCAACAAAGGGCTAATATCCAGAATCTATAATGAACTCATACAAATTTACAAGAAAAAAACAACCCCTTCAAATAGTGGGTAAAGGATATGAACAGACACTTCTCAAAAGAAAACATTTATGCAGCCAACAGACACATGAAAAAATGCTCATCATCACTGGCCATCAGATAAATGCAAATCAAAACCACAATGAGATACCATCTCACACCAGTTAGAATGGTGATCATTAAAATGTCAAGCAACAACAGGTGCTGGAGAGGATGTGGAGAAATAGGAACACTTTTACACTGTTGGTGAGACTGTAAATAAATTCAACCTTTGTGGAAGACAGTGTGGTGATTCCTCAAGGATGTAGAACTAGATCCATTCCCTTACTGGGTATATAGCCAAAGGATTATAAATCATGCTGTAAAGACATGCACATGTATGTTTATTGAGGCATTATTCACAATAGCAAAGACTTGGAACCAACCCAAATATCCATCAATGATAGACTGGATTAAGAAAATGTGGCACAAATACACCATGGAATACTATGCAGCCATAAAAAAGGATGAGTTCATGTCCTTTGTGGGGACATCGGTGAAGCTGGTCATTCTCAGCAAAGTATCAGAAGAACAAAACATCAAATACCACATGTTCTCAATCATAGGTATGAATTCAACAATGAGAATACTTGGACATAGGAAGGGAAACATCACACATCGGGGTCTGTTGTGGGGTGGGGGGAGTGGGGAGGGATAGCATTAGGAGATATACCTAACATAAATGACAAGTTAAGGGGTGCAGCACACCAACATGGCACACGTATATATATGTAACAAACCTGCACATTGTGCACATGTACCCTAGAACTTAAAGTATAATAAAAATAAATAAATACATAAATAATAAAAAAATGAAAAAAAAAGAATGTGAAATGGGACAGCTACTCTAGGAAATAGACTAGCAGTTTTTTAAAAAATCTATGGTGCAACTACTTTATGATCCAGCAATAACACTTTTAGGCATTTATCCCAGAGAAATGCAGACTTACGTTCACGAAAATCCTGTATGCAAATGTTTATAGAGATTTTATTTGTAATAGCCTCAACCTGGAAACAACCCAATTGTTTTTCAGTGGGTAAATGATTAAACCAGCTGTGGTACATCTCTGTCACGGAATACTACTCATTAATAAAAAATAATGAAAATTGATACATAAACAACCTGAATGAACCTCCTGATAGTTATGCTGAACGTAAAAAGTCAGTTCTCGGGAGGATCACGAGGTCAGGAGATCAAGACCATCCTGGCTAACACGGTGAAACCCCATCTGTACTAAAAAATAAAAAAAATTAGCCGGGCGTGGTGGCGGGCACCTGTAGTTCCAGCTACTCAGGAGGCCGAGGCAGGAGAATGGTGTGAACCTGGGAGGCGGAGCTTGCAATGAGCCAAGATTGTGCCACTGCACTCCAGCCTGGGCGACAGAGCGAGATTCCGTCTCAAAAAAAAAAAAAAAAAAAAAAAAAAGTCAATTCTATGTTATATATTGTATCTTTCCTTTTATATAAGATTCTTAAAATGACAAAAAAATGTAGAAATAGAAAACAGGCCAGTGGTTGCTATGAGTAAGGGGTGTAGATGGGAGGGAAGACAAGGTGGTTATCAAAGTGCAACATGAAGTATCTTTGTGTAGCAGAAATGTTCTCTATCTTAATTGTATCAATGTCAATATATTGGTTGTAATTTTGTATCATAGTTTTGCAAGATGTTACCATCAGTGAAAACTGGGTGATGGGTATATGGGATTTCTCTGTATTATTTCTTACAACTGTATATGAATCTACAAATATGTCAAAATAAAAAATTTGAAAAAAATGAGGCTGGGCACGGTGTCTCAAACTTGTAATTACAGCACTTTGGGAGCGGGAGGCGGGTGGATCATGAGGTCAACAGATAGAGACCATCCAGGCCAACACAGTGAAAACCCATCTCTACTAAAAATACAAAAAAGAGCTGGGCATCGTGGTGCATGCTTGTAGTCACACCTACTCAGGAAGCTGAGGCAGGAGAATCGCTTGAACCCAGGAGGCAGAAGTTGCAGTGAGCAGATATCATGCCAGTGCACTCCAGCCTGGTGTCAGAGTGAGACTCCGTCTCAAACAAACAAACAAAAAACAAAAACCATATGACAGCATCAGTTTCTGGCCACAACTATCTAAAAGGGACCTATTTTGCTGTCCTGGAATCAGCCAAAAATGGAGAAAATGTAAGAAACTGACAACTTTTAAGAAAATGAAAAGCAAGAAATAGTGCTTAAGAATAGTGATCTTGGCAAGAGGGAAACAAGATGAGATGTAGTATTGCCCCAGCTTATTGGCTTGAAAGTGTTTCCCAGGCCTGACTTATAAAGGGAGAAGCCAGGTTGAGCTCAAAAGTCTTTGAGTCTTGGGAAAACAAGGCTGCTAGGTCTCTCAGGGCAGAGTACAAGGAGAGAGGTAGCTTCACCCAGATGAGAATGGAGATCTGCGGAGAAAACTGCTGAAGTTTTCCTCTGAGTGTGTATCACTGCATAGGTATGAGGAACCTACACAAGGATGGGGAAATAATCACCTGTATTATTTCATTCTCACACTGCTAATAAAGACCCAAGACTGGGTATTTATAAAAGAAAGAGGTTTAATGGACTCACAGTTCCACACAGTTGGAGAGACCTCACAATCATGGCAGAAGGCAAAAGAGAAGCAAAGGCATACCTTAAATGGCAGGCAAAAAGCATGCATGCAGAAATATTCTCCTTTATAAAACCATCAGATCTCATGAGACTTAGTCACTATCATGAGAACAACATGGGAAAGACCTGACCCCATGATTCAATTATCTCTCACTGGGTTCCTCCCATAACATGTGGAGATTTTTTTTTTAATACCTTAAGTTTTAGGTTACATGTGCACAACGTGCAGGTTGGTTCCATATGTATACATGTGCACGTTGATGTGCTGCACCCATTAACTTGTCATTTAACATTAGGTATATCTCCTAATGCTATCCCTTCCCTCTCCCCCTACCCCACAACACATCCCGGTGTGTGATGTCCCCCTTCCTGTGTCCATGTGTTCTCATTGTTCAATTCCCACCTATGAGTGAGAATATGCGGTGTTTGGTTTTTTGTCCTTGCGATACATGTGGACATTATGGGAGCAACAATTCAAGATGGAATTTGGGTCAGGATGTAGCCAAAGCATATAACCACCTAACAACTTTAGCACAAATCTATAGAAAATCACACCAGGTAAGTCAACAAACCACCTAAGAAGATGAAAATGAACATTTCCCAAAGATCAGTCAGGGCCAAAATAATTTCTGTTCCAAACAGCCTGACTAGAGAATTGCATGAAACATGGGGCATTAGGTAAAGTGCACAGAATGATGGTGCCTCAGGAAGGGATCATTAATTAGCCCTTTTCTGAGAATGGTTTCAGTCCAATCTAGTAAATCTTGAAAGTAAGATGTAAGCTAAGATTTAAATAAGACCTTAAAACTCAGAATCAAATTGTGCCCAAGTAATTTAAATTTATCTCAGAACGAATGTCAAAGGCAGTTATGGGAATGTGAACATTTCAAGCACCCAACAAGGTAAAATTCACAATGAACTAATAATTCATTAAAATGAATGAATAATGGATTAATAACTCATTAACAATCAATTAATACTATCTGGTAAGAAAAGATTGCACAAGATATAATCAATATACAGAAATCAATTGTACTGTTTTACACTAGCTATAGGAATCAAAACTAAAATAAAAATTAGATAGCTTTTTACACAATAAGAAATACACAGAATATTTACAGGGTGAATCTTACAAAAGATATTAAAGACCTGTGCATGGTAAACCCAAGCACATTGCCAAGAAATATACAGTATTAAAAGTCAGAACACAGCACTTGTTATTGTTAATATGTGCATTAACCTCAAATGTGCCAAGGCATTTCACAAAATAGCAATCAAATTCACAGCAAGCTTTTTGGGGTGGAACACTGACAAGCTGAACTGGAAATGAACATAGACATGCCAAGAATCTTGACTGGCCAAATTGACTTTAAAAATGGAGAATAAAGTTGGAGAATGTACTTTACCTGATTTCAAGTTTTTTATTATAAAGGTGATGTAATCAAACAGTATGCTATTGTCCACCAACATAGACAAAGAAGTCAAGGGAACACAATACCATATCCAGAAATAGACACGTGCATGTATAGACAAATGATTTCTGACAATTTTGTGGAGAATGTTTATTTTAAACACATGATGCTAGAATAATCAGATGTCCATATGCAAACAAAAAAATACATATATAACTTGCATCATAAAAAACTAACTCAAAATGAACGATTGGCCTACATCTACACATTTATTTAAAATGTAAACCTTTAATACTTCTACAAGAAACATAGGAAAAAATAAATGTGATCTAGGACTAATAAAAAATTTCTTTTGCCCATTCAGTATGATATTGGCTGTGGTTTGTCATAGATAACTCTTATTATTTTGAGATACGTCCCATCAATACCTACTTTATTGAGAGTTTTTAGCATGAAGTGTCGTTGAATTTAGTCAAAGGACTTTTTTGCATCTATTGAGATAATAAGGTGGTTTTTGACATTGGTTCTGTTTATATGCTGGATTACATTTATTGGTTTGCATATGTTGAACCAGCCTTGCATCCCAGGGATGAAGTCCACTTGATCACGGTGGATAAGCTTTTTGATGTGCTCCTGGATTTGGTTTGCCAGTATTTTATTGGGGATTTTTGCATCGATGTTCATCAGGGATATTGGTCTAAAATTCTCTTTTTTTGTTGCGTCTCTGACAGGCTTTGGTATCAGGATGATGCTGGCCTCATAAAATGAGTTAGGGAGGATTCCCTCTTTTTCTGTTGATTGGAATAGTTTCAGAAGGAATGGTACCAGCTCCTCCTTGAACCTCTGGTAGAATTCAGCTGTGAATCCATCTGGTGCTGGACATTTTTTGGTTGGTAAGCTATTAATTATTGCCACAATTTCAGAGCCTGTTATTGGTCTATTCAGAGATCACAAGACAGGCACAAGATAGGGATGCCCTATCTCCAACATAATGTTGGAAGTTATGCCCAGGGCAATCAGGCAGGAGAAGGAAATAAAGGGTATTCAATTAGGAAAAGAGGAAGTCAAATTGTCTCATTTTCAGGTGACATGATTGTATATCTAGAAAATCCCATCGTCTCAGCCCAAAATTTCCTTAAGCTGATAGGCAACTTCAGCAAAGTCTCAGGATACAAAATCAATGTGCAAAAATCACAAGCATTCTTATACACCAATAACAGACAAACAGAGAGCTAAATCATCAGTGAACTCCCATTCACAAGTGTTTCAAAGAGAATAAAATACCTAGGAATCCAACTTGCAAGGGACATGAAGGACCTCTTGAAGGAGAACTACAAACCACTGCTCAATGAGATAAAAGAGGATACAAAGAAATGGAAGAACATTCTATGCTCATGGTTAGGAATAATCAATATTGTTAAAATGGCCATGCTGCACAAGGTAATTTATAGATTCAATGCCATCCCCATCAAGCTACCAACGACTTTCTTCACAGAATTGGAAAAAACTACTTTAAAGTTCATATTGAACCAAAAAAGAGCCCTCATTGCCAACTCAATCCTAAGCCAAAAGAACAAAGCTGGAGGCATCAGGCTACCTGCCTTCAAACTATATTACAGGCCTACAGTAACCAAAACAGCATGGTACTGGTACCAAAACAGAGATATAGACAAATGGAACAGAACAGAGCCCTCAGAAATAATGCCTCATGTCTACAACTATCTGATTTTTGACTAACCTGAGAAAAACAAGCAATGGGGAAAGGATTCCCTATTTAAAAAATGGTGTTGGGAAAACTGGCTAGCCATATGTAGAAAGCTGAAACTGGATCCCTTCCTTATACCTTATACAAAAATTAATTCAAGATGGATTAAAGTCTTAAATATTAGACATAAAACCATAAAAACCCTAGAAGAAAACCTAGGCAATACCATTCAGGACATAGGCATGGGCAAGGACTTCATGTCTAAAACACCAAAAGCAATGGCAACAAAAGCCAAAATTGACAAATGGGATCTAATTAAACTAAAAAGAGCTTCTGCACAGCAAAAGAAACCACCATCAGAGTGAACAGGCAACCTACAGAATGGGAGAAAATTTTTGCAACCTACGCATGTGACAAAAGGCTAATATCCAGAATCTATAAAGAACTCAAAGAAATTTACAAAAAAAACAAACAACCCCATCAACAAGTGGGTGAAGGATATGAACATACACTTCTCAAAAGAAGACATTTATTCAGCCAAAAGACACATGAAAAAATGCTCATAATCACTGGCGATCAGAGAAATGCAAATCAAAACAACAATGAGATACCATCTCACACCAGTTAGAAGAGCCGTCATTAAAAAGTCAGGAAACAACAGGTGCTGGAGAGGATGTGGAGAAATAGGAATACCTTTACGCTGTTGGTGGGACTGTAAACTAGTTCAACCATTGTGGAAGTCAGTGTGGCAATTCCTCAGGGATCTATAACTAGAAATACCATTTGACCCAGCCATCCCCTTACTGGGTATATACCCCAAGGATTATAAAACATGCTGCTATAAAGACACATGCACACCTATGTTTATTGCAGCACTATTCACAATATCAAAGACTTGGAACCAACCCAAATGTCCAACAATGATAGACTGGATTAAGAAAATGTGGCACACATACACCATGGAATACTACGCAACCATAAAAAATGATGAGTTCATGTCCTTTGTAGGGACATGGATGAAGCTGGAAACCATCATTCTCAGTGAACTCTCACAAGGACAAAAAAACATACACCACATGTTCTCCCTCATAGGTGGGAATTGAACAATGAGAACACATGGACACAGGAAGGAGCCATCACACACAGGTGCCTGTTTTGCGGTGGGGGGAGTGGGGAGGGATAGCATTCAGAGATATACCTAATGTTAAATGAGGAGTTTATGGGTGCGGCACACCAACATGGCACATGTATACATATGTAAAAAACTTGCACGTTGTGCACATGTACCCTAAAACCTAAACTATAATAAAAAAAAAGAAATACTACTTAGCAATAAGAAGAAATAAGGTATTGATACCTGCAAAAAGTTGAGTGTTAAAATAATTATGCTCAGTGAAAAAATGTCAGATTGCAAGGAAAGAGAGGGAGAGTAAGTACTGTCTGATTCAATTTATACAAAATTATAGGAAATGCATACTAATCTACAGAGACAGAGAACAGATTGTAGTTTGCCTAGGGAAAGGGATTCAAGTCTGATAGACATGGCAGACAAAAACACAGAAAAAAATTGGAGGTGATGGCTGTGTTTATAATCTTTATCATCATGATGTTGTCACACACATAAACATATATGTGTATATCTATAAATTAATTATTTTGAAGGCCTTGAATATGGTCCTCTATTAATTATATCTCAATTAACCTTTTTGTATGTTAAAATATTGGGTCATATTAATTGATTTGTGAATGCTGAACACACTTTACAGAATACAATCTATTGTGTTATTATGTGCCATAATGTTTACTCTTTATGTTTAAATGTTTCTCAAATTAGTAAGAATCCACATATAAAAATATGTAAATATTATCTATAATTTAAAAAAACATGGGTCTGAAATAACTATGGGTTCATGCATTCATATATATTAAGTATGAATGGGTTTCAGGGTTTTAGACACTGAAATATTTTCTAATTCAATTAAAAATGAGAAGTAAAACAGAATAAATAGGAGGTTGGAAGGATAACACTATAAAAAAAGTAAGTTATAAAGTTATCTTATAAATAGCACCTTGAAGTTCTGTTGGAAAAAAATACTAAGATATCAAGACAGTAACTTATGTATTAATAAGCAATAGTGTTCATCAAGTGGACAATCATTGAGACTTAACCATGTTCCCCCATTTCTTCTATTAATTGCATGAAGATTTCATTATTTCTGCCGACATGAGGACTGGGTAACTCTTCCTGCCATATTTGGGAACTAGTAAACTAGTGCAGATTTGACAAAAACAGTTTGTAAATTTGAAGGAAAAGCCAAGAAACTATTCACACCCTTTAATCTGACAATTGCATTACTGAGTAGACATAGTAAGTATTCCTTCTGAAATACTGAACAATTTGTAGCAAAAATGTGTTCATGTCAAAATATTGCACATAGTCTAATTCTTACCTACTGTTAGAAACAATTCATGGGCTAGCGATGGAAATGATAAGAGGAATGCACATCTGTAAATGTGGGAAGTGTTGTATATTGAGGGAAAATACAGTATTGAAAAGTGAAGCATATTTAAGTTGCACAACTTAAAACCCTAAAAAGATATGTGATAGTCAGCTAGATAAAAATATTTGCAAAGTAAGTTTGTTTTTAAATTTTCTATTATGAGATTATATTATTGTTATAGCTAAAATAAACAAACACATCCAAGCAAAGACTAACAAAACCTCTGGATGAGCCAAATTAAACTAAATTTCTAAATGTATGCAATTAGGAAGAAATGCAGCTAATAAAGCAACATTTAACAATAAAATATTGATTTTATAAAACCTGGTTATGCTAATGGGAGTTGGAATGTCTTTTCTTGATGTCTTTCACAAATTAGCTTAGAAATTCTACTTATTCTAGCAGGAAATAACCAAGTGTGACAAGTTCTTCCCATGGCTTATTTTGTCCAAGTATATATGCATTTGCTGTTAATTTCTATCTCGCACTTGAAAGAGAAAAGATACTTTTAAAAAAAGAATTCATCTCACACCAGTCATAACAGGTATTACTAGAAAGTCTAAAAACCACAGATGTTGGTGAGGATTTAGAGAACAGGGAACACTTACACCCTACTGGTGGGAATGTAAAGTAGCTCAGCCACTGCAGAAAGCAGTTTGGAAATTTCTCAAAAAACTTAAACAGAACTACCATTTGACTCTGTAATCCCATTACTGGGTACACACACAAAATAAAAAAAAAGAATGTGTCTTATTCTATCAAAAAGACACATTCACTTGCATGTTCATCACAGCAATACTCACAATAGCAAAGACATGGAATCAACTTAGGTACCCATCAACGGTAGACTGGATAAGAAAATGTGGTACATGGACACCATGGAATACTAGGCAGCCATAAAAAAAGAATGAAATCATGTCCTTTGCAACAACATGGGTGCACCTGGAGGCCATTATCTTATGAGAATTAATGCAAGAACAGAAAAGCAAATACCACATGGTCTCACTTATAAGTGGGAGCTAGACATTGGGTACCCATAACATGAAGGTAGGAACAACTGGAGGGGGAAAGAGGGAGGAGAGCAGGGGTTGAAAAACTTTCTTTTGGTTACTACGCTCAACACCTGGGCAGCGGGATCATTTGGACCCCAAACCTCATCATCACACAATAAACTCATGTAACAAACCTGCACATGGACCCTGGAACCTAAAATAAAAAATGAAAATCAAAAAAATATTTTTGCTTTAATTGTTTGAGTCTCTGGGTTTTAAAACTTTTGAATTGTTTGAGTTATGGAAACATGACTCATAAATGGATAGATTCATACTGGGTCACTTTGGTGATCTCTTCCAAAATGCAGGAATATACATGGATTTCTGAATAAGAAAGAAGGTACCTAGGAGCAACAGAGTATCTGTTGTTTTTTTTTCCTTAAATATGTGTGTGGGAGTGAGTGGGTTGGTGGGTCTGTAGCAGGTAATGAGGAAAGATGATGGTGCACATTGTAGGTCTGAGTTGAAAATAATATCCACAAATTTTCTATAAGAGAAAGAAGCAACCTCATATGTTGCTCTCCTACTAGCTCTTTCTCTCTTTTCCTTCTGCCTTGTGAAACCAACATTCTTCACAAGAGCATATAAGATCCATGTATTTTAGGGATTTCCCTCTCAGTACCTGAAAAGCTATCAAAGCCCATGAAGGAATTAGGGATTCCCTGAACTACTAAGCCTTTCCCTGCATGGAGGTCAGCATCTGGGAATCCAGCTATATTTTTCATTTATGATACAGATGTCCTTGTGGTTATTTGAACAAGTCACAAATCTGTTATCTCTCTTCTATATCCACTCAGACTTATTAACTGTGATTTTTGGATTTAGGCTGGTAGCAGTCCCCGTGAAGCTTACCAAGAGTAGCTTGTACTGCTCTTGGTGCAAACACACACTGCTAGCTCTGTCTGGGACCATTCTGTGATGCTATGTCAATTTTCTCTACTAGTCAGAACAGACCTTTGGTATTATTCTGTTCTTATGCTGCTAATAAGGACATACCTGAGACAGGATAATTTATAAAGGAAAGGGATTTAATTGACTCACAACTCTACATAGCTGGGGAAGCCTCATAATTGCAGCAGAAGGCAAATAAGGAGCAAAGTCACATCTTACCTGGAAGCAGGCAAGAGAGAATCTGTGTATGAGAACTCCCCTTTATAAGACCATCAGATCTTGTGATACATATTCATTATCATGAGAATGGCATGGGAAAGACCTGCCCCCAAGATCCAGTTGCCTCCCACTGGGTCCCTCCCACAACACGTGGGAATTATGGGAGCTAGAATTCAAGATGAGATTTGGGTGGAGACACAGTCAAACCATACCAGGACCATTTCTGTGTGTTCAAAATCCCATACTTTCTGCTATCCTGGGTCTCCTATCACCTCCACCAACAGCTTAGGTCTCCTCAAAATGTTCCATCAGCACCATCTATCCCAGCATGTTGCATGGCTCATGCTTCACTCTATTCTCACCAAGGACATTTCCCCACCCTAGTCACTTCAGGCTTATGGTCATTTTTATTAAATGCGTCCATTTAATAAATGGAATGACTGTCCTTACTCCAGAGCTCTCCAAATATTTTATTCTCCTAAATTACCTTTAATTGGTTGGCTGTCACATACTGTCATTCAATAGTTGAGCATGATAAGCTTTTTCTTGAATCCTATAATTTGGCATAATCTTAATCTAAGCCCAGGTTTGTTTCTCAAAAATGAGAGAGTTGATGCTATGAGATTGAAGGAAACATCTTTTCCCCTACAAGATTTCTCCTAGGAGTCTAATGACACTTTCTTAAGGAGCAGTCAGTATACAGTGGAGGTGAGAATAATCATTTAGTGATTCCCCCCATCTTAATCTAAGGGTTCCCTAAAATGGGAAAGTCTCAAAATCAGAAACACATCTATAACAGCCAATCTCAGTGTGCTGGAACTTAGACTTTTCCTTTCAAAGATTCAGAGTGGCTCACTGGTTTTAAAGCCAGTATCTTGAGAAGGAGATGTAGGCAAAGCAAATTCACATCCTACCTTCTCTCCTCCATTTTCTATTTGAAATATTCTTTTCTTTTTGGCTCCAGAATGGGATTTATGCATTTCAGATCCATTTTTGTACCATCATGTTTAAATCTGATGAATAATGTTTGTCTCAAGTTCAACTAGTTTCTCCCAACATGGCTCCGTAAGACTATTCAATATCATGGATTACGGACCTTCTGATCTGTGTAAGAACTCTATACAGCTGTTGGAATCGTCTGAGCAATTTCCCATATTGACATAAATGAAACCTGTATGTAGACAATATCAAGCTTAATAAATGCGTGATGATGTGTGTGAATATTTGCTACTTAGGAACATATGTGAAAAGATTTTTCTGCACCCATTTCAAAGAAACTATGTAGGAAAAAGATAACTGCCTTTGAGCTGGATTATCAGCAAGATTAAACCCAAAGCAAATAAAAAGCCATCATATATACAATGTATGCACTCATTTACAGATGGTTAGAATGCTTCACAAGTACCTAACCAATTCCATGCATTTTTAGGTGGGGAAAAGATTATAATAAACCTATAAATTGCTTGTGTACATTAAAGCTGCCTCCCTTCTCATGATCACAAAATTAAAATATTATGTTTATAACAGATGCAACCTTAAGTAATTAATTTAAAGAAGTAAACATATTGACATAATTGGGATGTTGAGCTGAACTATTATTTGCATGACCTGCCCTAGTCACTGAAAACTAAACATTCTGAGCATGGTAATTTTCACATGCACAGAGTCATAAGTCAGCCATCAGACTCATAATGAAAGGAGCAGACATTTAAACTTTGAGATAAGAGAAATAAAGGAGATCCTATTGTCATATATTCAGGTATCATTCATTGTACTGAAATCAAGTTGCCAGTTTTTGGGACATTTCTAAAACATCATTATCTTGGGCTTTATTTTTTAATTTGATAATTCACATATTTAAAAATGTTCCTTATAAGGAGGCCCAAGATTAACTTATTGCATACATTTTCTGATTTCAACATCAGTTTCTTTAACAAAAATTGCAAATTTCAGAATTCACAGAGGAAAATAATCAGCATTGTTTGGGGTGAAAACTGGTAAATAAATGGTCTCCAAATATCAAAGTTATATAAAATTATATTTTTAGTCACTGATCATGCAATTGGCTTCAGAGATAAGAGCCCAGGGAACAGCTCATATGGTAAAGAGCCAAGTAAAATACAGTGAAAGAAAAGTTACCTGGTGACTGATTCACACTCACTCAATTGCTCAGTCAAAATCTGGTCCGTAAACTTTACAAGGAGATAGAGAATTTCAAAGTTTAGTTTCACAAAATTCCCTTGGTAAGACTCTTTAACATGCACGCCACCATTTTTAACAATCACCACTGAGAATATTGGCAAGTCACATGCATTACAAACAATATTTCTAAGACTATTTACATGCATTACAAACAATATTTCTAAGACTATTTACATGAAAGGGAGAGAAAAATATAAAGAAAGAAAAAGAAAGAAAGAGAGAAAGAGAAAGAAAGAAAGAAGGAAAGAAAGAAAGAAAGAGAAAGAAAGAAAGAAAGAAAAGAAGGAAAGAGAAAGAAAGAGAAAGAAAGAAAAAAAGAAAGAAAAAGAAAGAAAGAAAAAGAAAGAAAGAAAGAAAAAAGAAAGAAAGAGAAAAAGAAAGAAAGAAAGGGAAAAGAAAGGGAGGAAGAGGGATTAACAGACAACCATATTTTAACATTTCTATGATACACTACAATTAGGCCATGTGTGATGACTCATGCCTTTAATCTCAGCACTTTGGGAGGCCATAGTGGGTGGATCTCTTGAGTTCAGGAGTTTGAGAGTAGCCTGGGAAACATGATAAAATTCCCTCTTTACTAAAAATACAAACAAACAAACAAACAAACAAAAAATCAGCCAGCTAAGGTGGTGCATGCCTGTAGTCCCAGCTAATTGGGAGGCTGAGATGGGAGGATTGCTTGAGCCTGGGAGGCAGAGATTGCTCTGAACTGTGATCACTCCACTTCATTCCAGCCTGAGTGACAGAGAGAGACCCTGTCTCAAAAACAAACAGAAAAAATATTACAATTAAAGTTTAGACAAGTGTTTTCAAAAAAACATTTAACTGAATCTATAATGGAGAAAAATGATGAACAGATGTTAATAAGTTTTCTAATACACAAAAGGAATGATGAATTACATAGAGTAGAGCATGTAAAAGGCATATAATGTGTGCAAAAAAGTATAAATACAAAGTTAGATAGAAAAAAGTCAGAATTTTTAAAATGTCTGTTTACTGAAATTGTGAGGAAATAAAAATTTCAATATGCTAACAGTTCAAAATAAATATTTTGTTAGCATTTCTTAAAAATGTTGTCTTCATTTTGAACTAGATTATAATAATTGATCATATTTGGAGGAACAAGACATCCTTCCTACAATCAACTCTTGATTTAACAGAAAGGCACTTCTCAGGGAAACATCCATATGCTTTATTTTTTTTATTTATATATTTATTTATTTTTTTTTTTTGAGGCAGGCTCTTGCTCTGTCACCCAGGCTGGAGGGCAGTGGTGTGTTCAAGCTCAACATAGCCCTGATCTCACAGGCTGAAGTGTTCCTTCTGCTTCATCCTCCTAAGTAGCTGGAGCCATATGCATACACCACTATGCCCAGCTAATTGTTTTTTATTTTTGGTAGAGACAGGGTCTTGCCATGATGCCCAGGCTGGTCTCAAACTGCTGGCCTTAAGGGATCCTTCCACCTCATCCTCCCAAAATACTGGGATTACAGAGGTGAGCCACTGCAATGCTTTGTTTCCCAACATTGCATCTCCTTCCTTATGCCCAATGAGATGGATCTTGCAAAAGAGGAAGATCGTTGAAGTTCTCCTAAAAGATACCACTTGATGAATAAGGGATGAGTAGATATCTAGGAAACTGAAAGAGTGAGGGTGACTAGAGAAAATACATTTTCATTTTACTTCATTCTGAAGTGACACTGACACTTCTTCAGGGACCTACCTCTGAGTCTCTACCAATAGCCTCTTATCCTAAAGCAGCTTGTTCATCTTTAGATGACTAACACTAATTCAAAATGCATGAGGAATGGTTGTTGAGATCTGGAAGATATCTTCACTTTTTTTTCTGTGAAATCTGATACTTTGCCTTGAACATCAAGTCTATAAAACACACAAATTAAGTTAGTTCAGGAATATGAAGTTAGACCCTGGAAACCAATATCCCACTGATTTGCTCTTCCAGCACTCTGGCTTATAAAGGTTTACTAAATGCCTTCCAGGGCTCACTTGATAACACTTTATTGAGTTTTAGGAAAAAAACTCTTTTTTTTTTTCTAAAAAAGATAGGCATAATATTTTTCACTATGCATTAAACTGAAAAATTTAGAAATAAAATACACAGTATGGTAATGCCACCACACTTACTTACCTTGCATGAAGAGATTATCTTCTAGGCATATTTGCTCGATTCAAATGAAGTCTCTAGACATATACATGATGAATACTTCAAAATCGACTATTTAAAAAATTCAATGAGTAATCAGCTGTCAGATAAAGAAAATATCTTGGTTCAACTATGCTTTCATATGTATTTTATATACTCTAATTCTTTAAACCACTACATAATAGTCAAAAATGCTTTTGAAAGTATTTTTACTTTAGGAAATATGTCACTATATTGAAAAACATAAATATGCTATTCATTTTAGAAACAGTATTCACTCTTTCTTCTCTCATCTTAAAGGGTAGACTTTTCCAATAAAACCTTCAGCACTTATGAAAATATTGTATATCTGAGCTGTGTATTATAGTAACCACAAGCCACTCTTGGCTGTTAATAACTGACATGCACTACTAAAAATAAATGACTGGATATTTTATTTAATTTCAATTTATTAAATTTAATTGACCATATGTTGCTAATGGCCACCATATTGGACACTGCAGGTCAAATCCTTGCATGTGTGTCAGCTTGACCTCAGTGTTTATTGGAAATGCAGATTCTATGCACCTCACTCCTGAACAATACAGGCAGGGCTTCTAGTTTGATAAAATCTCTAGATGATTCACATGCATGTTAAATTTTGAGAAGCACTCACCTAGAAATTGTAGGAAAACAAATTGTCAGAGTCAACATTTATGACAGAGAAGAGCTAGTGAAAAGACATGTTTCATGCATACAATTCCTACAACTACATGAAAATTAAATAGAGTAAACATTCTTCAAAAACATATTTATGGATTTTAATGATTGTTGCAAGAATTCTATGTACATATTGGGTTTTTGCCAGAATATATATGTACTATTGGACATTTTCTTTTGATTTATTTGGTCGCTACTTTGAAAGTCATTTGCTATCCTCTCACGCACAAAACTTTTGGACAGAATATACTCTTTTCTTATAAAATATTTGAAAAAATCATTTAGGGCTATAATGAGACCAAATAGGTTTTCTTTAATATGATATACTCAATGACAATGTCATGAAAGATTAAAGCATGCATTATTACAGTTACTCTAATTATTATGGTAATTGTACTTTTTTTAACCTATTAATCTATGTTAAGTCTCAAATGATAATGTTTAAAGCAAACCAAAGTTTTAACTGATGAAGTTACTGGCTTCAGCAGACATATTTATGAGTACTGTTACAGTAAGCATGGAAAAAAAATCTACCCTTTAATCTCTGTGCTGAACGGAAAGGACTTAATGAGTTCAATAACCACTGAGTTCACAAAGCCTCCTTTAAACAAAAATGAAAATGCATACAAAATATAGTTTCCAGTCTCGTGTAAAATAGCTTGTGTGTGTATATTTAAGGCGACAGGTAAAAATTTGAACATTGCTGTATTCCGGCCGGGCGCGGTGGCTCACGCCTGTAATCCCAGCACTTTGGGAGGCTGAGGCGGGCGGATCACGAGGTCAGGAGATCGAGACCATCCCGGCTAAAACGGTGAAACCCCGTCTCTACTAAAAATACAAAAAATTAGCCGGGCGTAGTGGCGGGCGCCTGTAGTCCCAGCTACTTGGGAGGCTGAGGCAGGAGAATGGCGTGAACCCGGGAGGCGGAGCTTGCAGTGAGCCGAGATCCCGCCACTGCACTCCAGCCTGGGCGACAGAGCGAGACTCCGTCTCAAAAAAAAAAAAAAAAAAAAAAAAAAAAAAAAAAATTTGAACATTGCTGTATTCCAACAGAACTTTATTTACAAAACCAGATGTTGGGCTGGGCTTTGCCCCTGGCTATCATCTGCCATTGATCTTTTGTTTGAGGGTATATACATAGACTTCCCTCTTTCTCCATAGAATACATTTTTCTCAAACCCCAGCATGGAAGCCCTCAAGACATCTGCTGCTGTTGATATTCAGTGTCACTGTGCTTGCCAGAAAGTCTCTAGAGGTCAAACCACTCCTGGAAGACCCCGATGTCCTCTTCCAACACTTCAGGGACAATAAAACAGTCAATGTTATTGCACTTGATATTGCTGTAATTACCTGAGAATCTATCTGCCAGAATTTTGAACTACATTAAAGTAATGCCTCCCTGTTGAAAGAAGACAGAATTTTGCAGTTGAAACCTCAAGGACTCAATTATTCAATGCAGCCCTGCATTTATTATTATAAATAATAAATGTAAAACATTTATTATGTAAATGTAAAACATGTAAAACACTGCCACAGTTGGCCACTTGGTTCCATTCTAGCAAAAATACTGTATAACTAAAGCTTAAGATGGCATAGTGCTAAGAGAGAGAGAATTAACCATGTATTTAATTTTCTGTCATCCCATGCTTTGACATCTTAAGCCCTGTTGACCCTGGAGTGACAGCCACTCCCAGGGCTAGCCAATTCCTAGAGACAGTGAAGAACTAGTCTGCAAGCACATTTTTTTTTTAACATCTACAAGCCAACTAGTCAAAACTCTACACCTCCAACTGCCTCCTCTATGAGGCTCTCATAATTTGGGTTCTCTTCACCTGCCTCAATGACCCAAAGGCCAGTTATCAGACAGTTAGGAGGGAGATCCTTGTGCCCCACAGCCTGTTGAAATGTCCCTAAATAGCAAATCTTAGCCTACTCACCCTGCCTTACCCTTTCTCCCATAGGAACCACATTAAAGACTCTGCCCACAATACACCCATCTTCCTCTGCCTCCTGACTAACCTGGTGCTTCCTATGAAACCCCCCATGGCATGGTATGCCCTTTATTCTTGGGACTCATGATTAAGAGGCTATTTTTTTCATTAGCAGTTGTCTCCAGAGCTGCTGGCCTCAAAATTTCTATGAACACACTGTGTTTTAAAACAATATGGCCTGGCACTGTGGCTCATGACTGTAATCCCAGCACTTTGGGAGGCCAAGGCGGGTGGATCACGATGTCAGGAGATCGCTACCATGCTGGCTAACACAATGAATCCCCATCTCTACTAAAAATACACAAAAAAATAAAAAATTACCCGGGTATGGTTGTGGGCACCTGTATTCCAGCTACTCTGGAGACTGAGGCAGGGGAATGGCGTGAACCCAGGAGGTGGAGCTTGCATTGAGAGGAGATCGTGCCACTGCCTATATGCATATACCTATATCCATATATTGGAACTGGGCCACATAGCAGGAGGAGAGCAGCGGGCTAGCAAGTAAAGATTCATCCACTCCCCATCACTTGCGTTACTGACTGAGTTCTGCCTCCTCTCAGATCAGCAGTAGCATTAGATTCTCATAGGAGCACAAACCCTATTGTGAACTGTGCATGTGAGGGATTAGGTTGCATGCTCATTATAAGAATCTAATACCTGATGATCTATCACTGTCTCCCATCACCCTTAGATGGGAAAATCTAGTTGCAGGAAAATGAGCTCAGGGTTCCCACTGATTCTACATTATGGTGAGTTGTATAATTATTTTGTTATGTATTACAATGTAATAATAATAGGAATACAATGCACAATAAAGGCAATGTGCTTGAATCATCCCAAAATCACCCCCCACCCCCTAGACTGTGGAAAAATCGTCTTTCATGAAACTGGTCCCTTGTGCCAAAACAGTTGGGGACAGCTGACATGTAATATATATACACACACATACACAGACACACACACACACAAACACACACACACACACAGAGATTGAATATCCCTTACGCAAAATGCTTGGAACCAGAAGTTTTTTTGGATTTTTTTTTTTTCAGATTTTGGAATATTTGCATTATACTTACAGTTGAACATACCTAACCCAGTAATCCAAAATACTCCAATAGGCGTTTTCTTTGAGTGTTATGTTGACACTCAAGTTTTGGATTTTAGATTTTCAGATTTGGGCTATTCGACCCTTGTATTTTTTTTTTTTTTTTTTTTTGAGACAGAGTCTCTCTGTGTCACCCAGGCTAACAAGTGTATTGTGGATTCATTTTTTTAATTTGACACTTTTTTATTCTCTTGTGTGTGAATGTTGGTGTACATATATATTCTCATACCAAATAAAATAGAATTTCCTAAAGTAAACATTATGCTTGGTAGATTTACACTTTCTTTCAACAGGATCCTAAGCTTTTAGATACAATAGGCTTTTCTGCTATGACTGGAAACAATAGATCTAAACTCCAAAGCCAACAGAGGTTTTGGAAAGTGTTTGGCTTAATTTGTAATTCTGGTATCACCATCTGTCTTTGTTTTATTTTCAATCTAAATTTTGTGCCTTATTAATTTTTTGTTTCCCTCTCTTTTATGTTTTTAACAAGATTTTTAATGGGATAAACTTCTGGATTTGTGTTAATGTCTCAAAATGTATAGAAGTTTGTCTCACTTAGACCTGGGAAGAAAATGAACTAGTTCATTTGAAATATAGACCAAATACAGTGTTGAGGATATGGTGCAGATATTATACTTACCTCTTCATTGACTTAGGTACAGAAAGGAATATTGTTTTCTCAGTAGACTAGGTGAAATGAAAAGCAACTTTTCTTTATAAATTTCAGAGTACGTGGATATGATAGTATCTAAAACTAAATGTAATATCTTAATCATCATATGTCACCATCAAGTTTGTAGGTGTCTCCAAAACATGAAAATAAAAGCATTTCTTAGGCTCTCTAAGATGAAAATCATGGTCATAATTTGTATAAGACCATAATAAAATAGAGAAGTATGTTTCTCAATTCTGAGGAGATAGGATAGGAAAGTGAGACATAATGTTGCTAACAAGAACAGGAAAATTGGTTTTGAGTGTTGCTTTATCTATTAGAATGTATTTTCTCAGGTTTGGCATGGTGGCTCATGCCTATAATCCAAGCACTTTGGGAAGCTGAGGCAAGTGGATCACTTGAGTTCAGGAGTTCAAGACCAGCCACACCAACATAATGAAACCCCACCTGTACTAAAACACAAAAATTAACCAGGAGTGGTGGCACATGCCTATATTCCCAACTACTTTGGAGACTGAGGCATGAGAATCACTTGAACCCAGGACACAGAAGTTGCAGTGAATGGAGAGCATGCCACTGTACTCCAGCCTGGGTGAGAGAGCAAGACTCTGACTCAAAAAAAAAAAAAAAAAAAGGAAGTATATATTTTTTCCTGTGGAATCCACTCAACTACCCCACAGGAAGGAAAGAAGGGTATAGATCCATGTCCTCTCCAGCAATGAATCATGAGGGGAGAAAACCACAGTGTTCTTCATGCTCTTCTCCCTCTTCCCAATTGATTCAGTGTCTTGACAGTTAGGGAGGATACAGGGAAAACAAATCAGAAGTGGATAAAAGAAAAGTAGCCAGATAGATTATGAATCAAAAAATGACAATTGACAAAGATTCAACCATATGACACAGAAATGTGGGAGAAAAAACACACAAATAATGACTGAATTAGATTCCTGGGACTGTGGATAGCTGGGAACAACAGACATGAATTCGCTCACAGTTCTGGAATCCAGAAGTCTGAATTTCAGGTGTTGGCAGGGACTCACTCTTTCTGAGAATATGGGTAGAATCTATTCCATTCCCTGCTCCTGATTTCTTGGGATTCTTGCAGTCTTTAGTGTTCCTTGGCTTACAGTTGCTTCTCTCTAGCCTTTTTATGATGTTGTCTCTGTGTGTCTGTCTTTTAACATAACAGTCTTTTAATTGTGTGTCTGTCTTTGTGTCTCTTTGTAACCACTCAGTTGGTTCACCTTGCCCACTGCCTAGCTAGAACAAGTTTCTCAAGACAGGGGACTTGCAATAAAGAGTAATTCATGCAGATCCAGCTGTGTGGGAGACTGGAATTTTATTATTACTCAAATCAGTCTTTGTGAGCATTTGGGGATCTGAGCTTTTAAGGATAATCTGGTGTGTGGGGGAAGGCCAGTAAGTTTAGAGTGCTGACTGGTGGGGTCAGAGATGAAACAGTAGGGAACTGAAGCTGTCCTCTTGCACTGAGTCTGTTCCTGGGTGGGGGACAGAAGAGCAGATGAGCCAGTCTATCAATCTGGGTGGTTCTAGCTAATTCATCAAGTGCAGGGTCTACAAAATATCTGTATCACTGATCTTAGGAGCAGATTAAGGAGGGTCAGAATCTTGTAGCCTCCAGCTGCATGAATCCTATGCCATAATTTCTAATCTTGTGGCTAATTTGTTAGTTGTTCAAAGGTAGTCTAATCCCCAGGAAAGTAGGAGGTTTGTTCTGGGAAAGGATTATTATCTTCTTTGTCTTAAACTATAAACTAAATTCCTCCCAAAGTTATTTCAGCCTACACCCAGGAATGCACAAGGAGAGTTTAGAAGTTACAAGCAAAACGGAGCTGGTTAAGTCAGATGTCTTTCACTCTCGCAGTTATAATTTTGTAATGTCAGTTTTATCTTCTCCTGTTAACAAAGATACCAGTCATGGTGGATTAAGGCTGAAGTTCACTCCAGCATGACCTCCTCTTAACTTTCATCTTAATTACTTATTTAAAGAGATCCTATTTCCAAGCATTCATTGGAGGAATGGTTTTGTTTCCTTGTTCTTTTTAAGTAGCATGATTCTGGATATGAAAGTTTGACTATTGAAACAACATAGGGAAGTTAAGCATTCCCTCAGTATCCCACCCCATGATACAATGCCAGCTCTCAGCTACAGTTCACTAGTCTTTCAAATTTAATGTTTTTAAGCATTCTGATTTCCAAATAAAGTCACAGCAACAGTTGTTCAAGATGGAGGGTATCAACAAACCTTTTTGGGTGACACAATTCAACTTGCAACATAGACAATGATTTTAAAGCTTTAGCAATAGCAAGAAAGAGAGAAACATGAAGACACTAAGACTTGAAATTTTTGCAAATAGCAAGAACATAGAAAGTTGCACTCTTCTTGGTAGGATGGCAGAAAAATTCAGGAATCCAATGCAGACAACAAACAAACAAACAAAAAGAAACATCATCTTCTCTCCAGTGATGGCAAAATGTCTTCATGAGGTTAACTTTAAATTTTTTCTACTAAAATATTTAAAATTACATTGGTTCCTTTTAATTACATTTCTTTTCCTTTTTGGCTCTTCCTTGATATACAAAGTTAATTTGAGATCTAGAATTCCCCACACAGAACACAGGCACCTGCTATGTCATTTGTGTTAGCCTCTTCAGCCCAAAACTGCAATTTTGTGCTTTTGATATTGAATATACAGAAATAAGTTTCTGCAGGGATTTAAATAGCTTATTAATTTAGCCCAAGAGTGATATTTACATTTTTGGGGACGTTAAAAGGTCTATGTTCGATACAGCAGAAATTTTAATTTTACCCTTCAGCATTTATGAGGATGGCATGTTTAAAATTCCGCTTTGTAGAAAATACACAATCCATTAGGACTTGACTAAGATCAAGATGCACATTTATTCATTTAAGGAATGAGAAAAGCTACAAAGAAAGAAATGTTGGAGACTTGAATTTTTCTTTCAAGATTTGAGAAAATACACAAAAGGCATATATCGATTAATGTTGATCAGAAAATGGTGAGACAGCACAAACACAAAGCAACCTGAAGAGGGCTCATAACACTAGGAACATTTCTCTCTGCTTCTGAAAAATATAAATTCAATAAGTTAGATGTTTTTCTTCATGCATTGGAGGAATGGTTTTGTTTCCCTGTTCTTAAGCAGCACAATTCCAGTAATGAAAGTTTGACTATTCCAACAACATTTGGTTGTCAAGCATCCCCTCACCATCCCACCCCATGATACAATGCCAGCTCTCAGTTACAGTCTACTAGCCTTCCATATTTAGCGTTTTTAAGCATTCTGATTCGGTAACCCCTCCAGCATTAACACAACCAATAGCCATTGAAGGGTGAGCCAATTCTATTGTAATAAAAACACATACCCTATTCTCAAACCCTTACCTGTTTCTCTATGATAACTTCTGAATTTGTGAACTTTTTCAGTAAATCATATTCCATGTTTAGTCCTGGGATAAAGATAAGATGCAGCAAGAGAGAAGGGAAATGCTATATGAGTGATAAAGCAAGTCTTCCCATAGAAATTGAAGTTGGATTTGATACAAAGTGAAGAAAACAACATTTAGAACACTGATCCCAAGTGAATCCAATGACAAAACCATGAATATTTCTACTTTTAATGTCTACGATGTTTGTAATAAGCATTGTAAAAAAATCAGAGCTATGTCATTTTATTTTTTGAATATTGGGTCAGGAAATGGGAGGTTGGAAGTAAACAATGAAAATGAGGAAGCAATAGAAGAGTTATCAATGCTGGAGGAGAAAAATCAGGGTAGTTTTCCTGAAATCAGTAACTTAATAGGGAAAAGAGGTCTAGAATCTGAAATTAGATTTATTTATTATGGTTTATCCTAACCAATTCAGAAGGGTCTTTGAAAGTCTTCAGAGGTTTTTAAAAACAAACTAAATGGGGGCCAGGTGTGGTGGCTCACATCTGTAATCCCAGTACTTAGGGAGGCTGAGGTTGGTGGATCAAGAGGTCAGGAGTTCAAGACCAGTCTGGCCAATGTATTGAAACCCTGTCACTACTAAAAATACAAAAAATTAGCTGGGAGGTAGGAGAATCTCTCGAACCTGGGAAGCGGAGGTTGCAGTTAGTGGAAATCATGCCACTGCACTGCAGCTTGGGCAACAGTGCGAGACTCCATCTCAAAAAAAAAAAAAAAAAAGAAAAGGTAAATAGGAACAAAATACCAAACTGAAATTTGCATTTTAATATTTCCTCTATGTACCAGTCTAAATTTTAAAGAAAAATTTATATTCTCTAATAGAGCTCTTGTTTTAATAAAATACATCAATACGGTGGCAGGCATTTCACATGTGTAAATATCATTAAACAAGCATCCTCCACACTAAAAGTATACATTCTACCATTCAAATACAAAAGCATTAAACAAAGAAGAGAAGCCAGAGAGAAATTACATTCACACCTTTTGAAAATCAATATGTTTTCCTTTTGGTTTCACTTTTCATAAGATAATAAGTCTTTGAATTTGTGGGGTATAAAATCCAAAAATAGCCTCAAGGAGCAAGAACATGCAAATTCCAAAGATGATGGCAGTTTCGTTCCTACAAAAGAAATAAAAAAAGGATATTTTGTTTCTGCCAAGGCAATAATAAATAAATAAATAAATAATTACATAAATGAAATGAAAAGGCCACTTCTCCCTAAATGACTGGTGAGTAGTTTTATAGCTTGGAAAGTTTAATTTTACACAATCATGTTATAAGCTGCTATTCTATATATTATGAGCCTTAAATATCAGAAGATACTGTCAGATATCTACACAAATAGTGGATAGAAGGCAATAATTATTTTTGTTTAATAGAGAAATAAATATATCTAAGTTGGTATTTGGATTGGAAACAATAGTGATATACATCTTCACAGCTCTTCCACAGAAATATCAGTGTTTTAGGCCATTCTTGCACTGCTATAAACAAATATCTGAGACTGGGCAATTTATAATGAATGAGGTTTAATTGGCTCAGGGTTGTGCAGGCTGTACAGGAAGCAGAGCAGCATCTGCTTCTGGAAAGGCCTCAGGAAGCTTCTAATCATGACAGAAGGCAGAAGGGAGCAGACACGGCACATGGCAAGAATAGAACAAGAAAGAGATCAAGGGTGAGGTGCCACAAACTTCTAACTGACCAGATATCATGCGAATACATGAACTATTGCAAAGATAGCACCAAGCCATGAGAGATCCACCCCCTGTGACACAAACCCCTCCCACCAGGCCTCACCTCCAACATTGTGGATTACAATTGAACATGAGATTTGGCAGAGACAAATAACCAAACTATATCATTTTACCCTGACCTCTCACAAATCTCATGTTCTTCTCACATTGCAAAATACAATGAGGTCTTCCAAATAGTCCCCCAAACTTGCCCACTCCAGCATTAACTCAAATGCTCAAAGTCTATAGTCTCATCTGAGACAAGGCATGTCCCTTTCATTGCCTTGCTTTATTGGACCACAGCCTAGTAAATGTCCCAAGTTCCAGACATGCTCTTCCTTGCCCCATTATAATCCATCATTTCTAACACTTAAGGATAAACTTCTATCAATATAATATCTCATTTATTTGCTTCTGGCCCACTGCCATGAAGAGCCTAAGGTGATAAGTGATAAGAGTACATTCAGATTGAGAGCAACCCTTGGCTGTATCTTGATGCCTTGGAACCAGGACTGCCATGTTGCAGACGGGCCAGTTGCATACAAGGAAGCCCCAAGTTCTGCAAAAGGGTAACTCAAAATTGTGAGAAAAGAGGACACACCTACTATCACACATTAGTTCCTGGATACCTGTGTACCACTAGTTATTGATGACAGAGCATCATATACAGGTCGTTGTTTAGCTGCATAAAATGTGTCTTGAAAGTTGGTGTCCCATCCCTGCAGGATTTTATCCTAGGGCAAACATATTAACTGATGCTGTAGTGGACACATTTTATTTTTGTGATGATGCCAGCTGCTTCTGAGAGATGTGGGATATCATAAGAAAATTGAATCTTGCCCACCGTGTATGGGCACTTATCCTAAGGGATTGTGACTCTCTCTCTTCAACTTCTCAGCTGTTTTCAAAGACCCCATGAGCTCACATGGAATGGAAGAACTTGGGCCAGAATGCAGAAAGATTCCCAGTGTTTTCTTGAAGTATAATGCCATGGATTAAAGATGAGTCAGAGATCACTTGAAGTTGTTCACTTTGGTTGCTGCCAGATCAGAAGTGGACTGAGGAAATAAAAGGTGGAAAGAGATTCCTCCTGCTGAGAAAACATGGACTATTAAAGAAATAATAGGTATCTGTATAACTACAGTCTTAAATACAACCCAAGAAGCAAATGGAAATGATCTTAAAAGGAATACACTGTGGAAAGATGTTTAGGGCAGATGTTTTTGTTTTAAGCATGAATTTAATTCTAACACTTTGACATTTTGGAGTTTTGCTGACCTTGAGGGAGCTATACCTCCTAGAATTAGCCAGTTCCTAAACATCGTAAAGAACCAAGTGCATGTTTGCCTTTTATATGCAAACCAACCAGTCCAGAGGCCACACCCTAACCACCTCCTTTACTGGTCTCTCATACTCCACATTTCTATTTCACTGTCCTCATCATCCCAGGACCAGGTATGAGACATCTAGGGGAAGCCCCTTCACACTGGATTCTACTGAAGTTATTCAAACCAGCCAATCCTAAACCTGCTTACCTTGCCTCACCCATTCATTTATGTGAAAAATGCAATTCAAAATTCTTACCATGCCATACCTTTTTTGACCACACCCATCCTGACTCCTGATCAATGCTGGTGGTGCTCTCCTATGTGGCCCTCCATGGTGTGGCAAGCCTTCAACCCATAGGAACTGTGAGCACAAACTGTTTATAGCAGTTATCTCTTGATCTCTTGGACTTGCCATATCTCAGTAATAATAAAACCTACATTTTAAAACAGTTTTTGACCCACAAAGGTTCAGTACTGATAGCATATTGAAGAACCCCCACAAAGTCAACTCAGACATGGAACATATTAAAAATACAAAGCAAAGGCCAGGTGTGGTGGCTTATGCTGTAATCCCAGTATTTTGGGAGGCTGAAGCAGCAGCTTCATTTGACGCCAAGAGATCAAGACCAGCCTTGGCAACAAAGTGAGACCTCATCTGTATAAAGAATAAAAATAAAAATTAGAGAGACATGGTGGCACATGCCTGTAGTCCCAGCTACTCGGCAGGCTTAAGTGGGAGTATCAATTGGAGCCCTGGAGTTCAAGGCTGCAAAGAGCCATGATCGTGACATTGCACTCCAGCCTGGGTGATAGAGTAAGACCCTGTCTCAGAAAAGAAGACATTACAAAGCAATGTTATTGCCAACATCTAAAATCTTTTCTTAGGTTTGAAAAAGGCAAATCAATATTAAACATTGTAGCAACTTAAAAGATCTGATGGCAAGAGAAAATGAACATGTGAATGCTATTTTACATATTCCAGAAATTAATTTACAGATTCTGGAGTCTTATCCAGGTGTGCACCAATGGTAATAATGCAGAGGCTAATGTGGTTGTAAAGGTTAAAGTAGGTGTTAAAAAGTAAAATGTGGAAGTAGTTTATAGGTAACAGAAATTAATTTATCCAACTAAAATGTGTGCGATTAATCCAGAGCATTTCACTTAGATATTTTCAGTCTATAATAATAAAAACATGACACTTAAATAGGTGAATACACAGTCAAAGATGTTTTCTTAAAAGTGTGCATATGTTTTAAGTAAAGAAAAGCATATACTTTCAAAAGTGATTCAGCCATAGAAGAGGCATCTTTTGTTAGCACATATACAATCATAGCTTTAGTTTTATTACTAGGTATAATCTGTTTTGTTGTGGCTTTTGCCCTTAACATGACTCTTTCTGTGACTTCTCTTAAATATCATTATTGCTAGGCTATAAGAAATCTACAATACATGCATTATGAAATCCTGCATAGAATAAAGATATATTTTTAAATATAACATCTCATAGAACCTGAATTGCTCTCTTATGTGGAGAATTTTTCTATGCTGATATTCCAGTACAGCTTTTAAACATGTAACTAAAATATCTGAAAGAAGATATTGATATAAATGATGTCTGCCAATAGCAGAATTCAATAGCAATCGAAAAATTATTCAAAAATTATTTGAGCCCTTGAATATCCTAACATTGTACACATTTAACACTGCTTAAATATGATAAAAAATCATCATGAGTTACTAGCCAATACTCATCAGGGATGACAAAAAGCACATGTTTATAATTAAATGTGTGATACAGGATGGATAATAAATGTACACCTCTTACTGGCTGATATGTCATAATACGGAAGAGTAAGTCATATGTTTTATGTAATGTGACCGTTACTATCTGGTTAATTAAAGAGATGATTAGTAGAAAAGTATGATAACTGGAAATATTGAGGCTATGAGTTAATCATTTCAGCCATAGTGGTTAGTATAATGGAAACAACTAATGGGAATCTCACTATATAAATGTAATGACAGCAACCATCCCTCAGTACTTGTATTTATGGGACAAGGAGTAATCAATACCAATTAATTATCTTTTCTTATCATTTTGAAGCACACAGCATGATAAGAAATCTGGCATTCCTAAACAGGCAATTTGACTCATATCCCACAGTTTGCTAGAAAAATAAAAGGTTATTTGAAATTTACATGTTATGCTCTACATGGCTGATTGAATTCTAAGCCTGTGAGACCATCCCTGAAAAATAAACCAAGCTTGCAGCTTCCTCTCTGACCTCCTTCCTCATACTGGTACAGTGTCTATTGCCCCAGAAACACACAGACCCTGTCACAAGGTTATAGTCCCCCTTAACTGCTCTACAGATAACCAAAGGGACATTATGAAACATTACGCTTTCCGTTTGAGATCTTCTTTCAGTTCCTGCATATCAATCAAACTACTGCCTCAGCTTGTCTGAAGGATCCCACGAGGATCTGACTCTCCAAAGAATGCAGTTTCTATATCCTGATGACTTCCTCCTCATTACCCCAACCAATCACTGAACCCAAAGTTCCAGTCCCTTATGCTCCATGATCTCCTTAAAAACCCCATCCTAGAACTCTCCCATCTCCTTGCTCAGTGCACTGCAATCACAAAATTTTCTCTGCTGCAAACCCTGCTGTCTCAGTGTAACTGAGCAGGTACTGTACAGCGGGCACATTAACCTATTGGTCCTATAACACCTGTTGCTTAAGCTTTGATTCTTACCAAGTTATTTGGATTTCCTCCTACAATGATGTGATAGAATGTCTTTCTAATTAACAGGATATGTGTTTTCTTACTCATAAAAGACAGTTTCTCATGGCAACCATCCTGTGATTCATATATTCATCATAATATCTAACAAGAAAACAAATGCAAAACTGAACGCCTTGTTTTAAATTTTCACTTTCACAGATTATTTTAATGACTTTTTTAAAATGTAATGAGTAATTCACTCATAAAATTAACTGGAAAAATTTGATGACTCACATCATTCTCATTTTTTAATTAAATGCATATTTCATAGGATTTAAAACATGTCATTGCAATGTATGCAAATGACAATTTGCATACATTTTCTATGTATTTAGTGGAGACAAAAACAGACTCCTTCTGTCTCTTTCCCTGTCCTTCTCTGTCTCTCTCTCCCTCACATACACATACACAAACAGAGAGCGAGAGAGAGAGAGAAATTGAGACAAAATATATAAACCTCATTTTTCCTTATTTGGTTCTACTTGAAAATACTCATTATTACCTTCACACACACATGTATAAACAAAACTGTGCAGCAATAAGGAGCTTTCTTACAGTAAAGTGTATTCACAGTCTTTCCCCAACCAAGATTATCTGAATTTATAATGTTGATTAGTTTCTTGCTCCAGTAACTCATCTTCCATAAAGGAATTAAAAAAATATAATTTCATGGATGACTAATAGCTGACATTTAATAAAAGCAGGATTTTTAAATATTAGCACAAAGTTCAGATTAGTAAATTTAATTTTCAATTCAGATTGGAGAGATATGACAGGTACTAAAGAAGGGTAAATTGAAATATGTTAAAGCAGTCTTTATATCACACCAAGGCTAAATTCTCATTCATATCAATGTGGATAGAAAGATTCATAATTACATTAAAGTGTTAGGCAAAGCTCTCCACCCAGCTGTTTTCTAACTAGTTAATTTGGTATTGTGTAAGTTTTTACTTAGTTTTAAACTGCTATAGAAATTTCTCATTATAAGACAACACATTATCAATAATAGCAGAAAATGTTCACTCGATCATTCAAATCTGCTTCATGTATTTTGATGCATCCGTGTGTTTGTGGTTGATCATTGAATAAAGAAAAATAGTAGAAGCCATACACGGTGGCCCACACCTGTAATCCCAGCACTTTGGCAGGCTGAGGTGGATGGATCACCTGGGGTCAGGAGTTCCGGACCAGCCTGGCCAACATGGTAAAATCCCATCTCTGCTTAAAATGCAAAAATTAGCCGGGCTTGGTAGCAGTCACTTGTAATCCCAGCTACTCAGCTGAGGCAAGAGAACTGCTTGAACGTGGGAGGTGGCTGTTGCAGTGAGCTGAGAGTACACCACTGAACTCCAGCCTGGCAACAGAGTGAGATTCTGTCTCAAAAAAAAAAAAAAAAAAAAAGTAGAAAAGGAAAGGGAGAGATTCTCAAATTTAGTCAGTAAATCAAATACCGGATGAACACCTCTTTCTTTTTATTCCCTAGATTTGTCATTTTATTTTAAAATTTCTTTAATAATCATTCCCTCAGCATGTCTGTATTGTCTTTGAGTCAAATATTTTTTCTAAGTAGGTATGTACTTTATTCAATAAGAAATATTTTGGTGGTTTTAGTCCAATTATTCCCAAGACCACATTATTTTTCAAATTTGACTAACCAAATCATCTGTAAAAATTAAGACTTTTAAAAAGAATTTTACTGAAAAGTGAAACAACAAAGTTTTTCAAGAAAGAACAAAGGATGGGAAGAGATTACTTCACGTATTGTTTTAATCTACTGTCTCCATAGCAAAAATAAATATACAGAAAGCTTTTAAAATATTTAAAAATATATTATTCTATGGATTTAAGTACCTTATGTAATTTTGAAAGGTTAGGAAAGGTGCATAATTTCTATTCACAATTTAGTATGCTAGAAATTAATAAGAAAAATAGAAAATGGCAATCACAGAAAAAAAGCTGCAAGACAGAAACTGACAATATCTCTTTGCTCTTGCATCTCAGAGATTGAAGTCTATTTGCCAGATGATGTAAGAAATGACTCCAGTGATAGCCCTTCCAGTGAGACCTTATGGCACACCAAAAGTGACCAGAAAAGAGCACACTGAAAAGAAAATGACTACCTGTTTGCACTACTGAACAGTAATGCAGGAATCTTAAAATAAAATAAAATCATACAAAAATTCATTAGCTAACTATAATTCAACATCCCCAAACATTCCCAATTAGAGGCTATCAGTCAGAGTGAATTTGTCTTTCCATGATAACAAGTATCCTCAAAGTCTGGTAAATGAAAATATAAAGATTCATCTCTCCTTCCTGTTGTATGTGTTCATTGTAATGGGCTGAAGGCCTGAATCTTCATTGATTGGCTAGCCACCCTCACAGCAGGAAGATAGTATGGCTTTTAGAGATTTTAATTTTAAAATGATTACTCCAAAGTCATAATGTCCAAACCATTCTTATGTTACCATTTTGTTGAGGAGATTTGTGTCTTATTTCAAGAGACATATTGATCTGTAATTTCATACTTACTTTCTTTTTTTGCATTATTTTATGTTATTTGTTTATTTTTAAGTCATATTTTCACTGTGTCACCCAGGCTGGAGTATAGTGGTGCCATCTTGACTCATGACAACCTCCACATCCCAGGCTCCAACCATCCCCGCAACTCAGCTTCTGGAGTAGTAGCTGGGATGACAACACATGCCACCACCATCCAGCTAATTTTGGTAGAGATGTGATTTCACCATGCACTACTGAACAGCAATGCAAGAATCTTTGCAATGCAAGAAGAAAGGCTGGTCTCAAATTCCTGGCCTCAAGCAATCTCCTGCCGCAACCTCCCAAAGTGCTGAGATTACAAGCATGAGCCACTGTGCATGGCTACAATCTTACATTTTATTTCGTTTGCATTGTCTTTGATATTGATATTAGGATAATGAATACAAGCCTTATAAAAAGATTTTTCGTGGGTCACAGTAGCTCATACTTATAATCCTAGCCCTTCTGGGGCTAAAGCAGGAGGATTGCTTGAGGTCAGAAGTTTGAGGCCAGCCTGGGCAACATAGCAACACCCTGTCCAAAACACAACATTTATCTGGGTTTGTGTTGTCATGTGCTTGTAGTTCCACCTACTCAGGAGGCTGAGTTGGGAGGATGGTTC
Source organism: Homo sapiens (assembly GCF_000001405.40). Lineage (NCBI taxonomy): Eukaryota > Metazoa > Chordata > Mammalia > Primates > Hominidae > Homo > Homo sapiens. Next base: position 15,016,758 of record NC_000024.10, on the reverse strand, counting down.
GAGCATGGGAGTGGAGGTTGCAGTTAGCCAAGATCACACCATTGCACTCCAGCCTGGGTGACTGAGCCAGACCCTATTAAAAAAAAAAAAAAAAAAAAAAAAAGATTTTGAAAGTGTCTTCTTTTGTTCTACTTTTTGAAAGAACTGTGTAAAATTAATGTTAATTTTCCTTTTAGTATTTGGAAGGATGCATCCAGAAAATCACTTGAACCTGTTTTTTTTCTCCTTAGTCACATTTCTGAAAAGCCAACTTTAAATTTTACCTGAAGAATTATACATGCAAATAAGATTGAGTGACCTATTTTAAAACGTCATTATCAATACATTGGGAAAGTATTAGAATTATTGTGTAACTTCTCTAGGTCTGATATTTGATATGGTAATAATGGCTAATGTTTATCAGTACATCCTGTTTCTGGTGCTCTAAACATTACTTTTTAAAATATTTTCATTTATTTTTTATTTTTTTAAATGCATTTATTTTTAAAATTTCAACAGCATTATGGGTACATGTGGTTCTTGGTTACATGGATGAATTGTATAATGTTGAAGTCTGGGCTTTCAGTGTGTCCATCACTGGAGTTGAATATATTGTATCCAATACATGAATTCTTTAAACGTCACTTTTTATGTAGTAATGCATTTAATACTCATAGCAGCCCTGTTAAGTAGGTCCTGTTGCTCTCCAAATTTTACAGATACAGGAGGCTGAGGAGGCATAGAGAAATTGAATAATTTATCCACTACCAGATAGCCCCATAAAGGTGAAGCAGGGATTTCAACTGCAGCTATCCAACTCACACATCACCCACATTTAGTGGTTGTTTTGTATTAATTTTTAATTTGTTATCTACAAAAGGCAGGTGAAGGCCTCAAGTCTAGTTAGAGAAACAGCTGCATCAACCCTAGTAAAGAAGTCTCTCAAGTGAACAGTGTCCAACTCTGTCCTTACAAGAAAGACCAAGAGGTCATTTTGAGGGTTCCACACAGCAACCAGCCCAATATGTACTCTTTATAGAAAAGGGCATACAGTGTCAATTTTAGATCTTTCCTGCTTTCTCTTGTGGGCATTTAGTGCTATAAATTTCCCTCTACACACTGCTTTAGAAGTGTCCCAGAGATTCTGGTATGTTGTGTCTTTGTTCTCATTGGTTTCAAAGAACATCTTTATTTCTGCCTTCTTTTCATTATGTACCCAGTAGTCATTCAGGAGCAGGTTGTTCAGTTTCCAAGTAGTTGAGTAGTTTTGAGTGAGTTTCTTAATCCTGCATTCTAGTTTCATTGCACTGTGGTCTGAGAGAGAGTTTGTTATAATTGATGTCCTTTTACATTTGCTGAGGAGTGCTTTACTTTCAAATATATGGTCAATTTTGGAATAAGTGTGATATGGCGCTGAGAAGAATGTATATTCTGTTGATTTGGGGTGGAGAGTTCCGTAGATGTCTATTAGGTCCATTTGGTGCAGAGCTGAGTTCAATTCCTGGATATCCTTTTTAACTTTCTGTCTAGTTGTTCTGTCTAATGTTGACAGTGGGGTGTAAAGTCTCCCATTATTATTGTGTAGGAGTCTAAGTCTCTTTGTAGGTCTCTACAAACTTGCTTTATGAACCTGGGTACTCCTGTATTGGGTGCATACATATTTAGGATAGTTAGCTCTTCTTATTGAAGTGACCCCTTTATCGTTATGTAATGGTCTTCTTTGTCTCCTTTGATCTTTGTTGGTTTAATGTCTGTTTTATCAGAGACTAGGATTGCAACCCCTGCCTTTTTTTGTTTTCCATTTGCTTGGTAGATCTTCCTCCATCCTTTTATTTTGAGCCTATGTGTGTCCCTGCACATGAGATGGGTCTCCTGAATACAGCACACTGATGGGTCTTGACTCTTTACCCACTTTTCCAGTCTGTGTCTTTTAATTGGAGCATTTAGCCCATTTACATTTAAGATTAATATTTTTATGTGTGAATTTGATCCTGTCATTATGATGTTAGCTGGTTATTTTGCCCGTTAGTTGACGCAGTTTCTTCCTAGCATTGATGGTCTTTACAGTTTGACATGTTTTTGAAGTGGCTGGTACCAGTTGTTCCTTTCCATGCTTAGTGCTTCCATCAGGAGCTCTTGTAGGGCAGGCCTGGTGGTGACAAAATCTCTCAGCATTTGCTTGTCTGTAAAGTATTTTATTTCTCCTTCACTTAATGAAGCTTAGTTTGGCTGGAAATGAAATTCTGGGTTGAAAATTCTTTTCTTTAAGAATGTTGAATATTGGCCCTCACTCTCTTCTGGATTGTAGAGTTTCTGCTGAGAGATCTGCTGTTAGTCTGATGGCCTTCCCTTTGTGGGTAACCCGACCTTCCTCTCTGGCTGTGTGTAACATGTTTTCCTTCATTTCAATTTTGGTGAATCTGACAATTATGTGTCTTGGAGTGGCCCTTCTCGAGGTGTATCTTTGTGGTGCTCTCTGTATTTCCTGTATTTGAATGTTGCCTGCCTTGCTAGGTTGGAAAAGTTCTCCTGGATAATATCCTGCACAGTGTTTTCCAACTTGGTTCCATTCTCCTCGTCACTTTCAGGTACACCAATCAGATGTAGATTTGGTCTTTTCACATAGTCCCCTATTTCTTGGAGGCTTTGTTGGTTTCTTTTTACTCTTTTTTCTCTAAACTTCCCTTCTCACTTCATTTCATTCATTGGATCTTCAATCACTGATACCATATCTTTCAGTTGACCGAATCAGCTATTGAAGCTCATGCATTCATCACGTAGTTCTCATGCCATGGTTTTCAGCACCATCAGGTCATTTAAGGACTTCTCTATGCTGGTTATTCCAGTTATCCATTCATCTATTCTTTTTTCAAGGTTTTAAGCTTCCTTGCGATGGGTTCAAACTTCCTTCTTTATCTCGGAGAAGTTTGGTTGTCTGAAGCCTTCTTCTGTCAGCTCATCAAAGACATTCTCCATCCAGCTTTGTTCTGTTGCTAGCAAGGAGATGCATTCTTTTGGAGGGGTAGAAGAGCTCTGATTCTTAGAATTTTCAGCTTTTCTGCTCTATTTTTTCCCCATCTTTGTGGTTTTATCTACCTTTGGTCTTTGATGATGGTGATGTACAGATGGGGTTTTCGTGTGGCTGTCCTTTCTGTTTGTTAGTTTTCCTTCTGACAGTCAGGACCCTCAGCTGCAGGTCTGTTGGAGTTTGCTAGAGGTCCACTCCACACCCTATTTGCCTGGGAATCAGCAGCAGAGGCTGCAGAACAGCAAATATTGCTGAACAGCAAATGTTGCTGCCTGATCATTCCTCTGGAAGCTTTGTCTCAGAGGGTGCCCCACCCTAACATCACAATTAAAAGAACTACAAGAAGCAAAAGGAAACACATTCAAAAGCTAGCAGAAGGCAAGACATAACTAAGATCAGAGCAGAACTGAAGAGATAAAGACACAAAAAACCCTTCAAAAAATCAATGAATCAAGGAACTGGTTTTTTTTTTTAAATTGACAGACTGCTAGCAAGGTTAATAAAGAAGAAAAGAGAGAAGAATCAAATAGACACAATAAAAAATGATAAAGCGGATATCACCACAGATCACACAAAAATACAAACTACCAATAGAGAATAATATAAACACCTCTACACAAATAAACTAGAAAATAAACAAGAAATGGATAAATTCCTGGACATATACAACCTCCCAAGACTAAATCAGGAAGAAGTTGAATCCCTAAATAGACTAATAACAGGCTCTGACATTGAGACAATAATGAGTAGCCTACCAACAAAAAAAGTCCAGGACCAGATGGATTCACAGCCGCATTCTGCCAGAGGTACAAGGAGGACCTGCTACCATTCCTTCTGAAACTATTCCAATCAATAGAAAAAGAAGGAATCCTCTCTAACTTATTTAATGAGGCCAGTATCATCCTGATAACAAAGCCTGTCAGAAACACACACAAAAAGAGAATTTTAGACCAATATCCCAGATGAATATCAATGCAAAAATCCTCAATAAAATACTGGCAAACCAAATCCAGCAGCACATCAAAAAGCTTTCCACCATGATCAAGTGGGCTTCATCCCTGGGATGCAAGGCTGGTTCTACATACACAAATCAATAAACCTAATCCAGCATCTAAACACAACCAAAAACAAAAAACACATGATTATCTCAATAGATGGAGAAAAGGCCTTTGACAAACTTCAACAGCACTTCATGCTAAAAACTCTCAATAAATTAGGTATTGATGGGACATATCTCAAAATAATAAGATCTATTTATGACAAACCCACAACCAATATCATACTGAATGGGCAAAACCTGGAAGCATTCTCTCTAAAAACTGGCACAAGGCAGGGATGCCCTCTCTCACCACTCCTATTCAACATAGTGTTGGAAGTTCTGGCCAGGGCAATCAGGCATGAGAAGGAAATCAAGGGTATTCAATTAGGAAAAGAGGAAGTCAAATTGTCCCTGTTTGCAGATGACATGATTGTATATTTGGAAAACCCCAGCATCTCAGCCCAAAATCTCCTTAACCTGATAAGCAACTTCAGCAAAGTCTCAGGATATAAAATCAGTGTACAAAAATCACAAGCATTCTTATACACCAATAACAGAAAAACAGAGAGCCAAATCATGAGTGAACTCCCATTCACAATTGCTTCAAAGAGAATAAAGTACCGAGGAATCCAACTTACAAGGGATGTGAAGGTCCTCTTCAAGGACAACTATAAACCATTGCTCAATGATATAAAAGAAGACACAAACAAATGGAAGAACATTCCATGCTCATGGATAGGAAGGATCAATATCATCAAAATGGCCATACTGCCCAAGGTAACTTATAGATTCAATGCCATCCCCATCAAGCTAACCATGACTTTCTTCACAGAGTTGGAAAAAACTACTTCATATGGAAACAAAAAAAGAACCCACATTGCCAAGAGAATCTTAAGCCAAAAGAACAAAGCTGGAGGCATCATGTTACCTGACTTCAAACTACACTACAAGTCTACTGTAACCAAAACAGCTTGGTACTGGTACCAAAACAGAGGTATAGACCAATGGAACAGAACAGAATCCTCAGAAATAATACCACACATCTACAACCACCTGATCTTTGACAAACCTGAGAAAAACATGAAATGGGGAATAGATTCCCTATTTAATATATGGTGCTGGGAAAACTGGCTAGCCATATGTAGAAAGCTGAAAATAAATCCTTTCCTTGCACCTTATACAAAAATTAATTCAAGATGGATTAAAGACTTAAATATTAGACCTAAAACCATAAAAACCCTAGAAGAAAACCTAGGCAATACTATTCAAGACATAAGCATGGGCAAGGACTTCATGTCTAAAACACCAAATGCAATGGCAACAAAAGCCAAAACTGACAAATGGGATCTAGTTAAACTAAAGAGCTTCTGCACTGCAAAACAAACTACCATCAGAGTGAACAGGCAACCTACACAATGGGAGAAAATTTTTGCAATCTACTTATCTGACAAAGGGCTAATATCCAGAATCTACAATGAACTCTAAGAAATTTACAAGAAAAAAAACAAACAACCCCATGGAAAAGTGGGCAAAGGATATGAACAGACACTTATCAAAAGAAGACATTTATGCAGCCAACAGACACATAAAAAAATGCTCATCATCACTGGCCATCAGACAAAGGCAAATCAAAACCACAATGAGATACCATCTCACACCAGTTAGAATGGAGATCATTAAAAAGTCAGGAAACAACAGGTTCTGGAGAGGATGTGAAGAAATAGGCACACTTTTATACTGTTGGTGGGACTCTAAACTAGCTCAACCATTGTGGAAGACAGTGTGGTATTCCTCAAAGATCTGGAACTGGAAATACTGTTTGATCCAGTCATCCCATTACTGGGATATACCCAAAGTTTTATAAATCACGCTGATATAAAGACACATGCACACATATGTTCATTGTGGTACTATTCACAATAACAAAGACTTGGAACCAACCCAAATGTCCATCAGTGATAGACTGGATTAAAAAATGTGGCATATATACACCATGGAATACTATGCAGCCATAAAAAATGATGAGTTTATATGCTTTGTAGGGACATGGATGAAGCTGGAAATCATCATTCTCAGCAAACTATCACAAAGACAGAAAACCAAACACCGCATGTTCTCACTCATAGGTGGGAATTGAGCAATAAGAACACATGGACACAGGAAGGGGAACATCACACACTGGGGCCTGTCATTGGGTGGGGGAGGGGAGAGAAATTGCATTAGGGAATATACCTAATGTAAATGACGAGTTAATGGGTGCAGCACACCAACATGTCACATGTATACATAAGTAACAAACCTACACATTGTGCACATGTACCCTATCACTTGAAGTATAAAAAAAAATAAGATAAACATTCTTACAATGAAAAAAAATGAAAAGGGCATGCAGTAAAGATGTTCCTCCACCCTGCTTCCAGGGGATCCCCGCATGTGTTTCCACAGTGAATCACACAACCATCTTACTCTCATCAAATGGAGAAACTCCAGCACCTTTCTTAGAAGGGTAGCACTTGAAAAATAAAGAAAATAGGGGAAAAGTGAGGTTGCAGTATCATTGTCTCCAATTTTTCATTTCTCACCAGCCATGTCAATTCCATTCCCATGGCCAGCGATGGTCAGAAATTGCCCTCTTCAAGGTTTCCAACTATGTACATCTTGACCATAATATAAATATGATTTATATTTCATATAATTTTAAATGTAAGCATGTATTCATTTGCTAGGGCTGATGTAACAAAATGCTGCAAACTGGCTTAACAAATAGACATTTACTCTCTCACAGCCCTGCAGGCTGGAAGTCCAAGATCAAGATGTTGCCACAGTTGGCTCCTCCTGAGGCCTCTCTCCTTGGCTTGTAGACATCATCTTCTCCCCGTGTCCTCACAGGGTCATCCTTCTGTGTGTGCCTGTGTCCACATTGCAACTGGATGGCTTGTAAACATACACATTTACTCTCCGAGAGTCCTGGAGGCTGGAAGTCTGAGATCAAGGTGTAAGCAGAGCTGGTTCCTCCTCATGCTTCTCTCCTTAGCTTGTTGATGCTGTCTTCTCCCTGTGTCCTCCCTGGGTCATCCCTCTGTGTGTGTCTGTGTCCTCGTCTCTTCTTCTCATAAAGACACCAGTCCTATTGGATCAGGGCCCACCCTACTGACCTCATTTTACATTAATCACTTTTTGAAAGAACTACCTACAAATAAAGTCACATTCTGAGACACTAGAGTTAAGCCTTCACTGTATGAATTTTGGGAGAGGAACAGTTCAACCCATAGTGAAACATAAACACATTTACTATTTTCACTAGAGCATTGACTAGTACAAGATATCACTAATTTTCTGAGTTCCTATTATGTGAAAAATGTTGTAGGAAGGCACCATACCAGAAACAGATATAAATGGAACATGTCATGTGTCTCAGTAGCCCTGCAGTCCAGTTACAGATAAAGCTTCATAAACCATAGCAAAGTCATCATCCAAGTTAACAGTGTTCACCTGTGTCCAACTTACATCACTATGTCTTATAGACTTCCCATGGAGCTGAAGAATACAGCTTATCATGAACATGAAATTTAGGAACAATTATCTTCTAATATTGAAAATGTTCCCTCTTGAAATCCAAATACCTGGAAATATTTCTTCAGCCTTAAAAAGGAAAGAAGTTCTGACACAGATGACAACATGGATTGTTGTTCATGAGGATATTTTGCTCACTGATGGATAACACTGAACAAAATGTTGAAGACATTTTGCTCAGTGACGGATATAAGCCAGTCACAAAAGGACAAATCCTGCATGGTATTGAAGTGGTGTCATTGTCTGGGCTAAATACCTGAGGTTCATTGTCTCACTCCCAATGAGGTTGAGAATGCAGACACACAACAAGTGAGTTTAATAGCAAAAGTTTAATAGGTGAAAGAATGAGAAAAGAGAACAGCTCTCTCACATGAAGAGAGAGGCACCTGAGTGGGTCTTCCAGTTTCATGTTGAAAAAAAAATGCACAGGGTTTTATAGATGAACTGGAGGGGTAGGTGTCTGAAATATACAGGGCCCAAGAGATTGGTCAGACCAGATATGTGACATTTGGATCGTGTGTGAAGAAGTGGACCATCCCACCCTAATCTTTTATTATGCAGATGGGGGTCTCTCTATGGCTGGTGCCATGTTGTCTATTCCTTACCACACATGTGGTTGGCAAACAAAAGGGAAGATGGAGCTGCCATGTTAAACATCACTGGACCCCAGGTAGCCGTTTCCTATTAGCACAAGTGCCGGCATTCACCGGCGTTCAAGTTTCTAGCTTGTTTCACTGTGTCTGAAGCTCACTTATATAGATGGCTCTTTATTAGAAAACAAGTGATTTGGGGGCTACTTTTATTAAAAAGCAAGCCTTGCCGAGGACTCCTTTTACCTTTATAATCTGCCTAAATAATTTCTTTTTAACTCCTATATCATTTTCACTGATATGAGATACTAGAGGAGTCAGGTTCATAGAGACAGAAAGTGGAATGAAAAGAGGCAGGGACTGAGGGAGGGGGATAAGGAGTTGTTGTTTAATAAGGACAAGGTTTCTGTTTGGGAAGGTGAAAACATTCTGAAGATGAATGATGGTAATAGCTCCACAAGCATGTAAATGTATTCGATGACACAAAAAGAGTTAAAATGCTGAATTTGTGTTACATATATCTTACTCACATAAAACAACAATAACAAAAGAAAAAAATTAGAATTTCCAACATCTATTACAAGAAGAAAAGATTCAAATGCCTAGCCGATGTTTTTGATCCGATGAAATCATACTAAACATCACCATTTAGTGATCCCATTTAATGTCATGAAATATCAGTTCTAAGATGCCAGTAAACTAGAAACAATAATCTGTGCTTTATCACAAAATCAGTGTTTGGAAGTAAATGTGCAATGTTTGTAAATAAATATTTATAACCATCAGTCATTGGATATAGCTTCAGCATAAGTTTAGAGTAGAAAAAGTCGTGAATTGAAATCAGACCCAGGGAGAAATGCAGGTATTAGGGAAATCAAGAAAAACAGAAGTCACGTACTGTTGGTTCTTCCTATTTGACAAGGATACAATGAAGTCACATTGTATAAAGCCCCTTTCTAACATTGAGCTTGATTATATACATGAGAAGACATATCTCTTTCCCATGAATATAAAAATAAATCATCTGTGGACACAAAAATTAATCATGGGGCATAGAATGATATCAGACTGAATACTTCCCAACAGAACATCAAGTTCCTGTATCTTTCCACTTGAGTAAACCTTCATGCAGGAGGTCCACCTCCCTGCCCCCACTGTGTCACTGAGTTCTATGAATGCATGACTGTAATATGTCAATCTCCGGGTCATGATAGTTGGATAATTGTCCAAGTTCTATTGTATTGCAGCTCATGTTATAGAATATGCTTTTCACACAAAAGTCCATTTTTCCCTTTTCCATTTAAGCCAGAGGGCAAAATAATGGAGCCAATTCATTTATTTCTCATTAAGGATAAAAAATAATAATCTGAGGTTTTTTTTAGTAGTAGGATTTCCTCCAGGAAGAAGCATACTTCTCTTTGTAGTAAAAGAAAAAAAAACTATTTCTTGAGCTTTTAAGTGAAGCAGAAAAATAACTGCAGTGCTACCACCTTCCATCTTAATAATGTGGTCAAAATTTACACAGTTCTTCCCCATGAATATTTTCTTTTGATTCTCTCAGTGAAAAAAAAAGTTGAGAAGAGGATATGCTTTATTAGCTCAATTTTATACAGACAGGAATATAGCTCTACATGAGGATGTGATTAGTCCAATATCTCCCAGCTGGAAGGCAGTCAATTAAACTGGAACCTAAGTTTTTTTTCCTATTAACTTTTGGCTCCAATTAGAAGACAAACCCTCTACAGGTTCAGTGACTCATGCCTGTAATCCCAGCACTTTGGGTGGCCAAGGTGAGTGGATCATGAGGTCAGGAGTTCAACAGCAGCCTGGCCAAGATGGTGAAACACTGTCTCTAGTAAAAATACAAAACTTAGCTGGGCATTGTGGCATGCACCTGTAATCCCAGCTACTCAGGAAGCTGAGGCAGAGAATTGCTTGAACCCAGGAGGCAGACATTGCAGTGAGCCAAGATTGCACCACTGCATTCCAGCCTGGGCAACAGAGTGAGACTCTGTCTCAAAAAAAAAAAAAAAAGAAGAAGAAGACAAATCCTAAGATGCACCACCTATTTTGTACTGATTGTAAACAGAAGAGGTCTGCATTTGAACTCCTGGTCTGTCATTTACTGCATGATGTTGGGGGAAGATTTCCATAGGCAAGAATTTAAAAATTTGGTATGGCTGTCATGGAGCTGTTGCAATGCTACATGTAGAGAACTAAGTTCTGATGCATAAGAACAGGGCATGCTTCCCAGAATTATCACTGGAGAGAGAAAGTTACCCTGGTTCATGGCATTTTCCTGTCTCCCAAAGCATAGATACCTCTTGGATCTCCTAAGACCTATATATGTATGTATGTATGGATTGAAAATAACTATAGTATGGAGAGGATTTGAAAGTCACAACCACCAATATGGATTGAGAAAAGTCTTGGGTTGTGAAGATGTGAGGTTACTTTTGCAGGACTTTTCAAAGTACAGGAATAATGGGTGCAAATTTCTAACCATGGTAGACACCTGTAAAAACTCAAGAAACTATAATTAGCATTACCCAAGTCTGTACAACGTTGGATTTATACCCACCAAAGGTTTTTCTCTTGGATATAGCTCCTTTAAAATTGTGGATGAGTTTCAAAATCAACTGAGAAGGTCTGCGAAACTCCCTTTCCTTTTCTGAGGGTGAATTAGGAAGGCAGAATAAAAGAAGTTACATGCTGAAGGAGAGGCATTCTTTTTAGGAAATACCCCATTTTGGGAGGTCACAGCAGGAGAATCACTTAAGTCCATGAGTTAAGACCAGCCTGGGCAGCATGAAAACACCCTGTCTCTACAAATAATTAAAAAATTAGCCAGGCACAGTGGTGCATGCCTGTAGTCCCTGCTACTCAGGAGGCTGAGCTGGGGGAATCACGTGAGCTTGGAATGTTGATACTGCAGTAAGCTGTGATCACACTACTGCATTCTAGCCTGAGTGACAGAATGAGGCCCTGTCTCAATTTAAAAAAAAATTAAAAAGAAGAAGAAACATTTAAAGAAAATACCAAAATGACCTGTTCTTTTTCCTTCTTCCATGGTGTTTAAGAACCACTAGTTTTTGCCAATGGATTTAATTCAATTGATACTCTTGACTTATCCCATTCAGTGGACCTATTATTTTTGCTTAAATGTTCAATTATTTAGTGACTTCCTTCTAGTCCTTCTACCAAAAGAAGTGTTCATGTTTTCTGTAATCCAATGCTTTAAGGAAGGTGAACTATGCATACTACCTGTGAAGAATCTGTGGAATATTTTAATGGCTGCATTGATTCTACCCCAAGGCATATCCAGCCTTTGGGGAATGGTGTGCATTGTAGGTCTTGTTAACTTATTTACTGGATTAAATAGGTGTGACCATTTTATTTGAAAGAAGGGATGACACATGCATTATTTTCTCATTAGAGACCTTCAATCCATTGTCCCACTCCAGTCAGCTGACCAAAAGCAATTTGATCAATTAACCTCTCTGTGCTTTTTTCTCCAGATATGCAAGAAGGAGAAGAAACTGCTAACCTGTTTCATGTCAACCATTTTATTACTCTATCATTTCTTATCCTTCTCTGAACCAGTAATACAATGAGAAACAACTGGGATTAGTTATTTTCCATTGGAAAGGATTAAGACCACGGATTGATATGTCTAAGTGTTTCTTTCTTGGAGATAAATAGCTCCTTCAAACTACTGGTTGAGTTTCATAATCAACTAACAAGGTTTCTCAACCCCCCTTTACTCTTCTAAGGGTGAATCGGAAAGGCAAAATAAAATAAATTACAAGTTGAAGGAGATAATCAAGTGCTCAAGGGACAGTATTTATTGCACAGACATAGGATTGTGTCACAGACTCCAAATTGGTCAAGATGTGACCATAACTGGGACTCAGATAAGACTGGAAGCAAGATTGAAATGATATGGGTATATGGGCATGTGTCACCTGATTCTCTCTTGTCACTGATTCTACCTAGGTTTTCTCTCTTCTCCTTAGTTCACAGTCCTCAGTAGACAGCTTTTCCTAGTCTTCTGTTCATAGGGGATAACCCTTCACCCACAGGGAGGATAACCCTTTCCTGGAAATTCCGTATCCGTATGGAAGCTTCTGAATTTGGCAGTGGACACATACTGCAGCTTCCAGCCCTTCTGTCTAATCTATCTGGGCTTGACGAAGCAGTTCAGCACCTCAGTGGAGTAGTGGTTTGTGAAACAATAGTACAAACATTATCAAATATCTTTTTGTATATACTTAGTAATAATTTAATTCAATATATTAAGCATTCACTGTCTACATCAATCTGGGTTAGATAAATAAAATAACAGAAATATTCATAACAATCCATTTAAGCACATGCTATAAGTCACAAGTTTGTTTTGTTTTTAAAGTAGTGAAACTTGAGTGTGAGAGATTCTAAATAGCTTGCTTAGATCACTCAAGGAGTAAGTGGATGAGGGAGGCTTTGAACATATCCCCTTGGATTGATTATCTAATCCATTAAGTGACACTATTAAAAAAGAGAGTTTCTGAATAGAGTGGTTTCATAAGGTCACACCTTCAGAATTCACAGGATTGGAACATCAGGCAAGGAAAGTCTAGACTAAATGAGAAAGAATACTCACAGCAAACAGTTGGGGTTAAGAAAGGGCATCTTATGAAGAGTATTTGGAGGATGTGAGACAGATTGAATAGAATTTCTGTGGAGCTGTTTGAATGGCATAATGGAAATGATTTGTGGAATCAATATCTCCTATAAGGAAGCTTTGAATGGAGCTTGCAGAAGAGACCTGTGGAAGTCAATAAAATCTAAAGAGCTGCTGGAAGATGAATTCAGTCATGCAAACCCCAGGTAACAAAAATCTGTTCTGAAAGATGACACTAGAAACAAAAGAGAAACAAAAGAGAAAAATTTCACCATATTTTATGAAATTCACATGGACTTCAGTTGAATGTGAAATATAAGAAATGATTACATAGGGATTGGATACAAAGAATAAAAGATAGGTACTTCTATCACTTTTTTTTGTTTTAAGTGGCTCAATTTATGTCAATGACATTAATAGAAATAGCATTTCTTCATTATTGACAAAACATTCAGGAAAGTGGTAGGGGTCTGATGGTTTTTAGATAAGAATAGAGCCCTCAAATAAAATGGTCCTGTTTGAAGGCCAAAGCAGGAGGATTTTTTGAGGCCAGGAGTTCGAGAACAGCTTAGGAAACATAATGAGGCCCTGTCTCTACAAAAAAAAAAAAAATTAAAAATTGCTGGGTATGGTAGTGTACAGCTATAGTCCCAGCTATCAGGAGGCTGAGGTGGGAGCATTGCTTGAGCTCAGGAGATTGAGGCTGCAATGAGCTGTGATTATGCCACTGAATTCCAGCCAGGGCAACAGAGCAAGATCTTGTCACTAAATACAAATATATATACTTTAAATTGATTCCAGGACAATTATATATGTGTATATATAAAAAATATAAAATGTGTATTATATTTGATTATATATATTATGCCATATTTTAAATTGATTCTAGGACAATTATATATACATACACATTTTTTGTCTCTGTCTCCCTCTCCTATTAACCAGCAAGATCTGTGCAAGCTGCTTTGAAGCGTGTTTGAAAGAATGATATAGGAATAGTTTTCACAAAAACAAAGACAATAAAAGAATGATAATAACAAGGCGTGTGTGTGTGTGTGTGTGTGTGTGTGTGTGTGTGTGTAATTGTCCTGGAATCAATTTAAAATGTTGTACAGAAACTAGGCATAAAGTGATAAGTAGTTTAGGGATCTATAATAGAAGCATGACTAGCAGCCTTGAGAACAGATAACTACAAGGGACATTAAGTGGCTAAGTGGATATGAGATAGGAGAGACATAAACCTATTCAAAAGGGCTTACAAAAACCATGAAGAAAAAGCAGGAGTCACCAATGGAACCCAAGTCAAGGAAGCCATGCTATTTCAAGGAAGATAATCAATCATACCAAAAGTCAAACAGAAAGCATACAATAGAAAGATCACAAAATTCGAGCAAAGAAAGAAGTCATTGTTGGATTCTGTGGAGGCATTTGGGGGAAATGTGGAAAAAACTTTAGGCTACAATGTTGAAAAACGAGAAATGAATAAACAAAACAAGAAATCATCCAAGGTAAAGGATTTGGGTATATTGTTTGGGGATGCAAAATAGGGAGCACTGTGGTAATATCTGAACACCAAATGAAGAAGAGTAGGAAATACAGGGTGAATTCTTTTGGAGCCTCCATTGAGTAGGAGAGGGCCCAAAGTACACGATATGTTGACTTTAGAAGAGAGAACTTTATTTTCCTTTTTCTTTCTTTTCCATGTGTTGTTATGAATTGCTCTTGATTTAGTGCCATTTCTTTCTTTGTATGACTTTTGTGAATTGGTAAATACTCCTTGACCATAAAACAGGCACTCTCTTATCCAGGATTTTAAAATATGATCTTGAAAGCATTACTCAGCCAGTCTCTCTCTCTATCTCCCTCTCTTTCTCTGTTTTCTCTCTCCTCCTTCTGTCCTGTCTCTCTACCTTTTCTCTCTCTTCTTTCCTCTGTCTCTCTCTGTATATGTCTCTTCATCCTTCCCCCTCCCTCCCTCCTTTTCTCTCTCTCCCTCCTACCCTCTTTCTCTCTCTGCTCTGTCTCTCTCTTCCTCCTTTTCCTTTTCTCTCTTTTTGTCTCTATTTCTGTCTCTGTCTCCCTCTCTCTTATTAACCGGCAAGATCGATGCAAACTGCTTTGAAGTTCATTTGAAAGAATAAGATAGGAATAATTTTCTTGAAAACAAAGACAAAGGGATGATAAAAACAAGGTATCATTTCTCAATGGTTTAAAAATTCAGTAACATTTGATCATCTATTCTTTTTCTAATATTCTTTTTGTTTTGTTTTGTTTTGACAGTCTCCAGGCCATTTTTCTACTTATTAGTGCTACCATCCGAAACAGGGAAACAATGAGGAAACTAAAATATGTCAGTTGGAGACATGGAAACTTCTTTATCATTGAAAGTGTTAGCTGGCAGTCATACAAAATCTGTGTCCCTACAAAATCGTAGAGGATTCTAATACACACACCCCATCCTTCTGACTTAACTATCTGATTATTGCATTATTCCCTTCCCTCCAATCAAGGCTATTATGCAATGATCCCAGGTGTGTTAGAAATAAAGATATTAGAGACAATTATTTGCCAACATGAAAATTGCCTTAAGAAAATAATAAGCACTCAGATTTACTTCAAATTACTTTGAGTTTGACAACAAACCATCTTGAGGTAATTTTTCTTGTTTGGGGGCTTATATAATTCAAAAGTTCTAAAAGAAACAATTCATGTAAACCACAAAAAAATATTTCTTCCTTTAGATAACTTGTGTTTATTTTACAGCCATTTCATTTCCTTGTTGAGTTAAATTACTAAAGAAACTCTCACATGTAGTTTACCGAGAATTATCACAGTATAAACAAATGTGCACATCTAATATCCCTGTCTTAAATTTATTTGTGATCCAAAGTTTAAAGTCTTCAAATAGTTAATAAATGGATTGAGATATACCTTAAGAAGCCTTACTTTGAATAAGAGATAAAGCAGAAGTTTGCTTCTAATCTCTTAGTTTCACAAGATTTTTTGTTAAATACCAAAGAAAAATTGGACTAAAATTTCATAAATCACATAATTTCTTTGGGCAGCACCTTCAACACCAGTGGTAGCACAGTTCAAAGAGTCCTAATGCACGTTTATTGAAAATGGTTTGCTTTGAGACATTTTTCATTCAGGCTAATATAGGCAATCACATTTTTTTCAGTATAACATTTTACACAGACATTGTAAAATAATTAATATCATAGTAGGACAACATCATATTAATGGTAAAATTGAATATTGGGCCTGACAGTAGGAAAAAAAAGGCTGGGAAAATATTCTTAGCAGCACCACAAAAGTTAGTTGCCTCTAGGTGGGGACTGGGTTCATGAAATGAATTCTTTCTGTTTCAGATTCAACAATAAAATCCATATTGGAAATATCTGGGAGTTCTTATAATCGTGCATACAATGGGAAATTCATGCTCAAGTCAAATATAGAGTATTTGAATCTAGTAGAAGCAAAAAGAAAAGGAAACATTTGAGAACTGGGGATAAAAACTGTAGCATTACTCAACACAGAATAGAACTTTTCTTTATTAGAGTTCTGTTGCCAGGGCAACTTTAAACCCTTCATAAGGTGTTGAACTAAATATTCCTCCCTCGCTTGAGTTATGGATGATACTGGATTTACATTCCCAGAATGTATACAAATTGCACTCTTATGTCTGCTGGCTGAAATCCATGCTATTTTCTCACCCTCATGTTGAATATGCTTGCAATATGCCCTACGCATAAGTGGTGATGAAATTTTAAATACTAACATTTCAGACTGTTGCAGCCAAGAGTACTGGGGCCATGAAGAACCACGTAGCATAACTTGCTTAGTAATTATTTTTCAGAAACTACACCTTGGTGCCATCTCCAAGGAAGGATTCTCACTACAGTTGTATTTTCTCAAGAAAAAACAAAATATAACAACAACATCAAAACTACAAGAACACAGCAGGAATTAGAAAGGAATTAGTAAAGATTCAAAAACCAAGAAGGATATAAATGCGAATGAAATTCTTATCATTAGTTCCTTGGTAAGGAAAAAAAATATGACAGAAACACTGTTTAATATAGTGATCATCAAATAAAAGTGGGGATGAAAAAATGCATAAAACAAATGATGAGAGGAAATCCTAGCTATGGGAAAAGATTAAAAAATCAAAACCAATTCCTTTGATCCATCCCATAGAAATGCATTTGAAAACTTAGATATAATGGATAATTTTCCAGACCCATACATATTTTTTCTAGAAGAAACAGAAACTCAAAACAGACTAATTATATCATCCCAAAGTGATCAAACCTCATTCTTCACCTCAAACACTCTCCCCATCAAATACATCAGTTCCAAATTCTTTAACAGTATTTTATTTGAAAAAAAGATAAATTCCTTGATATTTAAATTGATTTAGAGAAGAAAAATAGTTCTAAAATGTTATTATAAAGCTTGCAAAACATCAACATAAAATTTAAAAACAAAGCACAGGCATAAACTAATTGATGGGAATATTTTTTAACAACTAGCTGATAGACTACAGCTGTTGTTTGAAGAAAAATTCATTGTGATAGCTTGAGATTTATTTCAATACATGCAAATCTCAGTATGAGGAAATTTATTTAAAATATTAATATAATCATGGAAAACAGGTTATGACTATAAGTGATGAAATTCATTTAATAAAAGTTCATTCTCATTCTTTGTTTCAAGACAATGCAGAAATATAGGTGTCTTTCTTCATATGTAAAAATATTTATATGTACAAGATGTTAAGATATGTTTGTATGTTATGTTATTATGTAGGTATATAATATAAATTACTTATATAATGCAGAAATACTAACAATGTGACAATATATAAAATATATAGAAACATCAATCAAAAAGCATCTATCATAGTGCTAAATAAATAAGAAACTTCTACTCTATTAGCTTTTTTCTGTAGGTACTGGCTAGCACAACTAAATATGTAAGAAAATGAAAGGCATACACATTGGAAGGAGGAAAGTAATGTTTTGTTATTATTTGTAGATTTTTATTATACAAATAGAATATCCAAGGTTGTCAACAAAAATAGCAAATAAGGCAAGTAAGTTATA
The DNA here is from genome assembly GCF_000001405.40 of Homo sapiens. Classification (NCBI taxonomy): domain Eukaryota; kingdom Metazoa; phylum Chordata; class Mammalia; order Primates; family Hominidae; genus Homo; species Homo sapiens. The sequence continues at coordinate 14,998,778 of NC_000024.10, read as the reverse complement.
ACTAAGGCATATAATATTTTTATGTATTAAAAAGACTGTAAGAACATATAACAGAAGAATGGCAGAATTTATAGTAGTAATAAATTTGACCAGAAGTTCAAGACAACTGAATCTACTCCAAGATATTCCTGGGATCAGCATAAGCTTAATACCAAAACCTGACCCCCCTAAAAAAATAAAAAATAAAAATAAATGAAGCACTTTGGGAGGCCAAGGAGGGCTGATCACCTTAGGTCAGCAGTTTGAGACCAGCCTGGCCAATGTGGTGAAACTCTGTCTATGAAAAATACAAAATTTAGCTGTGAGTGTATAGCATGTGCCTGTAGTCCCAGATGAGGCAGGAGAATCACTTGTACTGGGGAGGTAGAGATTGCAGTGAGCCAAGATCACACCATTGGACTAGAGCCTGGGTAACAGAACAAAAATGGGTGTCAAAAACAAAAACAACAATAAAAAATGAAATTAGAGATAATTTTTTAATAATCTTTCTAAGTAATGCCAAATTTATAAAATTATATCTATACAGAGAAAAATATGCCATATATTCTAGTGGTTAACAAAAAGGAAGCAATTTTACAGAATGTGTCATAATTCAAGTGGGATTTATTTCAGGAATTCAGAGTAATAGGATAGTTTAGAGTTGTGAATTATTTTTAACTTAAAATTTCTTAAAAATACAGATCAGGTCTTGCTGCATTTCCCTGGGCAGTCTTGAACTTCTGGCCTCAGACAGTCCTCCTGCCTAGGTCTCCCAAAGTGCTGTGATTACAAGAGTGATCCACTATGCCCACTGAGGAGCTGTAAGTCATTTGAGGGAAATTATTGCATTAAAAGAAAAAAGAATATAAATATGGCATCTCAATAAAGGCAAAAAATAAATTTTCAAAGGATGATAAGTTTTAATTAATGAAGTACACTATCTGGAATACAATAAAATTTCCTTAAACATATGAATGATTTTTACCTGAAAAATTCAACAAGAAATGAAAATAAACAAACAAAGAAACAAAAACACAGCAAGGAGCATATGAAATGCTGAAAATTCCCCGGACATCAATAATAAGGCAAAGATGTCTGGTGTGGGCAAGTCTCTACATGATATACTGGTAGGTACTTGTAATTAGTTATTGTAATTGTAGTAACATAGTAAAGTAAAAATTGAAAGTAAAATTATTGAAAAGGAAGGATTAAGCCTGTCTTAAAACATTATGGTGTAAGTTTAATCTATAACCCAGCTAGGAGAATTAGTGAATTTAGCAGTTAATAAAAGCAAGAACACCAAAAATATCCATTCTATTTTTATATGCTAGTAAAAAACAAATTACATTTACCTTTATGATGATGTTTCCAATAGCATAAATAACATCACATTCTCAGGACCCAGTCTAACCAAAAAAGTGCTGAACATCTAAAGAGCAATCTGAAGAACATATTGAGCAATTGTGGGGTGTACAAAGTTCATAGATTGGAATCTTTAAAGATGTAAGTTCTTCCACAATGGGGCTATAGAGTAAATGGTGTGTGTGTGTGTGTGTGTGTGTGTGTGTGTGTGTGTGTGTGTGTGTGTTGGGGGGGCCTGTGTGTGACTCCTAATTATCAATACATTTTCTTAAAATTCCTGGTTAACACTGATAATTTATATCACCCACACTCAAATGTCAATATAATCCAGTGATGTTTGAATAAGCCTGGATATAACATCCAATGTTCTAGTAAGGTGGTTTGCCATTCTAACAAGAGTACGTCTCTGGAAATGTGCCATCTACATGGTCTATTCTTACTTAGAATCTTGGAAATATTGACTAACAAATTGTGATGTGCAATACAGGGAATATCATTCAGCCTTGAAACGGAAAGACATGCTGCAACATGGATGAACCTTGAAGACACTATACTAAATGAAACAAACTAGTTACAAAAGAACAAATAGTCTAGGATTCCATTCATATGAGCTATCCAGAGTAGACAAAATCAGAGAGAACGAAAGTAGAATAGTGATTTCCAGAGGCTGGAGAGTAGGTAATGGGAAGTATTTTAATGGGTATAGAGTTTAAGTTTTGCAAGAGAGAATTCTGGGGATGGATGAAGGTGATGGATGTAAAACAATGTGAATGCTCTTTATATCATTGAATGTATACTTAAAAATGATTAAAATGGTAAAGTATAGATGTGTATTTTATCACAATTAAAAATTAATACATGTGACACACACACATACAAACACGAATACAAGAAAAAAAATCTTGTGTGGTGGGATTTAATTAGTTCTCCATTGAAAAGCTGATGAAAGCTATATACATTCTCCTAGAAAAAATATATATATGGAGAAAAAATATCTGTATATACACATGTATGTAAGATGTTTCCTGAAATGGTAAGGGATTCATTGACTCTCTAAAGTCTTCTATTTGACTGAATAACTTTCCATCACTTTAAGTAATTTTGTGGTATTGATGCCGCAACATTCAGAAACCTGGAAGGAAAATAATTAGCACATAGAAATAGTCCATTTGAGGAATGAATCGAATAAACAATAAGGAAAGCAATAATCTTCTGACAAGAACAGGGGAACCCAGAATCTAAACACACATATGAACAAGCAGATGTGCCCCACTGAGCCACATAAGTAGGGAATAAGGAGGGAAGGAAGGAAGGAAGGGAGGGAGGGAGGGAGGGATGATTATCACCTAAAACATTGGAAATGAAAATAAGTATGTAGGTATCAATTATCTGAAAAGACTTAGATGTAACTGCTTTTTAATATAATTAATGTCAGAAATAAGAAGTGGTCTATTTGTGCCATTGCAATATTATCGAGATATAAAATTCAAAAAATAAGAAAAAAACAAACTGGTCTAATAATCCTCTTAGAATTCACAACCATGGAATCATCTGAATTATTTACTTTGCACTGGCACTTCCTAAACTATTCATCTTCCAAAATTGCTTAAAGTTATTAAAACATTTATCAAGATAGTGATGATGCAAATTACAGAAGCTAAAAGGAGTGATTGCTTGTATGGACAATTTCCTCTCCACTTATCCTTGATAATAAATGAAATTCTATATGAAACCAGAATTAGCCTCTCAGGAAAAGGCATTTACTTTTAAAGAGATAAAATTTCTCCTGCAAGGAAGCATAGAAAGATCAAGCTGGGGACATTCTGGACCGAGAGTTAAGAATCCTGTATTCTGAAGTGAGCTGGAAGATGAGAAATAAGGCTTCACTGTCCTTCTTAATAAATCAGTGGTATTAATACCTGCTCTCTGTTCATTAAAACATTACTGTAAAGAACAAAAGGGCTACTGATGAATATTTAACTGTTAACTTTGAAAAAATAGAAGCTTTTTTATAAATGGAAGTCTTACTACTAATTTCTCAAAGGAGTTACGTACTCATGACACATATTCAACTTAAGACAGCGGTATTTTACAGCGTTGCATTGCCTTGCGCTGTGTTTTCCTTGAGATCCTAGTTCAAAGGACTAATTTTAATCTGGCTTCTTTTTGTCTCCTTTTCTGCCTCCTTTCTTATTTCTTCCTTCCTTTTGCCCTTCTTCCTCATTACTTTCTCTTTTCTTCCTTTTTCCCTTCTTTGCCTCATTTCTTTCTTCCTTCCTCCCTTCAAGAGCTTCTTCAACTGTAATTTTACCATCAGTTTTCTTTTTTTAAAAAGGTGTTCCATTTTCCTACTTTGAAAAAATGCACTTTTAGCACCTGTGTGTGTGTGTGTAACAGAAATCACTTTTCCTAATATGAAGGAAATGATTATTTCATCCAGCATTTTTAAGGCCCTGTATATCAGTTAAAATTAAAGGGATGGGAAACATGGGAGATGGATACCACAATTTTGAAAGACTTGCTCAAACACTTTAAGGTATTTCTCTAACATGAGGAAAGGATTTATCTGTCATTCTAGTTTTCACCCTTTCACCTTGCATAAAACCTTGCAGGTTTACTCAAGAGAACACACCCCAAAGATCATGTATTATAGTATCTGCAGTTCACTTCCTTTTGTAATTTCTGATTTTTAAATTTTTAAGTATTTTTTTTTCAGACACAGGGACTTGTTCTGTCACCCAGATTGGAGTGCAGTGGTGTGACCATAGCTCACTGCACTTTCAAATTCCTGGGCTCAAGCAGTCCTCTTACTGCAGCCTCCCAAGTAGATGGGACCACAAGGCACATACCAATACACCTAGCTATTCTCTCTCTATATATATATTTATATTTTTTTACAGAGATGAGATCTTTCTACATTCTCTAGGCTACTTCTGATTTTAATTTCCAGTGAACAGCCACTATGGAACTAAGTGGATGTCTAGATAAGCATCTATGGGCTTTCCACAATGGTGGATATGGGTGGTGTTTTAAGAAGCATTTTTAAACATTGCATAATGCCAACATAACATTCTTACCATAGAGTACAGGATATAGATGACAAAAATGTGCATTGTAAAGAATACAAGCATAAACAAAAACAAAATTAAAAACAAAAAAAACCCACAGGACTAATTTCATTAATATAATAAAAATAATTCACCAAAGAATGACCCCCCAATGTGTCCAGATTTATATCCACTTTTTATTATAGATTCAAGTCACCAATGATTCTATTACATCCCTCAAAATTCTTAAGTAGCTACTGGAACCAGAAAGTGCCACAGCCAAACCAACAATATGTGGGGCATGCACAATAACAATAGCTAATATTTACTGAGGGCTTACTCTCTGCATGGTACCTTTGGAAACTTCAAACATCAAGAAAGCATGCATGCAGGATGCTCCAAACATTGCATTCCTTCTGGAATCATCAACCCTCTCTTCCCAGAAAGCTATGCAGACTTTTGGAAAATGGCCAAATCAGCTGAGATGTATGTAACGTACTTTGAGATATAAGTTTTCTTACCCAAGTTTTCCAAGAGCTCTGTGGTGTTAGATGTAGATCATTGTCTTCAGTTGGGCTCTGAAGATGGGTGTACAAGTTGACATACAAAATTTTATTATAACTAGGAACTAGCTGGAAATAGGATTTGATCTCATCTATATTTATTTTGTTTCATAGTGTAATTTTTTATTGGTGTACCTTTTTAAAAACTGTATCTATGTGAGAAACACATCATAGCATTTCAGTATACATATATGTAGTCACATGATTACTACAGCCCAGCTGATTACCATATCCATCATCTCACATAGTTCATTCATTGATTTATCTTCTATACACTTTTTGATAATTTTTCTCATAAATTTAATTGGAAAGTAATGGCATGTAACACCTCACAGGACCTGCTTTTTTTTTAATCTTTATATTTCAATTCCTATCTTTATTCTCTAAACTCTTCATCAAATTTGTGATTCTAAAATTCTAGATCAGATCAGGCATGCCTGATCTGGCTCATGTTTGTAATTCCAGCAATTTGGTAGGTCAAGGCAGGAGGACTGCTTGAGCCCAGGAGTTCAAGACCAGCCTGGGCAACATAACGAGAACTCCTCTCTACAAATGATAAAAAAAAAATTAGCTGGGTGTGGTGGCAAACATTTTTGATCCCAGCTACATGGGAAGTTGAGAAGGGAGGGTCACTTCAGCTGGGAAGGTAGAAGATGCAGTGAGCAAAGATGGTACTACTGCATTCCATTATGGGTGACAAAGGGAGACCCTGTCTCAATATTAGTATTACTACTACTAGTAATAATAATAAAAGTTCAGCTTCTCCTGGATACTTTCACATTATATTCATATAGAATCGTGTCACATTGTAACCCCAAGTGTATATAAGTATAGCTTTTCAATTAAAAATATAATTAAAATTAAAAATAGAATAAAATAAAATTTTACTGATATTCCCAGATTTTGTAATATCAAAACAGAAACTGCATTCCTCATGTAGACGTAATAATAGACGTTAATCAAAAACATCAAAACCATAATCAGCAGTAGGCTATGACCAACTTGGCAAAGTTATTACAGTAGAATCTTTCTACACTAGTCGTATTCACTTACAGTTCAAAATTCTCATTTATTTTTCACGATTTCTGTTCTGGGTTGAATTATGTCTCCTAGCACCAAATCCATATGTGAAAATCCTAATTCTAACTGTCTCAGAATGTGATTTGATTTGAAAATATGGCTATTGCAGGAACAATTCATTAATATGAGGTCATATTGAAGTAGATTCCGCTCTAAGTGCAATATTGGGTCCAGAGTTTGTTCCTGCCAGTGGGGTGGTGGTCTTGCTGACTTCAGCAATGGAGCCTCGGACCTTCGCGGTGAGTGTTACAGCTCTTAAAGATGGCACAGAACCAAAATGTGAGCAGTAGCAAGCTTTATTGTGAAGAGTGAAAGGAAAAAGCTTCCACCGCATGGAAGGGACCTGAGCAGGTTGCTGCTGCTGGCTGAGGTGGCCAGCTTTTATTCCATTATTGCCCCCTCACATGTTCTGTTTCTGTCCTATTAAAATCCTGCTGATTGGTGGGTTTTAAAGTGTGCTGACTGGTGCATTTTACAGAGAGCTGATTGGTGCATTTTACAATCCTCTTGTAAGACAGGAAAGTTCACCAAGTCCCCACTTGACCCAGGAAGTCTAGCTGGCCTCACCTCTCAATCTCCCCTCTAAACAGGACACCACAACTGCTGTTGGAAACTGGGTGAGGATCGCTCTAGCTACTTCATGCTGGATGGGGCAAAGAAGGGGCCCTGCAGTTGTAGTGTCCTCCAGAGGGGAACTCTCTAGGCCAGTCAAAGGGCCAGTGGGTAAGTCCAGGGTTCCTCAGTAGAAGTTGTGAGTAAAGCTCATTTGGGTTTCCATTTGTCAGACCATCCGTAGCTTGATGGCCTCAATCCTGAGGAAAATAAATTTGACAAGGAGGTAAAAAATACAGGGCCTGAAGGGGAGTAATAGGAAGATGGCTGTCATGGGACCTAGAAAGGGGAGAAGCCATTTTGTGCAACTCTAGAGGTTGGTATAAGTGTTTGAAAAGCATTGTCTGATTCCAGAAGCCTCTCCTGTAAATGCCAGGCAGTGTCTCATACTATTCCTGACTGGCTCGTGTAAAAACAGCACTCTTCCCCTAAGAAGGTGCAGAGTCCTCTTTTCACAGCAATGAGGATGTCTAAGCCTTAGCAGTTTTGGAGAGTCACTGCGGCCAAAGAGTCTATTTGGGATTGTAGAGTAAGGATAGATTTTTTTTTTCTATTTCTTGCAAACTGCTGAGAAATCCTTTGAGAATGTGTGGTATTAGGATAATGAAGGAGATAAACTGGCTATTCTGCTTCCTGTAACAGTGGCCATTTCCAACCCTGTAAGTAGGGGTATTCGTTGTATGGTCCCATGCTGATGGACTTGAGCTTTTAGGGGCACTGATAGGGTCTGATTTCCTGGGGCAATGTCAGTGTTGAGACTTAGGAAGACTAAGGTGCAGGTGTCTGTCTAGTTGGTGGACAGGCAGATATATGTTGAAGTTCCACATAAGAATATACCTTGGCTGGGTAGACAGAACTGGTTGTGTATGTTAAAAAGGTGTGTGAGTTTGTTGTTTTCATTTTCCCATACACCTAGAGTACTTGCCAAGGTAGCTCCAGTGAGTAGGTGGAAAGGGGTGTTGGGAACAAACTGAGTGGTTCCCTGTGTTCTGTTTTCCCATTGGAGAAAAAAACCATTTTGTATCTACTAGGAACCATTAAAGACAGTAATTTAAAGAGGGGATAAGAAGGCATTCACTTGCGGTAGGGGCGCTGTTGCAGGGTGTCCAGGGGTGAATGGTCTTGGAGGGAGTATGTTTGCCATTACAAAACTCAGACTCTTCATAAGCAGGGAGGAGGTGATGATTTCTGGGGGCCCTGAGAAGCAGACAAACTCTCTGAATGGAGCTGTTTGGGTGAGAATAAATTACAGTATCAATTGTGGCTTGAAGTTGTAGGCTGTAATTACACTGATGGGATATTAGGTTCCTTAGGGGCAGGCCTGGTAACAGGTTGTGTTGGATGCATAAGTGGGCTTGGAAAGTTAACATGTTTACATGGTTACAGGGCCATGTATGGGCTTCTCATTGCTTGTGTAATAGGTGAGGTAGGAAAGGTAGGAACTTAAAAGCTGGATAGCACATCCTTTTAGAGTAGTTTTGGTCCTATCAGAGACAGGGAAGTTGGCTAATGATTGCAGATTTAGAAGATATTTTCCTTCATAATGGGGGTGGTAGTGTGGTAGATTAAGTTAATAGAGACACAATTTTTTGCAGGAATGGGAGTGGCAACATAAACAGTGGTTCATAGAGGGATACAAAGCCAACAGTCATTTGCCAGGGAAGGATTTAATTGGTTTAACAGAGAGTGGATTAAGTTGAGAGTCTTGTAGAGATAATTAGGAGGTAGTGGAAGGGGAGAGGAGACTGTGTTGGGTATCCAAGGAAAAAGGAGGGATAGATACGCAAAGACTAAGTAGAAAGACAAAGAGTGTTCCCTGTAAGATGAGATCATTTTATCTAGTCTGAGTTAAAGGTAGGAGTAAATTGCTATCAGAAGGAAGGATGATAGAAAAAAGGTTGATGTGATTAGGATTTTCATCCCAGAAGGAGCTACTTTATATAGTCTTACTGCAAAGAGCATGGTTAGTATGCTGCTTAATAATGTGATGAAACAGTAAAACGATTTCATTAAAGGGGCAAGGAGAGGTGGTAAAGATTATGTAGGTTTTCACTCATCTATTTATTTTAAGTAGGAAAGGTTTTTTTCTCAGGATCAGCTGTAGGAGCCTTTTTGGTCTGGGATGTTTCCTTATGAAATAGGAGATGCAAGTCTTCCAATGGTGTATGGAGGCTGGTCTGGCTGATCTTGGGACTCCTGAGCTGATGGTCCCACAGGTTCCTCAGGGGGTGTCCAAAGTTTAACTCTGGTGTGGTGAATCCAAGAGTACACTCTGCCAGCTTAACGGCAGTGGGGGTAGTGAGGGTTGCTGTGTATGGTCCTTCCCACCAAGAAACCATAGATGGAGATGGTAGAGGGGAGGTACTTGATCAAAACTAGATCTCCCAGTTGGAACAACTCTGTTCCCTTTTCTCTGTGACATCCTTTGGGTAGGTTTTTAAGGTTTTGTTGATGTCTTGCAAATGAAGTTATATATTTGACCAATCTGGCTGTTTCCTGATCAAGTGGGAGGTCATTTGTGAGAAAAGGTCATCCCTACAGAAAAGGTCATCCCTACAGTGTTTCATATGGACTAAGCCTCACTTTGTGAGGAGAATTCCAGATTCTAACAAGGCCATGGGCAAGAGAGTAGGCCATGGGAGATGAATTTCCTGTGTTAGTTTCCTTAAGTGCCTCTTGAGTGTATCATTTGCCTTCTTGACCATCCCTGAGGATTGTGGCCTCCAGGTGCAGTGAAGGTGATATTGTATCCCTAGCACCCTGGAAATTCTCTGAGTTTCTGTGGCTTTAAAAGCCAGATGATTGTCACTTTGTAAACTTTGGGGAAGCCCAAATCTAGGAATGATTTTATGACTTATGACTTTAACAACTTACTGAGCAATATCTGACTTGCAGGGGAAGGCTTCTATCCAATTTGTAAAGCTATCATCACAGACCAACAAGTATTGAAATCATCTTGACTTAGGCATATGGGTGAAGTCTAACTACTAGTCCTCTCCAGGATAGTGCCCTATTATTTGTTCCCCCAGAGGTGCCTTATGATGGACAAAGAAATTATTCCTTTGGCACACCCCACAGTCTTTGACTACTTGTCGAATGGTCCAGAGGAGATTTGGCCCAGTAAATAGGGATTTGGCCATTGGATGAGTGTCCTCCATACCCATATGAAAAGTTTGGTGGAGGGTCTTAAGTATTTTCCACTGGCTGGCTTTGAGTATGAGTAATTTTCCCTCTTCTGTCATTAACCACCACAAGGGGAGAAAACTATGCCCTGTGTAATTCCCCATTATGTTTCAGTCGAGGATTACTTGGGCTTAATCTCTTGGAGAGGGTTGTTTCATATCAAGGGTCCTTCCATAAATACTTCTAATGGGAGGTTCCACCTGGCAGCAATTTTGGCTTCAGTGTCGGCCTGATAGTTTCCTTCTACCTTTTCTCCTTCACCTTTTTGATGGCTTCAGCAGTATAAGACGGCCACCTCCTTGGGTTTTTGCACTGCATGCAATAACTCCATTATTTTCTTGTGGTATTTAATGGGGTTTCACCCAGAGATTAGGAACTCCCTTTTTTGCATGTTGCAGCATGGGCATGTAGGATTAGATAAGCATACCTACTATCTGTATACACATTTATTATTATTTTTTTTCCTTTCCCAGTTCTAAGTCTGGAGTAAGTATCACTAGTTCTGTTAGCTGGGTGCTGGTCCCTGGGTGAACAGGCTTACTTTCAAGTACTGTAACATCACTAACTATGGAATAACCTTCCCTTCATATCCCATTCTCCCAAAATGAACTTTAATCATTTTATAGGTTAAGGTCAGGATTAGCTAAGGTATCTAAACAGCTTGTTGTCTGATAGCCATAAATTTCCTAGGGCACTTAGTATGCCATTTACATCATGAGTACTCCAGACAGTGAGAAATTTTCCTTGTATTGTTTTGACAGTCTCTGACACTAAGAGAGCCACTACTGCAACTACTCATAAACAGTGAGACCAGCCTTTAGCTAGTATGTGAATTTCCTTACTTAGGTATGCCACTGGTTGTGGGGTTGTCACACGAGTCTGAATAAGGACTCCAAGAACTATTCCTGCTCTTTCTGTGATACATAAAGAGAAGTTTTGTCCTACGGGAAGGCTTAAGTCTGGAGCTTGTACTAGGGCCTGCTTTAAGGTTTTGAAGGCTGTTTCTGCCTCTGGTTCCCATTTAACTACATGAGTATTTGTGTTTGGCTCTCCATGATTAGAATATACAGGGGCCTGGCATCTTGCTGTATCCAGGGATCTATAGTTGGAAAAAGCTGGTGATTCCAAGGAACCCCCACAGCCGTTTTAATATCTTATGGGGAGGACAAGCCAGCATATGCTCTGTTTGTTCCTTGCTGAGGGGCCTGGTTCCTCTGGCTAAGATTAGGTGTAGATATTTGACTTGTTGTAGGCAGAGTGGGGCCTTAAATTTAAACATCTTGTACTCTTGATTAGCTAAAATGTTCAAGAGATCTAGAGTAGCCACTGGCATAAGGCCTCCAAACTGGTAGCCAAAAGTAAATCATCCATATGCTGAAGGACCAGAGTGCCTAGACTTGAGAAGTGACCTAGATCTTGGGCCAGTGCCTAACCAAACAGATAAGAGCTATCCCTAAACCCTTGACGCAAGACTGCCCATGTATGTTAGAATATGTGGTCTGTGGGATTCTCAAAGGCAAAGAGAAACTGGGAGTCAGAGTGCAGGGTAATGAAGAAGGCATCCTTGAGATGCTGAACAGTGAACCATTCTGCTTCCTCTCACATTTGAGAGAGCAAGGTATAGGGTACAACTAGTATAAATGAATATAAGGGAATTGTTGCCTCACTGATGAGTCTAAGATCTTACACCAGACTCCACTGACCATTTGGTTTTTGTGCTTCTAGAAGTGGGGTGTTTCAGGGAGTGCTGCATTTTCTTACTAAACCTTGAACTTTTAAATGTCTAACGATATCCTGTAATCCTTTATGAGATTCAGACCTTAAGGGATATTGCCTTTGAGAAGCAAAAGTGATGGAGTCTTTCAGGCTGATTTGGACTGGGCAGGCATCTTTTACCCTTCCAAACTGTCCTTCCAATGCCCAGACGTCAGGGTTGATTCCCTTTTCTAGTAGGGGGAAACAAATGGGTAACTTGTTCACCATATTCATGTAGATAATAGCTTCAGGTTTGGCTAACATGTCCCTCCCTAATAAGGGTGTGAGACCTTCAGACATGAAAACAAAGGAATGTGAAAAGGGCAAAGTCTCCCAGTTACAACTGAGATGGGAGAAATCCTAGTTTTAGGCTGTCCCAGGATTTCTCAGATGGCAATGGACCTTGAGGACAGCTGTCCCAGGTAGGAGCTTAACAGATAAGGCCACACCAGTGTCCAAGAGGAAGTCAATTTCCAGGCCCTGAATAATTAAAGTTACCTAGGGCTCAATAATGGTGATGATGTGAGCTGGCGCTTGCCCTGGCACCCTCAGTCTTGTTATTGGATCATCTGTTTTAGGGCTTCTTGCCCAGAGAACCTCTGTCCTCTGGGGCAGTGTGGCTTCCAGTGATTGCCTCAGTATACTGGGCATGGGCGAGGGGGTGGCTTGTGTCTCATTGGACAATCTTTTATAAGGTGTCCTTGCAAACCCCACTGATAAGAAGCCCAACTGGGTGATTGGCCTGCTTCATTTTCTGTCCTCTCTGAACCATCAAGGTTTGTTTGTCTAAGGGCCATGACTAAGGCTGTGGCCTTTCTCTTATCTCATTTTTCCTTTTCAGCCTGTTCCTCTTGCTCCCTATAACAGAAAACCAAAGTTGCCAGGTTTAATAATGCCTCCAAATTTCATTCCGGGCCCAGGGCTCGCTTTTGGAGCTTTCTCCTGACATCTTTGGCTGATTGGGTAATAAACTTATCTTTGAGGATCAATTGACCCATGAGAGAGTCAGGTGACAAGGAGTATATTATCTTATGGCTTCCCATAGCAGCTCAAGGAAGGTAGTAGGATTTTCATCGTTTCCCTGAGTTATGGTGAACATCACTGAATAATTCATGAGCTTTTTCCTAATTCTCCTTAGTCCTTCTAGAACACAGGTCAACAGATGTTTCCACTCCAGTCCCCATGATCTGAGTTGATGTCCCAGTGGGGATTTATACTGGGGATGGCTTGCTGGCTGGTAGGGAATTTGTTCCTTTCTTCAGCTGTCATTCGATCACTTACTTGATTGAGATACCGGGTATCTCCAAACTCTTGGGATGCAGCTAAAGCCACATTCTCTTCCTCAAAGGCCAGGGTTTGATCTAACAACAGCAGGACATCTCTCCAAGTGAGGTTGAAGGTTTGCCCTAGACACAGAAGCAAATCAATATACCTATCAGGATCATCTGAAAACTTTCCAAGGTCTACCTTGATTTGCTTAAATCAGAGAGATAGAAGGGGCATGTACTCAGGTGGGCCAAATTCCCCTCCTGCTACAGTTTGAAAGGGGCATAACACATAGCCCAGGAGGTTTTGTGGTACCATGGAGATTTCTTTGCTTGTTTCCTTCTGTGTGGGGGAGATTAGAGGAGGCTTATCATTAATAGGAAGGGGAGCTGTTAGGGAGGCTACAATATGGAGGTAAGCTGAGAGTTCCTCCTGTTGAATGTAGATTGCAAACTTTGCATAGTTATGGATTATCCTTCAAAGAAAAGAAAGCTTGGACATAAGTTTTTCACTCCATTTGCCTTCCCTCTTACAGAAAAAGTCAAGCTACAGGATAGTATTGTAATTTTTACTTCCCTCAAGTGGCCCATTTTTCCCCATCAGAGAGAGAATATTGAGGCCAGGCCATAGTGCAGAAAAAAATAAGCTGCTTCTTTTTAGGGTTTGCAGGTCAAATTGGTCCTGATGGCTTAGGATACATTTCAAGTTTGAGCTTGTTGATGCCTGAGTGTTTCCCATCTGAAACAAAAAAACACCCATATTTTTTTTTCCCCTGCCCAACAACCCTCAATGGCCCCTGGACCCTGCTGATCGGAATAGTTGCACTCACTGAAGCAGCAGCAGAAATATTAGTTTTCCTCCTAGATCACAAAAAGGACTGAGGAAGTTCAGATTTAGTGGCCCTTACTGACACATTCTCAAAAACCTGCACCCTTGCCTTTCCTCTTAGACCACAAAGAAGACCAAGAAAAATCAGACTTAGTGACCCTTACTGATGCATTCTTGAAAACCTGTTAGAATCTGAAGCATTCTCCTCTTAGTATTGGGAACTTACCCTTGTCCTATAAAGATGATATGCCTCAAAATATAGTGAAGGGCCATACCCTGAGGGAGGGAAGTGATCTCCAGGGTTGGAAGAGTGATGTCTTTTATTCTCACTTCTCACTATATGAATATCCCCCTAATTTTGGAGTCTATAGTTTCTCAGGCTCCCCATATCCTAGCTTCAGGAACAGCCTTTGTTAGGCCTCCTAGTCTTAGGAGGGATCCTAAAATTCCAGATAGTCCCCTCATGATGGGGCTTCAGGCAAAAATTGTGTCTTTCTGATTGGTGAGCTCGGGTGCCTAAGGAATGGAACAGTCCTGAAATTTATATTAGAAATCATCGTTATAGGAGAAACTAGATGAGCACCAGGGATTGGGAGTAGTTTTTAGAAGCAGAACTAGTCTCAGAGAAGAGAGGTGAGAAGAAGTTTGTCTGACAGGCATTAGGACTCAGGAGGCAAGGGTTAGGATAGATAGGATAGAAGGGTGAGTCTTGCTTGGGCAAAGTAACTTTGAGAGTTCCATTCATGGCTGCAGGGTCAATCAAGTTTTTGTCGGGAACCCAGAGCTGAATGGCTTTCCTCTCTGTTGACCCTCAGCTCAGCCCAGAAGTGCAGGAAAAGCAGAAGCTGGTTCCAGGCAAATTAACAATCCTGATTATGAAGAGCGAGGAATTGTTAGAGAGCCCTTTCCCAGAAAGCCTGACACCCATGTCTTTAGTCTGGTGGCTGCACTAGTCACTTTTTTTTTTTTTTCAAGATGGAATCTCACTCTGTCACCCAGGCTGGAGTGCAGTGGTGTTATCTCAGCTCACTGCAAGCTCTGCCTCCCAGGTTCATGCCATTCTCCTGCCTCAGCCTCTCCAGTAGCTGGGACCACAGGCACCCACCACCATGCCCGACTAATTTTTTGTATTTTTAGTAGAGACGGTGTTTCACCATGTTAGCCAGGATGGTCTCAATCTCCTGAGCTCATGATCCACCCACCTCAGCCTCCCAAAGTGCTGGGATTACAGGCATGAGCCACCGCCCCCAGCACTAGTCACTTTTAACTAGCTGACAGGTGCCTGGTGTTTAGCCCCTGAATTCTAAGAAAAAATTGGACAGAATAGCAAGCTAAAAGGGTCTGATGGTACTCACCACGTGGCAATATCCCAGACAAGTCCCCAAGATGTGTGGGGAGCTGGTTTCTGCTGGTAGGTTCGTGATATTGCTGACCTCAAGAATGGAGCTGCAGACCTTCGTGGTGAGTGTTACAGCTGTTAAAGATGGCACAGACCCAAAGAGTGAGTAGTAGCAAGGTTTAATGTGAAAAGCGAAAGGGCAAATCTTCCAGAGCTTGGAAGGGGACTTGAGCAGGTTGCTGCTGCTGGCAGGGGTGGCCATCTTTTATTCCCTTATTTTCCCTGCCCATGTTTAATTTCTGTCCTATCAGAGTGCCCTTTTTACAATCCTCCCCGTGATGGGCTACTTTTAGAATCTTGCTGATGGGTGCGTTTTACAGAGTGCTGACTGGTGCGTTTTTTGGAGTGCTATTTGGTGCATTTTACAGAGCACTGATTGGTGCATTTTACAATCCTCTTTTAACACAGGAAAGTTCCTGATTGGTGCATTTTACAGTCCTCTTGTCAGACAGGAAATTTCCCCAAGTCCCCACTTAATGCAGGAAGTCTAGCTGGCCTCACCATGCAATATTACTAGAGTCCTTATAAAAATAGGAGATTTGGACACCAACATGTGCAGAGAGGGAAGAACATATGTGAATAAAAGCAAAAATCCAGGTGATGTGTCTAAAAGGCAAGCAATGCCAGAGATTGTCAGCCAAATGCCTGACATTAAAAAAATAAAAAAAAAATAAAGAAAAAAAGACTTGGGAGGGATTCTTGCTCAAAGCCCTCAGTCCTGCAGACACCTGGATATTGGACTTTTGGTCAGAACTCCAGAAGTTCCTCAGAACTTTGAGATAATACAGTTCTACTTTTTAACCACGTTCAGCGTGTGGTACTTTGTTACGACACCCTAGTAAACATTTGCTTTAATAGGAAAAAGTTTACCCCGCCCTCTCATCAATCTAAGTCACATTTTTAAAAAAGGGAAATGTGTCTACATTATATTTCCTTTTTACCCTCTCAACCTCATTCCATTGAAGAGCAGGTGTCAGAAGAACTAATAAGCAAACAATATCTATGTGATGTTACCATGCTTCAGAATCTCTAGATCATCACCTCTTCCCAAAAACACGGAGAAAGAGAGGAAGGAGAATAATAAGGTTGAGATGATTGTGATGATTGTGGCTAATATTCCATGCCAGCTGCTCATCTCTGTGCAGCAACCTTAAAATTTAATTAACTAATTAACTCTCTTAAAATAAATGTCAATATCAATATAACCTAAAACTTTCCACGGTAGAATGTAAATTAGTGTAGTCATTACAGAGAAGAGTATGGAGTTTCCCCATAAACCTAAAAACAGAGCTACCCTATGATCCAGCCATCCCAATACTGGTTATTCATCCAAAAGAAAGAAAATTAGTATATAGAAAGGATATCTGTCTCCTATGTTTATTGCATCTCTATTTGCAATAGCCAAAATTTAGAAACAACCTGCGTATCCAACAATGGAATCCTGTCATTCACACCAACAAGGATAGAGATGGAGATCATTATGTTAGGTGAAAGAACATAGGCTAGACAGACAAATTTTCCATGTTCTCCTTAATATGTGGGAGGTAAAACTGTCAAAAAATTAAAGTCATGGACATATAAAGGAAAATGACGGTTACCAGAGGCTAGGAAGTGTAGAGAACAATGGGGCATAAAGTGGGGATGGTTAATAAGTACAAAAAATACGTTTAGGTGGAATGAATAGTATCTAGTATTGGGAAGCACAATAGAATGATTATAGTTAGTATTTTTTTTTGTATGTTTTGCAATAGCTAAAAAGTGGATGTGATGGTTATGCTGATTGTCAACTTGATTGGGTGGAAGGAAACAAGTACTGATCTTGAGTGTGTCTGTGAGGGTTTTCTCAAAGGAGATTAACACTTGATTCAGTGGGCTGGGAAATGCAGACTCACCTTTAATCTGGGCAGACACAATCTAATCACCTGCCAGTGTGGCCAGAATATAAGCAGGCAGAAAATTTTAAAAAGAGAGACTGGCCTAACCTCCCAGCCTACATCTTTCTCTCACACTGGATACTTCCTGTCCTCAAACACTGGACTTCAATTTCTTCAGTTTTGGAACTGAGACTGGCTCTTCTTGCTCCATAACCTGCAGGTGGCCTATTGTGGGACCTTATGATCATGTGAGTTAATACGTAATAAAATATGAGTTAATAGTTAATAAACTATCTATAATAATATCTTTACCTCTCTCTTTTTCTACATATATGTGTGTGTATATATATATATGTGTGTGCGTGTATAGTTCCATTATGTGTGTCTGTGTGTATATATATATATACACATATATATGTACAAATATATACAGATATATGTGTGTATATACACAAACACAGAGTTCCACTGTGTGTGTGTCTATATATATATTACATATATGTATACATTTTATATATATATATATATTTCTCATTAATTCTGTTCCTTTAGATAACTCTGACTAATTCAGATTTTTGTACTAGGAATGGTTCTAGAGTAACAGAATATTAAGAATGGAATTCTTTTGTTGATTTGGGGGTTTCTGCAGTTGGTTGCTTCATATAATTAGACCCAAAAATTCTAAGGACCCTACTTCTAATTGTATGTAGAACACTGATAGTCCTTGGCATGAACTATTTTGAGAGTTATGCAAAATAAATGCATTTGACACTACTTATTCATCACTCATGAGAGGGACGGAGTTTAGTGACTCTATACATAATACTTTTTACCACATGTGGAGAACCAAGGAACACAACGAAGCTGATTGGTTGCTCCTAAGTTCAGTGGACAAAATGCCAAAAAAAAAAAAATGATGAACTTGGGGATTCTATCTCCCAGCTTCAGAAGTATATATTAAGCCCCACGTCTGCTAAGATTGACCTGTGTGAGAGTCTTATCTCCCATAGGGAAAGAGTTGAAATTGTGGAAAAACAGACAGAAGCTGTTATTATGCAAATGGCTGACCTGCAACAAAAGGTGCACACAACCCCTTTCAACGTGTCTGTTGTTAAAGTGAGGGAATTGATTGGAAAAGAATGAGACCCTTCAACTTGGAATGGGGACATGTGGGAGGACCCTGATGAAGTTAGGGACACTGAGTTTGCAAACCCAGGTGAATCTTTTTTTCCAGACAGCCTTTCCACATTTGTCTAAGGAGATAAACCCTGCACTGCCTGAGGCAACAATGATGGCTTCTCCTGAGGCAGTTGCCAGGCAAGAGAATGTTGATTTTCTCCAGGAACCACCCCCAACACCTCTGTTTGCTTCTAGACCTGTAACTAGATGAAAGTCCTGGCAGAACCCTAGAGATAAAGTTGAGATCCTACTATCAAAAACAACTGCTTAGGTTTTCTAATTTATATAAACAGAAATCTGGAGATCAGGCATAGGAATGGATATTAAGAGTGTGGGATAATGGAAGGAAGATAGAGTTGGATAGGGCTGATGCAGAGTTGGATTTGGCTGAATTTATTGATGTGTGCCCACTAAGTAGGGACACTGCATTTACTGTTTCAACTCAGGGAGTTAAAAAATGTTCTAATAATTTATTTGCTTGGTTAGCTGAAATATGAATTACAAGATGGCCCACCGTGTGTGAGCTGGAAATGCCTGATCTCCCTTCATTTAGTGTAGGGGAAGAGATCAAAATGTTCAGGGCGATTGGAACGGCGGAGTGAATTATTCACTTTAGACCTCCTCATCCCAGCTGGGAAAGTTCAGAAGGTATACACTTGACCAATGCTTTGAGAAATAGATTTGTGAGCATAGCACCGGCATCTTTTAAGAGCCCTGTAATTGCTTTTCTCTGTGTAACAGATCTCACAGTGGGAACCACAGTCACTCAGCTACAAAACTTAAAAATTAAATACAATTAAATTTAACATTTAAATACAATGGGAATAATTGAATCCTCCGGTGGTAAGGGGAAAGTGGCAGCACTCAATCATTAAAGGCAAGGTGGGTGAAGCTTCTGTAATGGACAGCAGAGGCAAAGCAGCAATTAGAATAGTCTGATGCAGGTAGAGCTCTGGCATTGGCTGATTAATCACAGTGTTCCTTGAAGTGAAATTGATAGGAAGCTGAATTACTGGATTCCTCTGCTTGATACAGCTGAATTACTGGATTCCTACTTAACTTGTATAAGCAGAAAAATTCTAGATCGAATGGACAAAAGACTCATTTGAATTATAAAAACAGAGAATCACAGCCCTTCCATCAATTTCCAGTCTTGATCCAGTTTACAGACCAAGAATCCCTTGAATAAAGGGGAGGCCAGGTCCCCTTGAGGAAGGACCCCATTACATTACTGACAATGTAGGCTGTAAATTTTCCTCCCGTCCTACTCCAAGGAGACCTCTAGCCTTTTAACAGGGTAACCATCCATTGGGGAAAAGGAAATGATCAGACATTTCAGAGACTACTGCAAGCTAGCTCTGAGCTGTTGTTGATTCCAGGGGACCCAAAGCAACAATGTGGTTCTCCAGTTAAAGTAGGGGGTATTTACGTTATGTAATTAATGGAGTTTTATCTAAGGTCCAACTTGCAGTAGATCTGATGGGTCCTCAGTCTCATCCTGTGGTCATTTGCCAAGTGCCAGAATGCATAATTAGCATAGACATAATTAGCAGGTGGCAGAATCCCCACATTGGCCTCCTGACTGGCAGGGTGAAGAGTATCATGGTGGGAAAAGCCAAATGGAAGCCATTAGAGCTGTCTTTACCTAGAAAAATAGTACACCAAAAAAAAAAAAAAAAAAAAAAAAAAAAATCGCATCCCTGGAGGCATTGTGAAAATTAGTGTCACCATAAAGGACTTGAAAGACAGAGGGGTGGTGATTCCCACCACCTCCCTGTTCAACTCTCTCATTTGTGTAGATGACAGACGGACCTTAAAGAATGACAGCGGATTATCATAAGCTTAGCCAAGTGATGAGTCCAATTGCATCTGCTCTACAAGATGTGGTTTCATTGCTTCAGCAAATAAACACATCTTCTGGTACCTAGTATGCAGCCATTGACTTGGTAAATGTCTTTTTCTCCATTTCTGTCCATCAGGGCAACTAGAAACAATTTGCTTGAGCTGGTAAGGCCAGCAATATGTCTTTACTGTTCTAACTCAGGGGCATGTCAATTCGCCTTCTTCATCTTTGTGTCATGATCTTATTTGGCGATACCTTGATCAGTTTTCACTTCCACAAGATTTTACACTGGCCCATTACATTGATGATATTATGCTGATTGAATCCAGTAAGAAGTAGTAAACATACTTGAGTTATTGGTGAGATATTTGTGTGCCAGAGAATGGAAAACAAATCTGACTAAAATTCAGGGAACTTCTATTTCAATAAAATTTCTAGGGGTCCAGTGGTGTGGGAACTGTCAAGATATTCCTTCTAAGGTGAAAGATAAGTAATTGCTTTTGGGCCCTTCTACAACCAAGAAAGAGGCACAATGCCTAGTGCCTACATGGATTTAGCCTACATGGATTTACAAAATCCTACATGGATTTTGGAGACAACAGACTTTTCCACTTGGGTGTGTTACTCCAACACATGTACCCAGTGACCTGAGAGGCTGCCAGTTTTAAGTGTAGTCCAGAACAGGAGAAAACTTTGCAATAAGTCCAGGCTGATGTACAAGCTTCTCTCCCACTTGGACCATACGACCCAGCAGATCCAATGGTGCTTTATATATCAGTGGCAGACAGGTATCCTCCTTGGAATCTCTGGCAGGCCCCTGTAGGTTAATCAGAGAGGCTCCACAGATTTTGGAGCAAGGCCTTGTCATAGTCTGCAGATAACTACTCTCCTTTTGAGAGAAGGCTTTTGGCCTATTACTGGGATTTGGTGTAAATTGAACACTTGACTATAGGTGATCAAGTCACCATGTGACCTTAACTCCCTATCATGAACTGGGTGCATTCTGACCCTTGTAGCCATAAAGTGGATCAGTCATGCACAGTAGCATTCTATCATCAAATGAAAGTGGAATATACATAGTCAGGCTCAAACAGCTCATCAATGCACAAGTAAGTGACATGAGGAAGTGGCTCAAATCACCATGGTCTCCACTCCTACCTCCCTGCCTTGTCTCCCCCTGCCTGCACTGATGGCCTCATGGGGAGTTCCCTATGATCAGTTGACAGAGGAAGAGAAGATGAAGGCCTGGTTTGTAGATGGTGCTGCATGTTATGCAGGCAAAACCTGAAAGTGGACAGCTGCAGGGCATCACTGAAGGACAGTGTTGAAGAGAAATCTTTCCAGAGGGCAGAGCCTTGAGCATTGCCCCTGTTTGTGCACTTTGCATAAAATGAGAAATGGCCTGCAGTGCTATTATATACTGATTCATGGGCTATAGCCAATGGTTTGACTGGATGGTCAGGTACTTGGAAGAAGCATGATTGGAAAACTGGTGACAAAGAAACTTGGGGAAGACCTATATGGAAGGACCTCTCTGAGTGGTCAAAAACTGTGAAGTTATTTGTATTGCATGTGAGAGCTCAGCAATGGGTAACCTCAACAGAGGAGGATTTTAATAATCAAGTGGATAGGATGACCTGTTCTGTGGACACCACTTAGCCTCTTTCCCCAGCCACCCCTGTCATTGCCCAATTGTCCATGAAGAAAGTGGCCATGGTGGCAGGGATGGAGGTTATGCATGGGCTTAACAACATAGACTTACATTGACTCCCAAGGCTGACCTGGCTATAGCTGCTGATGTGTGCCCAATTTGCTAGCAGAAGAGACTAACACTGAGCCTTTGATATGGCACAATTCCTCGGGGTGACCAGCTAGTTCTCTGGTGGCAGGTTAATTTTATTGGACTTCTTCCATCATAGAAAGGGCAGAAGTTTGTCCTCACTGAAATAGACACTCACCCCAGGTATATGTTGGCCCACAATGCTTCTGCTAAGACTACCATCCATGGACTCAATGAATGCTTTATCTTCTATCACGGCATTCCACACAGCATGGCCTCTGACCAAGGCATTCACTTTATGGCATAGACATGTGACAGTCGGCTCATGCTCATGGAATTCACTTGTCTTACCATGTTCCCCATTATCCTGAAGCAGCTGGATTAATATAATTCTGGAATGGGCTTTTGAAGCCACAATTACATTGTCAAATAGATGAGAATACTTTGCAGGGCTGGGCCAAAGTTCTTCAGAAGGCTGGGTATCTTCTGAATCAGTGTCCAATATATGATACTCTTTCTCCCAAAATCAGAATCCACAGGTCCAGGAATCAAGGGGTGGAAGTGGAAATGTCATCATTCACCTTCACGTCTAGTGACCCACTAGCAAAATTTTTTCTTCCTGTTCCCGTGATATTACATTCCGCTTGCCTCGAGGTCTTTATTCCAGAGGGAGGAATGCTGCCACGACCTGAAAGGGGACACAACAGTAATTCCATTAAACTGGAAGTTAAGATTGCCACCTGGACACTTTGGGCTCCTACAACCTTTAAGTCAACAGGCTAAGACAGGACATACTGTGGTGGCCGGGGTAATTGACCCAGACTATCAAGATGAAATCAGTCTACTACTCTACAATGGAGATAAGGAAGAGTATCCATGGCACACAGGAGACCTATTAGGGTGTCTCATAGCATTACCATGCCCTGTGAATAAGATCAATGGGAAACTACAACAGCCCAACACAGGCAGAACTACAAATTACACAGACACTTCAGGAATGAAGGTTTGAGTCACTCTACCAGGAAAAAAGAACACAACATGCTGAGGTCCTTGCTGAAGGCAAAGGGAATACAGAATTGGTAATAGAAGGAGGTACTCATCAATACCAGCCACGACCACGTGACCAGCTGCAGAAATAAGGACTGTAATTTTCATGAGCGTATTTTTCTTTTGTTAAAAGCATGTTTGTGCATGTATATACTTGTACTACTAAAATATCTTCATTTTATTTTCTTTCTCCTTTATCCTGTGACATAGATTTATTGACTTCACATCACCATTTAAGTATTGTTAACTTTACGTAATAACATTTGGGTTGGGGATTGATGCATTTCTGGTTGTATGAAATATAGTTGTATTATATTAGGTGTAATTATGACATTCTTGTCTTTGCTTAAAGATTATATATAATCTCAGGAGATTTGTATGGGTTCAAGTTGACAAACGGTAGACTTGTGATGGTTAATTCTGAGTATCAACTTGACTAGATGGAAGGATACAAATTATTGATCCTGGCTGTTTCTGTGATGTTGCTGCCAAAGGAGATTAAAATTTGAGTCAGTGGGCTGGGAAAGTCAGACCCACCCTTAATCTGGCTAGGCTCCATCTAATCAACTGCCAGTGAGGCTAGAATGTAAGCAGGCAGAAAAATGCAAAGAGAGACTGGCCTAGCCTCCTAGCCTATATTTTTCTCCTGTGGTGGATACTACCTGCCCTCAAACATCAGACTCCAGGTTCTTCAGTTTTAGAGCTCGGACTGGCTCTCCTCACTCCTCAGCCTGGGGATGGCCTATTGTGGGACATTGTGATCATGCGAGTAAAGAGGTAATAAACTTGCCTCTCTCTCTTTCTCTCTCTCTCTATATATATATGTGTGTGTGTATATCTATATATCTATATAGATATCTATATATCTATATATACACATATATACACACATATTTGTATGTATATATACACACATATATGTATGTATATACACACACATATGTATGTATATACACATATGTATGTATGTATACACACATATGTATGTATATATACACACATATGTGTATATATGTGTATATATATGTGTGTGTATATATATACAGACACACATATATACACATATATATGTTCTTCTAGAGAACTCTCACTAATACAATGAACTTAAAATTTTCTGAATACAAAGAAATAGTAAATTCTGGGTTCAGGGATACCACAATTACCCCAATTTAATCCTGACACATTGTGTGTTTATGTCAAAAAATCCCATGTATCATATATATATATATATATATATATATATATATATATATATATATGACAATTATGTACCCATAATAATTAAAATAAAAAAATAAAATTTTTTTAATAAAAAATAAAAAATTTGACCTGTATGTTGTAAACATTAGTGAAAGAAATGAACGTGATTCCAAACATAATGACATTTTCCTTCTTTAAGTCTTCTAAGACTCTTCCAGATTCTGATGCTATTCATTGAGTCCCATTTTTGCCTTCCATCTGCACTACTGAGTTTGTTCTGAAAATGTACAGTTTTTTGCCTGATATCGGTAGGCTTTATGTCCCCACCTAAATCTCATCTTGAATCATAATGCTTATCATCTCCACATGTTGATGGGGAAACCTGGTGTGAGGTGATGAAAGCATGGGGTCAGTGTGGCCCATGCTGTTCTCATGATAGTGAGTGAGTTCTCATGAGATGTGATGGTTTTACAAGTGTCTAGACAATTCCTCCTCACAACTCGCTTTCTCTCACTTGCTACCATGTAAGTAAGACATGTGTTCCCCTTCTGCTATGGTTTTACGTTTCCTCAGGCCTCCTCAGAAATGAAAAACTGAGTTTGTTTAACCCTTTTTTTCTTTAGAAATTACCAAGTCTTCAAGAGGTGCAGTCGCTCTCACCTGTAATCCTAACAATTTGGGAGGCTGAGGTCGGCAGAACACCTGAGCTCAGGAGTTCAGGACCAACCTGCCCAGCATGGTAAAACCGCATTTCTACTAAAAATACAAAAAATAGCTGGACATGGTGGCACATGCCTGTAATCCCAGCTACTTGAGAGGCTGAGACAGGAGAATTGCTTGAGCCCAGGAAGCAGAGGTTGCAGTGAGCTGAGATCACACCACTGCACTCCAGCCTGGATGACAGGGTGAGACTCAATCTCAAAAAAAAAAAAAAAAAAAAGAAAAAAGAAAAAGAAAAGAAAGACTTACCAATCAAAAAAAGTTCAGGACCAGATGGATTCACAGCTGAATTCTACCAGAGGTACAAGGAGGAGCTGCTACCATTCCTTCTGAAAATACTCCTACCAATAGAAAAAGAGGAGATCCTCCCTAACTCATTTTGTGAGGCCAGCATCATACTGATACAAAGCCTGGCAGAGACACAATAAAAAAGAGAATTTTAGACCAATATCCCTGATGAACATCAATGCAAAAATCCTCAATAAAATACTGGCAAACCGAATCCAGCAGCACATCAAAAAGTTTATCCACCATGATCAAGTGGGCTTCATCCCTGGTATGCAAGGCTGGTTCAACATATGCAAATCAATAAATGCAATCCAGCATATAAACAGAACCAAAGACAGAAACCACAGGATTATTTCAATAGATGCAGAAAAGGCCTTTGACAAAATTCAAGAACTCTTCATGCTAAAAACTCTCAATAAACTAGGTATTGACTCTCAATAAATTAGGTATTGATGGGATGTATCTCAAAATAGTAAGAGCTATCTATGACAAACCCACAGCCAATAGCATGCTGAATGGGCAAAAACTGGAAGCATTCCTTTTGAAAACTGGCACAAGACAGGGATGCCCTCTCTCACCACTCCTATTCAACAGAGTGTTGGAAGTTCTGGCCAGGGCAATCAGGCAGGAGAAGGAAATCAAGGGTATTCAATTAGGAAAAGAGGAATCAAATTGTCCCTGTTTGCAGATGACATGATTGTATATCTAGAAAACCCCATCATCTCAGCCTAAAATCTCCTTAAGCTGATAGGAAACTTCAGCAAAGTCTCAGGATACAAAATCAATGTGCAAAAATCAAAAGCATTCTTATACACCAAAAACAGACAAACAGAGGGCCAAATCAAGAGTGAACTCCCATTCACAATTGCTTCAAAGTGAATAAAATACCTAGAAATCCAACTTACAAGGGAAATGAAGGGTATCTTCAAGGAGAGCTACAAACCACTGCTCAATGAAATAAAAGATGATACAAAGAAATGGAAGATCATTCCATGCTCATGGGTAGGAAGAATCGATATCGTGAAAATGGCCATAGTGCCCAAGGTAATTTATAGATTCAATGCCTTCCCCACGAAGCTACCAATGACTTTCTTCACAGAACTGGAAAAACTACTTTAAAGTTCATATGGAACCAAAAAAGAGCCCGCATTGCCAAGTCAATCCCAAGCCAAAAGAACAAAGCTGGTGGCATCATGCTACCTGACTTCAAACTATACTACAAGGCAGTAACCAAAACAGAATGGTACTGGTACCAAAACAGAGATATAGACCAATGGAATAGAACAGAGCCCTCAGAAATAATGCTGCATGTCTACAACTATCTTATCTTTGAGAAACCTGACAAAAACAAGAAATGGGGAAAGGATTCCTTCCTTATTTAATAAATGATGCTGGGAAAACTGGCTAGCCATATGAGAAAGTTGAAACTGGATCCCTTCCTTTCACCTTATACAAAAATATATTCAAGATGGATTAAAGACTTAAATGTTAGACCTGAAACCTTAAAAGCCCTAGAAGAAAACCTAGGCAATACCATTTAGGACATAGGCATGGACAAGGACTTCATGTCTAAAACACCAAAAGAAATGGCAACAAAAGCCAAAATTGACAAATGGGATCTAATTAAACTAAAGAGCTTCTGCACAGCAAATCAAACTACCATCAGAGTGAACGGCAACCTACAGAACGGGAGAAAATTTTTGTAATCTACTCATCTGACAAAGGGCTAATATCCAGAATGTACAATGAACCCAAACAAATTTACAAGAAAAAAACAAACAACCCATTCAAAAAGTGGGCAAAGGATATGAACAGACACCTGTCAAAGGAAGACATTCATGCAGCCAAAAGACATATGAGAAAATGCTCATCATCATTGGCCATCAGAGAAATGCAAATCAAAACAACAATGAGATACTATCTCACACCAGTTAGAATGGCGATCATTAAAAAGTCAGGAAACAACAGGTGCTGCAGAGGATATGGAGAAACAGGAACACTTTTACACTGTTGGTGGGACTGTAAACTAGTTCAACTATTGTGGAAGTCAGTGTGGAGATTCCTCGGGGATCTAGAACTAGAAATACCATTTGACTTAGCCATCCCATTACTGGGTATATATCCAAAGGATTATAAAACATGCTTCTATAAAGACACATGCACACGTATGTTTATTGCAGCACTATTCACAATAGCAAAGACTGGGAAGCAACCCAAATGTCCAACAATGATAGACTGGATTAAGAAAATGTGGCACATATGCAGCATGGAATACTATGCAGCCATAAAAAAGGATGAGTCATGTCCTTTGTAGGGACATGGATGAAGCTGGAAACCATCATTCCCAGCAAACTATTGCAAGGACAAAAAACCAAACACCGCATGTTCTCACTCATAGGTGGGAATTGAACAATGAGAACACATGGACACAGGAAGGGGAACATCACACACTGGAGCCTGTTGTGGGAAGAGGGGAGGGGGGAGGGAGAGCATTCGGAGATATACCTAATGTTAAATGACGAGTTAATGGGTGCAGCACACCAACATGGCACATGTATACATATGTAACGAACCTGCAAATTGTTCACATGTACCCTAAAACTTAAAGTATAATAAAAAGAAAGAAAGAAAGAAAGAAAGAAAGAAAGAAAGAAAGAAAGAAAGAAAGAAAGAAAGGAAGAAAAGAGAAAAGAGAAAGAAAGAGAGAAAGAAAGAAAGAAGCACGTCTTGGTCATTGGAAAGAAAGAAGCAAGAAACCATGGCAACCATATGGCCAATGTACAGGCATGACCAATATGGCAGGCAAAAAGGTAGTGAAACAGGAAAAAGAAATTTGTACAAGGTGCTCTAGTTGTTGATGCTACGGTGGAAAGATGTATATGACTTAGCCCCTTTACTTGGAAGAGAGGCTCCAGGTGCGTTTTCTCCCTTATCATTCTGTGCTCCACTGTCCTTGGTGAATAATAACAAAACCCAGTCCAGTGTCAGCAGCTTTGAGGCTCAATCCACACAATGCCCTGAGTAAGGCCATCTATCTAAGTGAATAAAATGAGAGTTGTATTTGAAGATTTTACTAATAAAGTTTCTGTAACTACAATATCACACCGGCATATCTAATATCCTATATTTCTGAAAATAGATCCACACTTACTCCCCCATAGGATGGTTTATTATTCTGACACAGTTGATATAAATAAGTCTATATTAAATCTGCCATTATATTTAACTTCTTTATGCTTACTGATGCACTCTGTATTTAGGCATTTTTCTTTCCATACAGTAAAATTATTTACAAGATTGAGAGCTTTATGTGTGTATTTTGTTTAGTTGTGTGTATGTGTTTGTGTTATGTGAGATTGATTTTCTTGTGTGTTTTATAATTTAGAAAACAGAGTGAAACTTACATTCAAGGGAATCAAATATTGTCAAATTGATATTTGTATCTGTAAGTTCCCAGCTTTGGTTTAAAGTGAATGTAGCAGTGATAAAATAATAAACCAACTGAATATTAACACAGGTTTCTTTAATTTTTAATTATTTAATTTTTTATGTGCACATAATAGGTGTCTATCAGGGGTTCCTTTTGTTACATGCCCTTAAGAAGTATCCAGGAAAAAATGGATTAATACACACCGTAAAGAAGCGCACTTTTCTGTTCTGCACAGAAGAAAATATCCTGAAGAGGTGAGTCATACAGGGAAAAGAGTTCCCAATTCAGCTGGAATTTCAGTGAAATAAAACAATAAAATGGAGAAATTAGAAAGCAAATTCAAGTTTTTCTTATGGAGCCTGTGGTGCTAATAACATTTGCCTGAACCTGTATGAATTTGCTTCCACTGGAGTAAAATTATGAGAATTTAATTTGCAAGGAAACAAAAGAAAAGAAAACATGTAATTTACTTTGTGTAGCAGCAAAATTGTTGCACCATAGACAATGTTCGGAATTTTTCTTCAAAAAGATGGAAAAACAGTCTTGTAATATATCTCCCTATATGAGTTTTGAAGATTCAATTTAGCACCTAACAAAAGAGCATCTTACTAGTATTTACATTTGCAACATGTCACTAGCTGTTTTAAAATGATATCCAGTACATTTTGTTCCCCAGTAATGGTTATAAATATTGCATTCTTTCTTTAGATGGAACTTCTTTAATTTCATATACAACTTTAATGTATTCTTCATTTTCACAAGATGCAGAAAGACATGAATTATCTGAAGGCTTGCTTTATCAATTGACTTGAAATAAAACAATTGTATAGTGTGTATCAATTTAATGTCTAAATGTCAGAAAGGGACATTATTTGAAATAAATTCACTTAATCAGGTATATATATATATATTTATATATATATATATATATATATTTATATATATATATATATATTTATATATATATATATATATTTATATATATATATATATATATATATATAGTGTGTGTGTGTGTGTGTGAGACTATTAAATACCAGCACAACAACAATATGAATATAAACATTATGAGCAAGTAATAGATACAATGTACTTCTTGTCATATATATTTATTCTGTAAACTATGATGTGTTCTCAATTCAGAAATGGTAGATGGACATAAAACAATCTTAGAAACTAAATTTTGCAATGGATTCAAATTGATTTAGGCTACTGTTACTGAATTCCATTAAAGGCAGATTACACATTTTTCTATGTAAAGTGTAAAGTGGGAAATGAAAGTCTGAATGTTTTAGGGACAAAGAATTAAGCATACAAGAAATAATTCTGCACAGAATATAAATGGAACACATCAATTTAGATGTTTTCAAAAAGCATAAATATCTCAGGAATTCAAGAAGAGATCAACATTTTACTGAGAATTAATAAGAACCTAGTAGGGAAAAAGCATCTACACGGTTTTTTTAATCAATCACCTGCCATAGATGGTTTCACTAAAATAATTAAAAATAAAACAGGAAGGAGGAGCCAGGGGAATCTTCTTTTTTTTATAACCATGCATTCAAAGTGAAGATTTCTAACTTAAAAGAACAAACAGGCAAAGCCTTGACAGTTCAGATAATTGCTGATTTCTGCCCCAAGTTTTAGGGAAAAAAATTCAGAATAGAAGCCACAGTTACATTAAAGTGATATATTTCTTTGGATTTATATTTTGAGATGAACCAAAGGCATCTGCAGAGCTCATTTCTAGAGAAATAAAGCATGAAAATAAACTATGCTGTTTCTCTTTCATATGCCCCCTTTTGGTCTAAGACTTATTTTGTCTTCACAGGCATGGTATAATGGGATTAATAAAAAGCAAGATATATAGCTTCTTATGCGGAGATAGATTTCTTCTTCAAAGAAAGAAAATCTTAAAACATAAAACTTTTGATGAAAATTAGGACAGGGTTCATTTTGAACCATTCTTCTTTCCCTAGATACATTATTATTCAGTAGATCCACCCATCCTTCTCTTTTTAATATTTGGGAAATTCAAATATATTTGTGTTATTAAATTTTTAGTGAGCTTATGGGGGTCACAGAACTTTTTGAGTGTTATTTTCTGACATCTATTGGACTTACTTTCTGTGCAATTAAGTTTCAGAAATGATAGTGCTTTTGGAAAGGGCAATGTGAAATCAAGAAGGTATGAAATTAAATGATACTATAAATTTAGTAAAAGAGAGTCCTGCACCTAATATTAATAATAATTTATTTTCAAGTAAATACGGGCATAATCCATACCTGGTTGGCTTAATGCATTGACAAACCTCCTCAAAAATTATGGACCAACAGTTACCTAAGTCCGCATATTTCTCTTCAACATAAATTACAGAAAAAACTTCAATATCAAGCATTGCAAATGCAACTATGAGATCACTGACTGTATTTGTATGTAATATCCCTTGCCCTCAGGCCACTTATCCTAATGATGTATTTTTAAAGGGTTCAAACTTTTCTGGGGTGTTCCATGCATTGACACCTTTCCTACTACAAATATTCATTGTTCACACTCCTCCCCAGCAAATTAAAAACTACAAAATAGAATTCTAACTCGATCGTTTTTCATTTATGAAACACTGGTTTGTCTGTTTCTCAGAAGATGCCTCCACTAATACTTTTTCTTTGGTCAGGAGAGCTAAAGAGTGTTTACCCTTTTGTTTTTTCAATCATCCAAACTTCATGTTCAATGATTCTCTGTATTGTTTTAAAATTCCCTATTTTTTTCTTTCTCCACTCTCTTCTTTAGAATTTCCTTCTGAAGAATACTTTTACTATGTATGTAATTCTAAAGAGACACACATTTTCTTTTCTCTTTGAGATATTGTTTCATTCCTACAATAATAAGGATAAAATGGTCAAAATTTTATGTGACATATTGGATAATGCAAAGCTCTGAGGAAACAATGCTAATGAAGACATAGTACTTAAGATGAGTAGAAAGGAAGAGTTTTACAAAACTGGTTTTAATTGTCATTTCTATAAATATGACATCCCAGAACATGTCACCATGAGACAAGGCAAGGAAGATTTCCTAAAAGAAATTTAGCAGCTTATAGACAACAGCAGAAGAAACTCTTATAGATAAGGCAAAGACACCATCTGCTTCCTTGGCTGAAAATGATTTAGAGAAGGTAACCAATCCCTTAATCAGTTGTAAAAAGGAGGGGTTACTTTTAAATAAAAAATGTAATGTCTAGCCTATTCTTTAGCATTCTTGGTATGTGTAAAGCTGTACTCCAGTTTGCTGTAAAATAAAATCTGTGTTCTTTTTTTATGAGGAAATTATAAGGTTTATTGTTTCATATACAATAAACCATAAAACAAGCAAATGGCAGAGTAAAAAGTTATATCACATTTTCTTTTTTTTATTTTACTTTAAGTTCTGGGATACATGTGCAGAACATGCATTTTTGTTACACGTGCCATGGTAGTTTGCTGCACCTATCAACCCATCATCTAGATTTTAAACCCCGCATGCATTAGGTATTCTCTCTCACAAGCGAGAGTTAAACAATGAGAACACATGGACACAGGGAGGGAAACATCACACACCAGGGCCTGTTGGGGGATGGGCAGCAAGAGAAGGTAGAGCAATAGGACAAATATCAGTGTTCT
Organism: Homo sapiens; assembly: GCF_000001405.40. Lineage (NCBI taxonomy): Eukaryota > Metazoa > Chordata > Mammalia > Primates > Hominidae > Homo > Homo sapiens. Next base: position 14,966,683 of record NC_000024.10, on the reverse strand, counting down.
TTAAACATCTTTAATAAGTAATATTTGCAAATCTTACAATTCATCCATTTTAATTACATATTTTCAGAAGTTTTAGGAAGTCTACAAAACTGTAAGTTTTCTACAGCACTACTGCTTTTTGTAGCCATGATAAAGTACTACATAAAATATGTAAATTCCAGAATGTTCATCAGTAGATTTCTACAGATGACAGCCTTCCTGCAATATTATAGGAATGATGTTGATATTCAATATGGGTAAGCCAATTAACCAGTATCAGAAAAATAATTGTGTTCGTATGTCTCCAATGAGCAGACAGAAACATAAAATGGATAAATTATAAAATAAAACATGACAGCAGATATTTCTGTGGGCTCACAGATTTTCCCTTGTGTAATTCTCACAGCCATTCCATGAGGTAGGAATTGTATCTCATCCTCTCTGTGTTCCACAGATAACAACTATGAAAAGTCAGCTGCCATAAATCCCAAGCTTAAGAATAAAAGGTTTAATAAAGTGAGTGCCTTACTAGTTCTGGTTTGTATAATTACTTAAGTCTGTAGTGAGGCAAAAAAAAAAATAGTTTTCCCCAGTTATCTTTGCATCTGGTAACTATAAATCAGAGATAATGTCACATTGGCTTTCAACTGAGGCTGATGTTTCCCTCCTGTTTTCTCTAAACACATGAGTTCAAAACATTTTATCTTGTCTGAATCAGAGTTGCTATGCGTTCAAAAAATGCTGAATTATTAATATTTTTAAGATCCACTGAAAATAATATGTGCATGAGTATTCCTGGTATTTCAGAATTTCATGGTACTTTAGAATTTAGATGCTTTCTTAAATTTAATGTTCAGATAATGGATCATGGAAGAATTACAGAATGCAACAAATATTTATGAATTAAACATTTCTCCTGTTTGGAACTTTTGGTTCTAAAATGTGTCATGTGTGAGATTTGAAATTTTAGTAAATTATTTAGGTAAGGAAGACTCTATTGAATTAAAACATGCTGTGCTGTGGCACATGTGCAGGATGCATGGAAATATGCAAATGCAACAAGTGAAGGAATGGGAGAAAGCAATAATGAGACAATATTGCTTTTCTCTTTTATCGAACTGAGACACAATGTGTTAGTGACACAACAATGGGTATGGTATTTCACATGAAAAAATGAATATTTGAAATGTTTCAAATGTTTGTTTTCCCTGAAGCTACTGGAAACCAGGATATTTATCTATTGATAAATTAAGATGTTAAACATGTTAACCTATAAGAATGTAAAATGTCCCTCTCATTGCATTTTATGTTGTTACTGAAAAAAGTCCCTAGGGACACACAGGTGGGGAGAGTCATCATACAGATTAGATAGTTTGGCCAAAGGATTTGGCCAAATTTTCTTAAAATATATTCTTAACTTCTTTACTGCAAGCTGAAGCTGTTGATGGGCTCCTTTCAGACTGGGTTAGTTTTACTCTAATAAAGACAACTATAATAATGGACCTGGTTGGTTTTCTTGGTAACAAAGAGTCAAGCTAAAGGAAGTAGGGTTGACACATCATCATGATATTTTCATAAAACTAAAGTCCATACCCACATGGATTTATGGAATTAGAAGATACCCATTTTAAGTGTAGATCTGGACAAAAGGAGAAATGCCACAGCCAGCCAGTGATCCCTTGGAAACTCATAGCATCGTTCACTAGAAAAATGTGAGCATACCAAGAAGGAAGGTCACAATGCACTTTTTAATGTATTAAAAATAAAACAGTAGTTAGGAAATCCCAAGAAAGAAGACTTGCCCTAATATGCAATAGGTTAAAAATGAAGGACCGTGTACAGGTATTTACTTCTATTATAGTTGAACCCCTAACTTTCAGTTATCCCTTGCTTTGTGCATATAAAATATTGTTCTTTATGATTGCTACTCTTGATAGAAACCAGGGTTCAGGATCAGCTTGGAAAATGAAGTTGCACAATTGTTTCACATTACTCAATCTCAATTTGTTTAAATTAAACAAACTATGTTTAAACTAAATCTAATCAAAACCTGTTAAATCTGGAGGAATGGGTTAATGAATTTCTACTCAAAAATCACCTACACTTTTAAAATTTACTTAAATGCATGACTATCTCTGCTTCTTCTAGTTTCAGGGAAGTAATCCAGTTGAAATATTTCAAATATTCATTATCGGTGCATGCCACTTAAAAAAACACGTTACCCACCCACAAGCTCATAATTAATTGTCATGGTTATCCTTAATTCTTATTAACACAATATATGGGTATATTAGTATTGAAGATTTAATTGAATAGTAAAACTCCATGACATGAGTTTTAAAATATCTTTTTGACACTACATCCCAAAGAAATCTCATTTTAATAAATGTATGATTTTAAAAATCACATTTATATTCAGTATAAATTTATATTCAGTATAAACTGAAAACAAAATCACATTTATATTCAGTATAAATGTTGATATCAAAAATTCAAAGGTGCTGAAATATGTTTTTGAGCAGCCGAAGGAAATTTTAACTAATTTTTTAAAAGATTTTTTTCCTACAAAGTTTAAAAGCATTTAGTCCTAACTGTAGTTTTACTTTTAATACATTAAACAGTGCATAGTGACCTTCAAATAAGCTATTTATGGTACTATCAGACACATGGTGTGGAGTACAAAATTAAAATGTGATATGTGAAAACATTGAGTAATTTATCTCCCATGGTTCATCACTTGGAGGCATTAGGTCCAGTTCTGGAGGCCAGGGTGTGAAATCGAGGTGTGAGCAAGGTTGGTTCCTTGTGGAGATACAGAGGGAATCTTGGTCTCCTGCCTCCTGGGAGGTACTATTGGCTAGGTGTTTCTTACTTTGTGGACACATCACTCTGATCTCTGCCTTTGTCTCCATGTGGCCTTCTCCTGTGTGTCTGTATCTCCTCTTCTGTGTCTTACAAAGACACCTGTCATTAGATTTAGGACCCTTCTAGATAATCTAGGATGATTTCATCTTCATATCCTTAACTTCCATTTTGAAGGCTCTTTTCCTAAATAAGGTCATAGTCATAGATTCCAACTGAACATATCTTTGGGGGTCACTATCGAACTCACTGCAGGTGTGAGTTTATTTATACAAGTTTATTTATAAAATTCATATCTGTAAGAGATCAGTGTTGAAAGGATTATAGGTGAGAAGGTGTAGTTTCTGGAATTGGCTGTAAAAGACAACAAATAAAATAGAAATAGAGGTATAAAGGGCAAAAAAGTTTGGGAAGTGTTTATTATGTGACCTCCATGACAGATGTATGGAGTTTCCCTCCTTTTTCTTTTTTCTTTTTGTATGTACTTGGTACTATTTATAATAAAACAGTTTATATAAAAATATTAAAATAACAATGACCTTCTATTGTGTATATATATACAACATTTTCTTTATCCTTCATCTGTTGATAAATGCAGGTTGATTCCATGTCTTTACCATTGTGAATAATGCTATCATTCAGCCTTAAAGAAGGAATCCTGTCATTCGCAACAACATGGGTAAACCTGGAGGGCATTCTTTTAAGTGAAATAAGCCAGATAAGTAAAGACAAATATTGCATGAACTTACTTATATGTGAAGGCTAAAAAAGTTCAATGCAGGTGGCTCACGCCTGTAATCCCAGCACTTTGGGAGGCCGAGGCGGGCGGATCACGAGGTCAGGAGATCGAGACCATCCCGGCTAAAACGGTGAAACCCCGTCTCTACTAAAAATACAAAAAATTAGCCGGGCGTAGTGGCGGGCGCCTGTAGTCCCAGCTACTTGGGAGGCTGAGGCAGGAGAATGGCGTGAACCCGGGAGGCGGAGCTTGCAGTGAGCTGAGATCCCGCCACTGCACTCCAGCCTGGGCGACAGAGCGAGACTCCGTCTCAAAAAAAAAAAAAAAAAAAAAAAAAAAAAAAAAACGTTCAATGCATAGAAGTAGAGAGTAGAATGGTGGTTGCCAGGGGCTGGGAGAGGGAGTGGATTGGGAGAGGGGGACATGTTGCTCAAAGCATACAAAGTTTAAGTTACAGAAGCGGAATAACTTTTGGTGATCCACTGCACAGTATTGTGACAATGGTGAATAATGATGCATTGTGTATTTCAAAATTGTTAAAAGAGATTATAAACATTCTTACCACTGGGACATAAGTATATAAAGTGATGGAAATGCTAATTGTCTTGATTCAATCATTCCAAAGTGTATACACATATCATATCATCACATTACACCCAATAAATGTATATGTTTTGTTTTTACCAATTAAAAATGAAGCAATATAAAATAAGATTTAAAAATACCAACAACAATATTGTTACCAGAGTCAGCCATTTGAAAATAAAGCAAGATGAGTGGAATGATTTTTTATTCCTATGTGGCAATATAATCTTACACACGTACACATACACACACACACACAACAGTGTCTGGATGGTGTGGGAATGAGAAGTGACTGCTTAATAGGAATGGTGTTGCTTTGGGAATAAATTTTTCATACCTATACTGACATGATAGTTGCAACACATTTTGAATATACTAAAGGTCACTGAACTGTACACTTGAAAACATCTAATAATGTTCATGTTATGTGAAGTTTACCTTACTAAGAAAAAATCTATATGTTCTAGTACATAAAAGGAAATTGTGCATTTAGTTTTCCTAATAGCCTACCCTGAACTTGTCTTCATTTATTTCATTTCTATGGCTTTTCTGCAAAGAACTCAAGAGCCTCTTTAAGGGCATTTTCAGAAAAACTCACACATACTTGCTTTACTAACTGAGATGTATTAAAAGAATAGCATGACCAATATTTCATGAAATCTGAAATCTATGCAGTTCTTTCCCACCTCCTCATAGGAAACAGCCACTGACATTGCCAGGGTCCAGGATCACCTACAAATTTTTAATTTAAATTTTTTTTTAATTTTCCTGGGTACATAGTAAGTTTACATATTTATAGGGTACATAAGATGTTTTGATACAGGCATACAATAAGCACATCATGAAGACTGGGGTATCCATTCACTGAAGCATTAATCCATTGAGTTGCAAACAGTTCAATAGTAAGTCATGGTCATCCTTTCTATTTTTTGTTCCCGTTATCCATTCCACCTCCATGCCCCAAACACACCGCCTACCTTTCCTAGCCTCTGGTAACTATCTCTCTACTCTCTATGTCTATGAATTCAATTGTTTTGATTTTTAGATTCCACAAATAAGTGAGAAAATATAATGATTTTCTTTCTGTGCCTGGCCTATTTCACTTATAATGATCTCCAGTCTCAGCCATGTTGTTGTAAATGATAAGATCTCATTCTTTTTGTTTGGTTAGATAATACTCCATTGTGTTTATGTACCACATTTTCTTTATCAATTTATCTGCTCATGGGAACTTGGTTGCTTTCAAATCTTAGCTTCCTCAGAAAATTTTTAGTTTTTTTGGAACTTTTAATATACTAATGTAGTAATTTACATTCATTCCCATCAACAGGGTATAAAAGTTCTCTTTTCTCCACATCCTTGCCAGCATTTGCTATTGCCTGTCTTTTGGGTATAAGCCATTTTAACTGGGGTGAGACACCTACAACTTTTGATTAGGCAAACAATGTGATGGAAGCCAATAGTGAAAGCTTCTTTAAAATCAGGTGTTCTTTCTCCTGCAGAATCTTGGCCAGGATTGCAGAACCATAAGCAAGTTAGTTCACATCTCATTGACAAGAGGATGAAAATGGAAACATTTAGAAAATAATAAAAAGTAGCCAGGCATTTTGGCTCAGGCATATAATCCCAGCACTTTGGGAAGCCAAGGCAGGCAGATCACTTGAGGTCAGGAGTTCAAGACCAGCCTTGTCAACATGGTGAAATTCATCTTTACAAAAATACAAAAATTAGCTGGGTTTAGTGGCATGCACGTGTAATCCCAGCTACTTGGGAGTCTGAGGGAGGGAGCATCACTTGAACTGAGGAGGTGGAGGTTGCAGTGAGCCAAGAGCATGCCACTGCACTCCAGCCTGGGTGACAGAGCCAGACTCTATCTCAAAAAGAAAAAGAAAAAGAAAAAGAAAAGAATAAAAAGCCAAATTCTACTGGGTTTGACTTGCACCATCCAGTTAGTCTGCTGGCAGCTGGGGAGAGGAACAGAAAACCAGGATGAAAAAAGTCAGATATAATTGTCACTTGGGTCATGTGACCAGTGTCAGAGCTGCAGTCTGTAACTGTCTTAGTTTGTTCAAGTTATTATTTTTAAAAAACAATAGACTGGTGGTTTGTAAACAGCAGAATTTTATTGCTCACATCTCTGGAGGCTGAAAGTCTAAGATCAAGTCATGGTAGATTCAATGCCTGGTGAGAACCTGTTTCCTGATTGATAAATGGTGCCTTCTCACTGTGTCCTAACATGGTGGAAGAGGCCAGGGAGCTTTCTGGGTCACATTTATAAGGTACTCATTCATGATGCTCCATACTCATAACTTCATTGCCTTCCATGGGACCATGATTTCAAGGCCCCACCTCCTAACACCATCACCTTGGGGGTGGCAGTTTAGCATGTGTGTTTTGGTAGGCACAGACATTCTGTCTAATGCAGCAATGACTTTCCCAATATTACTTATTTCTCCTACTCCACCTTTTCTCTTGTATGTCAAGAGTTGAGTGGTTGACATGTGAGATTTCATGTGGAGTTCACTGAAATCGGAATCCACCCTCAATGACACAATGATTGAGGGGACATTGGACATAGAATACCATCCCAGATGGTGGATGAGGAGAAATGTTGATGAGCGCAGAGGGCACATAGTGCTGGGAATTTTCATTCGAACATGAAGAAACAATTCTCATAAGAAATTCAGCTTGACTGCCCAGGGATGGTGTCCTGTATGGATTTGATCCGTTAGCTAACTGGATTTTACATAAATTGGGCCAATGGAGAGTACTACCAAGAAATTATAGTGTGTGGTGAAGGCAAAATATTTTGAGTCTATTTATTTATTACACTGGTTTTCTCCTTTTGAGATTTATTTCTTCTCTTTTTCTCTTTCTTTCTGCTTTTCTTTCTTTCTGCTCTCTCTTTCTCTTTTTTTTTCTTTCTTTCTTTCTCTTTCTTTCTTTCTTTCTTTCTCTTTCTTCTTCCTTTCCCTCCTTTCTCTTTCTGTCTCTTTCTCCTTCCTTCCTTATTTCCTTTCCTTCCTTCTTTCCTTCATTCCTTCCTTCCTTCCTTTCTCCCTCCCTCCCTTCTTTCCTTCCTTCCCTCCCTCCTGCCTTCCTTCCTGCCTTCCTTGTTTCTTTCCCACACTCCCTCCATCTCTCCCTCCCTCTTTCTTTCTTTCTTTCTTTCCTTTCTTTCTTCTTTCTTTCTTTCTTTCTTTCTTTCGTTCTTTCTTTCCTTCCTTTTCTTTCTCTTTCTTTCTTCCTTCCTTCCTTCCTTCGTTCCTTCCATCCTTCCTTCCTTCCTTCTTTCTTTCTTTCCTCTCTTCCTCCTTCCATTTTTGTTTCTTCTCTGTCCTTATTTCTTTACAGGGTTTGTTTTAAATTTTACTATTATTATACTTTAAATTTTAGAGTACATGTGCATAATGTGCAAGTTAGTTACATACGTATACATGTGCCATGCTGGTGTGCTGCACCCATTAACTCGTCATTTAGCATTAGGTATATCTCCTTTTATTTTATTTATTTTATTTTTTTTTATTTTGTTATTATTATTATTATACTTTAAGTTTTAGGGTACATGTGCACAATCTGCAGGTTAGTTACGTAGGTATACATGTGCCATGCGAGTGTGCTGCACCCATTAACTCATCATTTAGCATTAGGTATATCTCCTAATTCTATCCCTCCCGCCTCCCCGCTCCCCACAACAATCCCCAGTGTGTGATGTTCCCCTTCCTGTGTCCATGTGTTCTCAATGTTCAATTCCCACCTATGAGTGAGAATATGCAGTGTTTGGTGTTTTGTTCTTGCCATAGTTTACTGAGAGTGATAATTTCCAGTTTCATCCATGTCCCTACAAAGGACGTGAACTCATCATTTTTTATGGCTGCATAGTATTCCATGGTGTATATATGCCACATTTTTTCATCCATGTCCCTACAAAGGACGTGAACTCATCATTTTTTATGGCTGCATAGTATTCCATGGTGTATATATGCCACATTTTCTTAATCCAGTCTATCATTGTTGGACATTTGGGTTGGTTCCAAGTCTTTGCTATTGTGAATAGTGCCACAATAAACATGCATGTGCATGTGTCTTTATAGCAGCATGATTTATAAACATTTGGGTATATACGCAGTAATGGGATGGCTGGGTCAAATGGTATTTCTAGTTCTAGATCCCTGAGGAATCGCCACACTGACTTCCACAATGGTTGAACTAGTTTGCAGTCCCACCAACAGTATAAAAGTGTTCCTATTTCTCCACATCCTCTCCAGCACCTGTTGTTTCCTGACTTTTTAATGATTGCCACTCTAACTGGTGTGCGATGGTATCTCATTGTGGATTTGATTTGCATTTCTCTGATGGCCAGTGTTGGTGAACATTTTTTCATGTGTTTTTTGGCTGCATAAATGTCTTCTTTTGAGAAGTGTCTGTTCATGTCCTTCACCCACTTTTTGATGGGGTTGTTTGTTTTTTTCTTGTAAATTTGTTTGAGTTCATTGTAGATTCTGGATATTAGCCCTTTGTCAGATGAGTAGGTTGTGAAAATTTTCTCCCATTTTGTAGCTTGCCTGTTCATGCTGATGGTAGTTTCTTTTGCTGTGCAGAAGCTCTTGAGTTTAATTGGATCCCATTTGTCAATTTTCGCTTTTGTTACCATTGTTTTTGGTGTTTTAGACATGAAGTCCTTGCCCATGCCTATGTCCTGAATGGTAATGCCTAGGTTTTCTTCTAGGGTGTTTATGGTTTTAGGTCTAATGTTTAAGTCTTTAATCCATCTTGAATTAATTCTTGTATAAGGTGTAAGGAAGGGATCCAGTTTCAGCTTTCTACATATGGCTAACCCCTTTACTGAGCTCCATTTATTAAATAGGGAATCTTTACCCATTGCTTGTTTTTCTCAGGTTTGTCAAAGATCAGATAGTTGTAGATATGCAGCATTATTTCTGAGGGCTCCGTTCTGTTCCATTGATCTATATCTCTGTTTTGGTATCAGTACCATTCTGTTTTGGTTAATGTAGCCTTGTAGTATAGTTTGAAGTCAGGTAGCTTGATGCCTCCAGTTTTGTTCTTTTGGCTTAGGATAGACTTGGTGATGTGGGCTCTTTTTTGGTTCCATATGAACTTTAAAGTAGTTATTCCAATTCTGTGAAGAAAGTCATTGTTAGCTTGATGGGGATGGTATTGAATCTATAAATTACCTTGGCTGGTATGGCCATTTTCTTGACATTGATTCTTCCTACCCATAAACATAGAATGTTCTTCCATTTGTTTGTATCCTCTTTTACTTCATTGAGCAGTGGTTTGTAGTTCTCCTTGAAGAGGTCCTTCACGTCCCTTGTAAGCTTGATTCCTAGATATTTTATTATCTTTCAAGCAATTGTGAATGGGAGTTCACTCATGATTTGGCTCTCTGTTTGTCTCTTATTGGTGTATAAGAATGCTTGTGATTTTTGTACATTGATTTTGTATCCTGAGACTTTGCTGAAGTTGCTTATCAGCTTAAGGAGATTTTGGGCTGAGATAATGGTGTTTTCTAGATATACCATCATGTCATCTGCAAACAGGGACAATTTGACTTCCTCTTTTCCTAATTGAATACCCTTTATTTCCTTCTCCTGCCTAATTGTCCTGGCCAGAACTTCCAACACTATGTTGAATAGGAGTGGTGAGAGAGGGCATCCCTGTCTTGTACCAGTTTTCAAAGGGAATGCTTCCAGTTTTTGCCCATTCAGTATGATATGGGTTGTGGTTTTGTCATAGATAGCTCTAATTATTTTGAGATACGTCCCATCAATACCTAATTTATTGAGAGTTTTTAGCATGAAGTTTGTTGAGTTTTGTCAAAGGCCTTTTCTGCATCTATTGAGATAATCATGTGGTTTTTGTCTTTGGTTCTGTTTATATGTTGGATTACATTTATGATTTGTGTATATTGAACAAGTCTTGCATCCCAGGGATGAAGCCCACTTGATCATGGAGGATAAGCTTTTTGATGTGCTGCTGGATTCAGTTTGCCAGTATTTTACTGAGGATTTTTGCATCAATGTTCATCAAGGATAATGGTCTAAAATTCTCTTTTTTTGTTGTGTCTCTGCCTGGCTTTGGTGTCAGGATGATGCTGGCCTCATAAAATGAGTTAGGGAGGATTCCTTCTTTTTCTACTGATAGGAATAGTTTCAGAAGGAATGTTACCAGTTCCTCCTTGTACCTCTGGTAGAATTCGTCTGTGAATCCATCTGGTCCTAGACTCTTTTTGGTTGGTAAGCTATGGATTATTGCCACAATTTCAGAGCCTGTTATTGGTCTATTCAGAGATTCAACTTCTTCCTGGTTTAGTCTCAGAAGGGTGTATGTTTCGAGAAATTTATCCATTTCTTCTAGATTTTCTAGTTTATTTGCATAAAGGTGTTTGTAGTATTATCTGTTGGTAGTTTGTATTTCTGTGGCATTGGTGGTGATATCCCTCTTATCATTTTTATTGTGTCTCTTTGATTCTTTTCCTTTTTTTTTCTTTATTAGTCTTGCTAGTGGTCTATCAATTTTATTGATACTTTCAAAAGAGCAGCTCCTGGCTTCATTAATTTTTGAAGGGTTTTTTGTTTCTCTATTTTCTTCAGTTCTGCTCTGATTTTAGTTATTTCTTGCCTTCTGCTAACTTTGGAATGTGTTTGCTCTTGCTTTTGTAGTTCTTTTAATTGTGATGTTAGGGTGTCAATTTTGGATCTTTTTTGCTTTCTCTTGTGGGCATTTAGTGCTATAAATTTCCCTCTACATATTGCTTTGAATGTGTCCCAGAGATTCTGGTATGTTGTGTCTTTGTTCTCATTGGTTTCAAAGAACATCTTTATTTCTGCCTTCATTTCCTTATGTACCCAGTAGTCATTCAGGAGCAGGTTGTTCAGTTTCCATGTAGTTGAGCAGTTTTGAGTGAGTTTCTTAATCCTGAGTCCTAGTTTTTTTTCAATGTGATCTGAGAGACTGTTTGTTATAATTTCTCTTCTTTTACATTTGCTGAGGAGTGCTTTACTTCCAACTATATGGTCAATTTTGGAATAGGTGTGGTGTGGTGCTGAAAAATAGTGTATATTCAGTTGATTTGGGGTGGAAAATTCTGTAGATGTCTATTAGGTCCTCTTGCTGCAGAGCTGAGTTCAATTACTGTGTATCCTTGTTGACTTTCTGTCTCGATCTATCTAATGTTGACAGTGGGGTGTTAAAGTCTCCCATTATTATTATTTGGGATTCTAAGTCTCTTTGTAGGTCACTCAGGACTTGCTTTATGAATCTGGGTGCTCCTGTATTGGGTGCATATATATTTAGGATAGTTAGCTCTTCTTGTTGAATTGATCCCTTTACCATTATGTAATGCCCTTCTTTGTCTCTTTTGATCTTTGTTTAAAGTCTGTTTTATCAGAGACTAGGATTGCAACCCTTGCCTTTTTTTTGTTTTCCATTTGCTTTGTAGATCTTCCTCCATCCTTTTATTTTGAGCCTGTGTGTGTCTCTGCATGTGAGATGGGTTTCCTGAACACAACACACTGATGGGTCTTGACTCTTTATCCAATTTGCCAATCTGTGTCTTTTAATTGCAGCATTTAGTCCATTTACATTTAAAGTTAATATTGTTATGTGTGAATTTGATCCTGTTATTATGATGTTAGCTGGTTATTTGGCTCATTAATTGATGCAGTTTCTTCCTAGTCTTGATGGTCTTTACATTTTGGCATAATTTTGCAATGGCTGGTACCAGTTGTTCCTTTCCATGTTTAGTGCTTCCTTCAGTAGCTCTTTTAGGGCAGGCCTGATGGTGACAAAATCTCTCAGCATTTGCTTGTCTGTAAAGTATTTTATTTCTCCTTCACTTATGAAGCTTAATTTGGCTGGATATGAAATTCTGGTTTGAAAATTCTTTTCTTCAAGAATGTTGAATATTGCATCCCCCTCTCTTCTGGCTTGTAGAGTTTTTGCTGAGAGATCCATTGTTAGTCTGATGGGCTTCCCTTTGTGGGTAACTTGACCTTTCTCTCTGGCTGCCCTTAACATTTTTTCCTTCAATTCAACTTTGGTGAATCTGACAATTACGTGTCTTGGAGTTGCTCTTCTCAAGGAGTATCTTTGTGGTGTTCTCTATATTTCCTGAATATGAATGTTGGCCTGCCTTGCTAGATTGGGGAAGTTCTCCTGAATAATATCCTGCAGAGTGTTTTCCAACTTGGTTCCATTTTCCCTGTCCCTTTTAGGTACACCAATCAGATGTAGATTTGGTCTTTTCACATAGTGCCATATTTCTTGGAGCCTTTGTTTGTATCTTTATATTCTTTTTTCTTTAAACTTCCCTTCTCACTTCATTTCATTCATTTCATCTTCCATCACTGATACCCTTTCTTCCAGGTGATCACAACGACTCCTGAGGCTTTTGCATTCTTCACATAGTTCTTGGGCCTTGGCTTTCAGCTCCATCAGCTCCTTTAAGCACTTCTCTATGTTGATTATTCTAGTTATACATTCGTCTACATTGTTTTCAAAGTTTTTAACTTCTTTGCCTTTGGTTTGAATTTCCTCCTGTAGCTCGGAGTAGTTTGATTATCTGAAGCCTTCTTCTCTCAACTCATCAAAGTCATTCTCCGTCCAGCTTTGTTCCATTGCTGTTGAGGAACTGTGTTCCTTTCTAGGAGGAGAGGCACTCTGCTTTTTGGAGTTTCCAGTTTTTCTGCTCTGTTTTTTCCCCATCTTTCTGGTTTTAACTACTTTTGGTCTTTGATGATGGTGATGTACAGATGGGTTTTTGGTGTGGATGTCCTTTCTGTTTGTTAATTTTCCTTCTAACAGACAGCACCCTCAGCTGCAGGTCTGTTGGAGTTTGCTAGAGATCCACTCCAGACGCTGTTTGCCTGGGTATCAGCAGCAGTGGCTGCAGAACAGCGTATTTTCATGAACCGTGAATGCTGCTGTCTCATCCTTCCTCTGGAAGTTTTGTCTCAGAGGAGTAACTGGCCGTGTGAGGTGTCAGTCTTCCCCTACTGGGGGGTGCCTCCCATTTAGGCTGCTCAGGGGTCAGGTGTCAGCGACCCACTTTAGGAGGCGGCCTGTCCATTCTCAGATCTCCAGCTGTGTGTTGGGAGAACCACTCCTCTCTTCAAAACTGTCAGACAGGGACATTTAAGTCTGCGGAGGTTACTGCTGTCTTTTTGTTTGTCTGTGCCTTGTCCCCAGAGGTGGAGCCTACAGAGGCAGGCAGCCCTCCTTGAGCTGTGGTGGGCTCCACCCAGTTAGAGCTTCCTGGCTGCTTTGTTTACCTAAGCAAGCCTGGGCTATTGCAGGCACCCCTCCCCCAGCATCGCTGCCACCTTGCAGTTTGATCTCAGACTGCTGTGCCAGCAATCATCGAGACTCCATAGGTGTAGGACCCTCCGAGCCAGGTGCGGGTTATAATCTCCTGGTGAGCCGTTTTTTAAGCCCATCAGAAAAGTGCAGTATTAGGGTGGGAGTGACCCGATTTTCCAGGTGCCATCTGTCACCCCTTTCTTTGACTAGGAAAGGGCACTCCCTGACCCCTTGCACTTCCCAAGTGAGGCAATGCCTCACCGTGCTTCAGCTCGCACAGGGTGCACTCCACCCACTGTCCTGTGCCCACTGTCTGGCACTCTCTAGTGAGATGCACCTGGTACCTCAGATGGAAATGCAGAAATCACCCATCTTCTGCATCGCTCATGCCAGGAGCTGTAGACTGGAGCTCTTCCTATTCGGCCATCTTGGCTGTCCTCTCTTTACAGGGTTTTGTACTCTATTCCAGATTGGGGTGCAGTTGCACCATTTTAGCTCACTTCAGCCTCCAAATCCTGGGCTCAAACAATCCTCACACCTAAGGCTCCTCAGTAGCTGGAAATACAGCCACATGTCAAAATGCTGAGCTAATTTTTTATTTTAGTTTTTGCAGAGATGAAGTCTTGCTATGTTGTGCAGGTGGTCTCAAACTTCTGGCCTCAAGCAATTCTCCCCCATCAACTGCTTGAAGTGCTGGGATTCTAGGCATTAGAGACTATGCTTGGCTTTTGAGGTTTATTTTTTTGGTAGGGTTTTCTTACCCAAGGCAATACACCACAATGTTGCCTTCTCCACTGGACTGTTTCTTTTTTATGGTAACCACTTTCTCACACTCCCTATGAATTTCCAAACAATAAGAAACAAAACTGTTTTTCTGACTCCATCTCAGTTCCTCTATAACCCAGCCACTATTTTGTACATATTTTTCCAGTGTGTTCAAGACAGCCTAATGGAAATCCAAAGATGTCCTGGTTCAAACTCCAGATTCTGGGAACATCTTACAGTACTTGTCAAAAAGATTTTAGTACTGTGACTAATTTTCCAGATCTTACAATAAAAATATTTTTATCACAAAGTTTCTTATAACAGACAGTGCTAGTATTTTATTGAGGATTTTTGCATCAATGTTCATCAAGGATATTGGTCTAAAATTCTCTTTATTGGTTGTGTCTCTGCCCAGCTTTTCTATCAGGATGACGCTGGCCTCATAAAATGAGTTAGGGAGGATTCCCTCTTTTTCTACTGATTGGAATAGTTTCAGAAGGAATATTACCAGTTCCTGCTTGTACCTCTGGTAGAATTCAGCTGTGAATCCATCTGGTCCCGGTCTCTTTTTCGTTGATAAGCTATTGATTATTGACACAATTTCAGCTCCTGTTATTGGTCTATTCAGAGATTCAACTTCTTCCGGGTTTAGTCTTGGGAGTGTGTATGTATCGAGGAATTTATCCACTTCTAGATTTTCTAGTTTATTTGCATAGAGGTGTTTTTAGTATTCTCTGATGGTAGTTTGTATTTCTGTGGGATCGGTGGTGATATCCCCTTTATCATGTTTTATTGCGTCTATTTGATTCTTCTCTGTTTTTTTCTTTATTAGTCTTGCTAGCAGTCTATCAATTTGGTTGTTCCTTTCAAAAAACCAGCTCCTGGATTCATTAATTTTTTGAAGGGTTTTTTGTGTCTTATTTCCTTCACTTCGGCTCTGATTTTAGTTAATTCTTGTCTTCTGCTAACTTTTGAATGTGTTTGCTCTTGCTTTTGTAGTTCTTTTAATTGTGATGTTAGGGTGTCAATTTTGGATCTTTTCTGCTTTCTCTTGTGGGCATTTAGTGCTATAAATTTCCCTCTACATATTGCTTTGAATGTGTCCCAGAGATTCTGGTATGTTGTGTCTTTGTTCTCATTGGTTTCAAAGAACATCTTTATTTCTGCCTTCATTTCGTTATGTAACCAGTAGTCATTCAGGAGCAGGTTGTCCAGTTTCCATGTAGTTGAGCAGTTTTGAGTGAGATAGTTAATCTTGAGTTCTAGTTTGATTGCACTGTGGTCTGAGAGATAGTTTGTTATAATTTCTGTTCTTTTACATCTGCTGAGGAGAGCTTTACTTCCAAGTATGTGGTCAATTTTGGAATAGGTGTGGTGTGGCGCTAAAAAAAATGTATATTCTGTTGAATTGGGGTGGAGAGTTCTGTAGATGTCTATTAGGTCCTCTTGGTGCAGAGCTGAGTTCAATTCCTGGGTATCCTTTTTGACTTTCTGTCTCGATCTGTCTAATGTTGACAGTGGGGTGTTAAAGTCTCCCATTATTAATGTGTGGGATTCTAAGTCTCTTTGTAGGTCACTCAGGACTTGCTTTATGAATCTGGGTGCTCCTGTATTGAGTGCATGTATATTTAGGATAGTTAGCTCTTCTTGTTGAATTGATCCCTTTACCATTATGTAATGCCCTTCTTTGTCTTTTTTGATCTTTGTTGGTTTAAAGTCTATTTTATCAGAGACTAGGATTGCAACCCCTGCCTTTTTTTGTTTTCTATTTGCTTGGTAGATCTTCCTCCATCGATCTTGACTCTTTATCCAACTTGCCAGTCTGTGTCTTTTAATTGGAGCATTTAGTCCATTTACATTTAAACTTAATATTGTTATGTGTGAATTTGATCCTGTCATTATGATGTTAGCTGGTTATTTTGCTCATTAGTTGATGCAATTTCCTCCTAGTCTCGATGGTCTTTACATTTTGGCATGAGTTTGCAGTGGCTGGTACCAGTTGTTCCTTTCCATGTTTAGTGCTTCCTTCAGGAGCTCTTTTAGGGCAGGCCTGGTGGTGACAAAATCTCTCAGCATTTGCTTATCTGTAAAATATTTTATTTCTCCTTCACTTATGAAGCTTAGTTTGGCTGGATATGAAATTCTGGTTTGAAACTTCTGTTCTTTAAGCATGTTGAATATTGGCCCCCACTGTCTTCTGGCTTGTAGAGTTTCTGCCGAGAGATCAGCTGTTAGTCTGATGGGCTTCCCTTTGTGGGTAACCCAACCTTTCTCTCTGGCTGCCCTTAACATTTTTTCCTTCATTTCAACTTTGGTGAATCTGACAATTAGTTGTCTTGGAATTGCTCTTCTCAAGGAGTATCTTTGTGGTGTTCTATGTATTTTCTGAATCTGAATGTTGGCCTGCCTTGCTAGATTTGGGAAGTTCTCCTGCATAACTTCCTGCAGAGTGTTTTCCAACTTGGTTCCATTCTCCCCGTCACTTTCAGGTACAACAATTAGATGTAGATTTGGTCTTTTCACATAGTCTCATGTTTCTTGGAGGCTGTGTTTTTTTCTTTTTATTCTTTTTTCTCTAATCTTCCCTTCTCACTTCATTTCATTCATTTCATCTTCCATCGCTGATACCTTTTCTTCCAGTTGATCGCATCAGGTCCTGAGGCTTCTGCATTTTTCACATTGTTCTTGTGCCTTGGCCTTCAGCTCCATCAGCTCCTTAAAGAACTTCTCTGTGTTGGTTATTCTAGTTATACATTCGTCTAAATTTTTTTCAAAGTTTTTAACTTCTTTGCCTTTGGTTTGAATTTCCTCCTGTAGCTGATAGTTTGATCTTTTGATGCCTTCTTCTTTCAACTCATCAAAGCCATTCTCTGTCCAGCTTTGTTCCATTGCTGGTGAGGAACTGCAATCCTTTGTAGGAGGAGAGGTGCTCTGTGTTTTAGAGTTTCCAGTTTTTCTGCTCTGTTTTTTCCTGATCTTTGTGGTTTTATCTACTTTTGATCTTTGATGATGGTGATGTACAGATGGGTTTTTGGTGTGAATGTCCTTTCTGTTTGTTAGTTTTCCTTCTAACTGACAGGACCCTCAGCTGCAGGTCTGTTGGAGTTTGCTAGAGGTCCACTCCACACACTGTTTGCCTGGGTATCAGCAGCGGTGTCTGTGGAACAGCGCTTTTCCATGAACCGCAAATGCTGCTGTCTGATCATTCCTCTGGAAGTTTTGTCTCAGAGGAGTACCCGGCTGTGTGTGGTGTCAGTCTGCCCCTAATGGGGAGTGCCTCAAAAATCCTCAGTAAAATACTGGCAAACTGAATCCAGCAGCACATCAAAAAGCTTATCCACCATGAACAAGTGGGCTTCATCTCTGGGATGCAAGGCTGGTTCAGTATATGCAAATCAATAAATGTAATCCAGCATATAAACAGAACCAAAGACAAAAGCCACATGATTATCTCAATTGATGCAGAAAAGGCCTTTGATAAAATTCAACAACGTTTCATGCTAAAAATTCTCAATAAATTAGGTGTTGATGGGACGTATCTCAAAATAATAAGAGCTCTCTATGACAAACCCACAGCCAATATCATACTGCATGGGCAAAAACTGGAAGCATTCCCTTTGAAAACTGGTAAAAGACAGGGATGCCCTCTCTCACCACTCCTATTCAACATAATGTTGGAAGTTCTGGCCAGGGCAATTAGGCAGGAGAAGGAAATAAAGGGTATTCAATTACGTGAACAGGAAGTCAAATTGTCCCTGTTTGCAAACGACATGATTGTATATCTAGAAAGCCCCATTTTCTCAGTCCAAAATCTCCTTAACCTGATAAGCAACTTCAGCAAAGTCTCAGGGTACAAAATCAATATACAAAAATTACAAGCATTCTTATACAACAAGAACACACAAACAGAGAGCCAAATCATGAGTGAACTCCCATTCACAATTGCCTCAAAGAGAAAAAAAAATACCTAGGAATCCACCTTACAAGGGATGTGAAGGACCTCTTCAAGGAGAACTACAAACCGCTGCTCAATGAAATTTAAGAGGATACAAACAAATGGAAGAACATTCCATGCTCAGGGGTAGGAAGAATCAATATTGTGAAAATGGCCATACTGCCCAAAGGAATTTATAGATTCAATGTCATCCCCACAAAGCTACCAATGACTTTCTTCAAAGAATTGGAAAAATCTACTTTAAAGTTCATATGGAACCAAAAAAGAGCCCACATCACCAAGTCAATCCTAAGCCAAAAGAACAAAGCTGGAGGCATCACGCTACCTGACTTCAAACTATACTACAAAGCTACAGTAACCAAAACAGAATGGTACTGGTACCAAAACAGAGATATAGATCAATGGAACAGAACAGAGCCCTCAGAAATAATGCTGCATATCTACAACTATCTGAACTTTGACTAACCTGAGAAAAACAAGGGATGGGGAAAGGATTCCCTATTCAATAAATGATGTTGGGAAAACTGGCTAGCCATAGTAGAAAGCTGAAACTAGATCTCTTCCTTACACCTTATACAAAAATCAATTCAAGATGGATTAAAGACTTAAACGTTAGACCTAAAACCATAAAAACTCTAGAAGAAAACCGAAGCATTACCATTCAGGACATAGGCATGGGCAAGGACTTCATGTCTAAAACACAAAAAGCAATGGCAACAAAAGCCAAAATTGACAAATGGGATCTAATTAAACTAAAGAGCTTCTGCACAGCAAAAGGAACTACCATCAGAGTGAACAGGAAACCCAGAAAATGGGAGAACATTTTCGCAACCTACTCATCTGACAAAGGGCTAATATCCAGAATCTACAATGAACTCAAACAAATTTACAAGAAAAAAACAAACAACCCCATCAAAAAGTGGGTGAAGGACATGAACAGACACTTCTCAAAAGAACACATTTATGCAGCCAAAAAACACATGAAAAAATGCTCAACATCACTGGCCATCAGAGAAATGCAAATCAAAACCACAATGAGATATCATCTCACACCAGTTAGAATGGCAATCATTAAAACGTCAGGAAACAACAGGTGCTGGAGAGGATGTGGAGAAATAGGAACACTTTTACACTGTTGGTGGGACTGTAAACTAGTTCAACCATTGTGGAAGTCAGTGTGGCGATTCCTCAGGGATCTAGAACTAGAAATACCATTTGACCCAGCCATCCCATTACTGGGTATATACCCAAAGGACTATAAATCATGCTGCTATAAAGACACATGCACATGTATGTTTATTGTGGCACTATTCACAATAGCAAAGACTTGGAACCAACCAAAATGTCCAACAATGATAGACTGGATTAAGAAAATGTGGCATATATACACCATGGAATACTATGCAGCCATAAAAATGATGAGTTCATGTCCTTTGTAGGGACATGGATGAAATTGGAAATCATCATTCTCAGTAAACTATCGTTAAGAACAAAAAACCAAACATCGCATATTCTTACTCATAGGTGGGAATTGAACAATGAGAACACATGGTCACAGAAAGGGGAACATCACACTCTGGGGACTGTTGTGGGGTGGGGGGATGGTGGAAGGATATCATTGGGAGATATACCTAATGCTAGAGGACGAGTTAGTGGGTTCAGCGCACCAGCATGGCATATGTATACATATGTAACTAACCGGCGGATTGTGCACGTGTACCCTAAAACTTAAAGTATAATAAAAAAAAAGAATGACAGACAGATTATCCAAAATACAATCTCTCTCAGACTAATACAAATTTATCTTATTTTAAAATACTTGTGGAGAATCATTTTGAAAACTATTTTCATATATTATCACATACTCTTGTAAATGCTTTCTTGTATATTATCTAGAATACTGTTTGGGCATTGTGGCTTATGCCTAAAATCCCGGCACTTTGGGAGGCTGAGGTGGGAGGATTGCTTGAGTTCAAAACCAGACTGGGAAACATAGTGAGACCCCCATCACAAACAACAACAAAATATATAGCTGGGTGTGATGTCCTGTGCCTCTTCATAGGTAGTATGTTTTAAGAAAAAGTGGTGGGATGGGTGCAGTTGTTCTTGCCTGTAGTGCTAACTACTCCGGAGGCTGAGGTGAGAGAATTATTTCAGCCCAGAAGGTCAAGGCAGCAGTGAGCTGTGTTTGCACCAGGGCATTCAGCCTGCATAACAGAGTGAAATCCTGTCTCCAAAATAGAAAATAAAAATACAATTCTACCCAAGAACTGGAGCCCAGCTGGTATCATTTATAAAATATGGAATACTGTTTGTGCTTTATATACATGGGATGTATATTACATTTTCCCCACATCTTTCTCAAGACTTCCCAGTGATCGGATGTCAAAAGTCTATTTTTTGACACTTTTATTTTCTTGTCTTTTATGAGTCATATTCCAGGATAAAGTGGGTTTTGGATCAAAATGAAGTTGATTCAGTGACTGGATTCATCACACATACACTGAATTGAATTGTGCAAATTACCTAGCTTATCATAATTCGGACATGTGTAAAATTATGGGGATTTTACAAATCATATTCTATTCCTTTTATTGAATTAAGGACAAAGAGATTGCTCTTAATTTATCCATGATTGTTGTGGGAATTAGAACTATTATTTGAAAAGCATCCACTAAGGTCATTGACCTTGTCCAGCCACTGATACAGGAGAAATTGTAACTATCATTGTGATTTCCATATGATTTTCCCTATAATTCCTTTTACTTATCAAAGTTAAGAATACAGTGGCTCATACCTCTTATCCCAGCATTTTGAGAGGATGAAGCAGGAACATTGCTTGCAGCCAGAAGTTCAAAAGCAGCCTGGGCAACACAGAAAAAGACCCTGTCTCTGTAAAAATTTTTAAAATTACCAGTGCATGGTGGTGTGTACCTATAGTCCCAAATCCTTGGGAAGCTGAGGCAGGAGAATTCCTTGATCCCAAGAGTTTCAGGCTGCAGTGAGCTATGGTCACACCACCGCACTCCAGCCTGGGTAATACACCTTGTCTCTTAATTTTTGTTTAAATTAACAAATAATTCCAAATTCAATAACGAGTTGAATTATTATATCTTCTCTGTGAATTTCTATATTTTATCCTACGTTGTAGTCACTGATGATAGCCATAAATATTTCTGGTATAAGAAAATACACATACCTCAATTTTCATGAAATTTGTCCTAAAAATCTCTGCAGTTGCTTCTAAGGACTAAAGGTGATACCAATATTTTTAAAGCATGAAAAGAACAAACAAAATCCATATGTAAGGTACAATGCAAAAAGAAAGAATAAACATTATTATATATGTTAGTATTATCTTAGGAGAAAATTCAATGCAGATACCTATTTCTTTTTATTATTATTATTATTATTATTATTATTATTATTATACTTTAAGTTTTAGGGTACATGTGCACAATGTGCAGGTTAGTTACATATGTATACATGTGTCATGCTGGTATGCTGCACCCATTAACTCGTCATTTAGCATTAGATATATCTCCTAATGTTATCCCTCCCCATTCCCCCAACCCCACAACAGTCCCCGGAGTGTGATGTTCCCCTTCCTATGTCCATGTGTTCTCCATTGTTCAATTCCCACCTATGAGTGAGAACATGCGGTGTTTGGTTTTTTTGTCCTTGCAAACTCTCTGTGATGTTTGAGTGTTCTCTTTAAGTAATAGTATTAAAATTAAAATTAAAAGGTGCTGTTTATGCCAAATTCAATAGGACAGAATACTGTACTCAGAAATATATATATAGTATCCATCATATATGTTTATAAAACTTTATTGGAAATTACACATTTGTTTATAT
Source organism: Homo sapiens (assembly GCF_000001405.40). Lineage (NCBI taxonomy): Eukaryota > Metazoa > Chordata > Mammalia > Primates > Hominidae > Homo > Homo sapiens. The sequence continues at coordinate 14,944,619 of NC_000024.10, read as the reverse complement.
ATTTGTAATATATACTTGCATATCTACATTTAACATGAATATTATATTAATGTTAATTACATTTGATATTTATATTATAAGGTTGATATAATTTTATATTGTATATAGATGGATATGTATGTATGTTTTTAAATTTCATATTTTCTTAATATCAATGCATGGTGTCAGTATTAATTATTTTCTCATTTTACAAATGAGGAAATTGGGGCCCAGGGAGTCTGACTAACTTTCCTAGGAACTGTAATGAAGTGTCAGGATGGGAATATAATCATGAACTATCTCTAGAACAGTATCCCATTGGACCGCCTTCTTTGGGACCACCTTAGTCCTCATACATATGCAGGTGTTGGGAACCACTGCAGACCTACAGAATGAGAATCACCATGCAGTTTCAGAATCTGCACTTTTTTGCAGATGGGATGTGTCCTATCTCTCCTGACCCTTGCCTCCTGGGTCCTAACGACTGTCAGAGAAACTTCCTCCCACCTCTCTTCTTAGAGGTTATTCCCACTTCTAAAAACCACTCCCTGTCCATGGTGCTTTTCTAGTTTCTCCTACAAGAATGACTTCTAGTACAAACTTCAGGACTCTGTTCCCTTCTTTAGGCACACAGGCTCACCAATCAGAAAGACATAATTTTTGCGCTTCAGTTATCTCCCATCAGGTCCCTCCCACAACACATGGGAATTATGGGAGCTACAAGATGAGATTTGGATGGGACCACAGAACCAAACTGCAGAGGTCTGTCCTGCAGACCCTGACCCAATGACGGATGAATAAAGTACACTGACACATAGATATTCTGCTTTTCATGATCACATCATACAAGTGATGCTTAAGCAACCAATAATCTGAGAATTGCTGCTTTCCCAATTAAGTCTATTTCAAGGACACTTCAGTTTTATGTTCTAGGGGGACTTTAGAGATTCAGTGATGATTTTGCAATGTTATTCCCAGCTCTCTTGGCTAATTGCTTCCTATGTTTTTCATAGAGGGACTAATGACATGTGAATTTGAGTGCTCACAACATCCCCACAGGAAAGATCAGTTATTAGAAATGCATCACTGCTTTGCCTGAATACATTTTTAAAGGGAACACAAAGGCAGGAAAATTAGCAATTTAAATCCTATATCAATTTGTACATGCTGAAGAACTTATATTTCCTACTCAAAATTACTCATTGTTATATAGGACTAGTGTTCTTTGTTTCCCAGGGCTGTCTTTGTTTCCCAGGGCTGCAATAACAACGTACCACTAATTGAATGGGTTTAAAAAATGAAATTAAAAAAGAGATGTTCAAAACATTCTGGAGACCAGAAGTCAGAAATCAGGTGTCTCATGGCTGCACTGCCTTAGGAGGATCTAGGGAAAGTTCCTTCCTGCCTCTCACATGGAGTTCTCCTCTGTATCTTTGTCTCCTCTTCTATCTCTTCGAAGCACTCTGGTCATTGTATTTATAGACACCGTAATCCAGGATGATCGCATATTAACTTAATTATATCTGCAAAAAGCCTATTTCCAAATGAGGCCATTTTCATAGCTTCAGAATGGATATTTTATTTTTATATATATATATATATATACACACATATATATATATGTATGTATATATATATATATATATATATATATTTGGTGAAGAGGACCGTTCATTCCAATCAAATGACCTTCAGTATGAATATATAATAGAACATTTGCATAATTTTAGACAAGTTTGAAAATAATGCATGAGGACTTATTTTATAGAGGTAAACATTTTAGGAAAAACATATCCTCATAGGCTTAAGGTATAGCTTTATGAAAAAATTAGCCAGAAGCTTGTGCCTATGTGCACCTGTCAGTGTGTTCTGTGCATACTGGGTCTGGGTATTGATAAATAGCTATGGTTGGTTTCCTTTTGAAGGGAGGATATATTTCCTAGCACTCTGTAAAGCTTCTCTGAGTGTATCATTGCCCTTTCCATAAATCTGTTATTCTTCTGATATTCTTCTCCATAGACATAAACCCCAATGGTAGTTGTAGAAAGAAGACACAGAAATTGATTACATCTTCTTTACTTTAACCTTTTAGTTACATAATTTTTTTTTCTTCTCTTCTTCAGTGTGCTAGTATTCTTTGTCACAGCCAATATCATACTGAATGGGCACAAGACTGGCACAAGACAAGGATGCCCTCTCTCAACACTCCTATTCAACACAGTGTTGCTAGTATTCTTTCTCTAAGTGCAGATCATGGAAAAGCTTTGTGACCAAATCACTTACTTGAATTTTTATTATTTTACAACCAGGTCTGTTGACCTTCTGTAATTCTGCTGATCAACATAGATGCTTGAGATGAGACTTAATACAACAAAATCTTATTATATACGAAATATTTTATTTGCATATGTTTGATCCCTCTATCTAGCTACATATATTCAGTTTAAATTTTTTTTAACCACAGTAACTACTTTGTTGTTCTAGAAGTTAGATGCACACTGCCCTTGTATTCCACCTCATAAATTGACTGTCTTGTGTAGAGTTAGAATTAAACATACAGAGTAAATGTTAGACAATGTCTTTCTGTACCTTCTTGTGGTATGTTAGATTCCCACTACCAATAAATCCCATTTCTTTTGTTATATTATTAATAAAATTATGAGAGCATAAGTGGCTAACTTCTAAATATGGCATGTAACACCAGTCTACATTTTCCAGGAGAAAATCAATTCTAAACACAGCAAAGTGAGTCTCTCTGTCTTGTTTTAAAGTGCTACTCAATTTTTTGGCTGGTATTATGTTAGAAAATGTAGTCTTTCACCCAAAGAGACCATGGAGATTTGGCCCAGTCTTATGCTTGCCTCCCTTTTCAACGGTGTGGCACTGGGAACAGAAGACAGGTCAGGCCCCTGCATATTCTTACACAGCCACCAATAAGAACAAAGGCATCATTTGCGGAGAGGATACACTGATGGAGTATTTGGAGAATCCCAAGAAGTACATCGCTGGAACAAAAATGATCTTTGTCAGCATTAAGAAAAAGGAAGAAAGGGCAGACTTGATAGCTTATCTCAAAAAAGCTACTAATGAGTAAGCTACTGCCTTATTTATTACAAAACAGAAATGTCTCCTAACTTTTTTGATGTGTACCATCATTTAATATATCTCATACACCAGAATTCAGATCATGAATGACTGACAGAATATTTTGTTGGGCAGTCCTGATTTAAAACTAATACTGGCTTGTGGTTAAATAAATATGTTCAGTTTTTGAATTTTAATAGTAACTCCAATTCCGTAAACGCTATCACTGTTTACCCCTTCTAAAGATATGATTAGACTTCGTTAGTAATGTTCAACTTTTCACAAAGATGGTGAGTGCCATCTTAAAACTTACTGGAGATTGGTTTTATATTTAGATTTATATAACTGGTTATGTGAATATATGTAAATACTGGGGAAATTCTTTCACTGTCTTAGAACCAAGCAAGATTCACCTGTGTTTTGTGTTCATTTCCCTCTTAAAGGCAAGGGTTGAAGATAAATAAGGTAGCAATGTCTATAGTTTTGGCCTTAACTATGCCAATCTAATTATAATTCCCTGTATTTAAAATGGTTCCTTTTACTTATTGAAAGTCATTTTAGTGTGGTTTATGTGTAATATTAAAGATTATTCAACACCTCTCACATCTTATAGATCTATAAGATCACATGCTTTTAAAATAGTAGCAAGTTAAACTTCACTCTTGTATTCTTTACAGTCGAAGTCAAACTAAGTTATAATTTAGGATTGTCTTTAAACAGCCATTCAGAAACATAAAACTGTAGAACTGTGTATTTGTGATTGGGAATGGTGCTTTTGCCACCTTAAAAGGATTAAAGTAATGGAGATATACACAAATTTTAAAATTATGTGTGATCACAAAACTAAAGATAATTAAAAAGAAAACCATATAGATCATGAAAAAAAAAAGAAAATGCAGTCTTTCAAAATCGTACTTTTCTCCCTCATAACAGAAAAAACTAACCATTGTTAAGGCCATATGAAAGACTAACAGGCCCATGAAAAGGTGAAAGGAAAAGAGATAGGCAACCCCAAACATTCCATAGCGCTGTATAGTACTATGTGCTCAGATCTGCAAGGTTGAGTAGATTTAGCTTGAGAATGAGTCAAAGAAGACATCCGTTTCAGCTATGTGTGCATTATTTTTGCTCCAGAGATGAGTTTTGCAAATTAATGTTCTTGCTTATAAAGGGAATTGTGCAAAAGCAAATTAGTAGCTTAGTGCCTGAAAACCCATTACCACTATTGTGAGGTATTTTGTGTCAATGTCTGCAGACGCTTGTTAAAAATTCTGTGTAGTGTACATATCCATTCATAGGGAGAAAATGTGGCATCAAGGAAAGACCATGACTTCCAAAGGCAATTACATTCATGTGCAGGCATGGCCTCTTGGCTTGAAGACAGATTATAGAGTGATTTTGACTTCCTGCATCTGCATCTTGTACAAGCATATCTATATCAAAGGTAATACATGCCTATCACATGCACTATCTTATGCACAGTGCTGAGGATTATGTTGGGGTCTAAATATAGGAATTTAAGAGCAAAGAAACTGGGTTTGCACCTCTACTCAGCCATTTACTACCCATGTGAATGGACACCCAGCTTAATTTTGCTATGTCTCAGTTTCCTCAGCTATAAAACAGGGAAAATAATTGTATTTATTCTCATTGTGTTGCTAATACATGGCATAATAATATCTGTTAAATGCTTACAATCATGCCTGACACATTTTAAGTGCACATATATCTTATTTACTAGTTTTACAGAGGACATTCTCATAGGGATAGCTTCTATACTTGTCAGTATTATCAGGTACAATGAAAGGTTGGATTGAGAGCAAATTTCTCCAGTATATCTTTGAGCCCTTTAAACACAAAAAAGAGAAAGAATATCAGACATACCAAATAAACACCTTATCCATTGTTATATTAGGGGAATTCAATTTTAATTCCTGTTATCATCAAAAAACGAAAACAAATTTTGTCATTATATTTATTTTTTAGGAGTATAGTTCTCTCAAGGGAGAAAATCATTAGACAAGAAAAGATTACTTAATTATATATAAAAAATATAAATACCAATGTGACAATATGCTTACAGGGAAACAAAATATTATTTAAAAAATCAGTCTCTAAATAAAGATTATTTCAAAATAATCATTTTATAAGCAATTGTCCTTTTCAGAATGTGATTAAATTGAATCATGTTCAATACCTTGTAAAGCAAACAGAATTTCCCTGAAGGGCACTGGTAGGACCAAATTATTCATAAATTGTCATCAAAACATGTTTGCAAAGGAAAGGTGAAGTCCTATTTTATTTCTTCTTCAAATTATTTTTGAATTTCTCATGCAAATCATATTACACTATTTTACTGTAATGTTATTCTGATTTCCACACATACACACACAACACACACACACAATGGACATTAAGTTAATTTTCACACTATATTGGCCTTTAGTTTCTAATATAGTTTTTATGATTGGCTTTGAAATTCCTTAAATTACTGCATTCCTTTTAGTCACTCAATTACACCACTTAAAATATCAAACATTTAGCAATAGGAAAAGAGACCAGGCATCAAATTGTTAAATTGCATAATAATTAATATTAGTTCTCTATAGAGTATTAAGATAATGCTGATTTTTTGTTTATTTTTATGAATTTTAAAAGTATTCTACATTTAAATTACATGCTAGTATAAAATAAAAGATCTGTTATTGCCCTTACCATCACTTCTTTGACTTTTTCTGGTAGACACATGATTTATATCATTCTTGGGGTCATTTGGAATTGACATATTTTCCATAGCTTCCAAACAAACTTAACTGGAACCTTCATAAACCATCCATGGCAATTTTTGAGTTAACTTTAGATATCTGTATCAATCAATACACCCTCATTTTATATATATCTTACCATCCCTGCATTTTTTTTACATAACTCTTCCATATTACTGTTGTGTGACTTTTCCTTAGTTCATCTAAAAACAGGGTCCTTGTCACACAGCCATAAAAATTTAGACTTGCAGATGATTTGAAGGGTGAGTAAAGCAGAGCTTCATTGAATAAAAAGGAAAAAAAAATGGAAAACAGGAACTCTGCAAGACAGAGGTCCTCCAGTGTGCTTCTTGCCTCACAGCTTGAATTCCATGTACCACCCAGAAAGAGGAGGGACCTAGCTGCTCCTCACTGCAAATGGTACAAACGTTTGTGTCTCCACCCCACACTGTTCTCCTCCCAGTGTACAGGTTGGTTGGAGGTTCTGCCAGGGAACACTTCCCACCTGGTTGTCTCATTATTTGCATCATCAAATTTGGCAAAATGCTTTCTTTTGCAAAAAAAAAAAAAAAGAAAAAAAAAAAAAAGACCTATTTTTTCTAGAATAAGTCTGGGAATATGTATCATAGAGCAGAAACCCTCTTACCCAGAAACCATAAGTCTTAATTTAGAAAGAAATGTTTCTAACACATATACCACATATTGAATATACAGATCTTAGTATAAGCCTAATAAACCATGTTTTCCACTTTTATAGTGTAAAGACAAGAGAGAGCAAAGTGTCAATAACAGTTAAAAATATGATGGAGATGTTAATGCCAGCATCTGGGAGGATTTCAGAGACTGAAGCCAATTATTTTCCAGACAAAAACAAAAAAACAAACAAAAAAACAAAACAAAAACAAAGAAGGAGACACAGAAACATAAAAACCTACACAGGTCTTTTATCATAACCAACTCCGCCTTCATTTGATGACATAGAACAAAGATGAACACAATTTACTATAAGGGACAGAGAGTCAATATTTTCAGCTTTGTGAGCCAGGTAGTCCACTCTGACATTGTAAAGCAAAAGCATCTACAGACAACATGCAATTGCATGTTCCTGACTGTGTGCTCATAAAATTTGACTTAAAAAAACAGACCAGAGGGCCTATGGCAGACTGATGGCAGACTGTAGTGTGTCAACACTCTACCTTAGAATTCCACCTAAAGAGAGCAAATACATTCTCCTCACCATTTACACAGTGCCAATTCCTAAGTTAAACACAAAGATCAACACATAAACCCCAAAATCAATAAAATGTACAGAAATTCTGCTACTCTCCAGAGCATTATACTGGTCTGTCCTCAGCCCAAAGCATCCCTTACCTATTTCTGCACACTTGGTTCGGTTTTTCTATATCCAGGGAGAAGGTGCAGGTTCCAGGATCTGTTGCTAAGCTTCCAGCAGTGCTGTGTATCCTGAGAGACAATTTGACCCTAACTGTAACGCTCTAGGTGGGGGCTAAGAAAATGAGCCCTGGTAGCAATGCATCTGAGAGCAACTTGTTTTTAAATTTATTTCAGATCTGCTCAGAAAAGTAGGAAAATAGACTTTCAATGTAGGAGGAAACTAACACAGCTAAAACTATGAGGCAACTGCTGCTTGGAACAGAAAGGGCCCAAAGCTGTCAGGGCAAGCTGCCCTGCAGCCCATGTTGCAGCAGTTGTCAAGCATTGAGGTTTTGGGAACTTCCTTCCACTGGCGTGGTGAGAAGCATCTCCTTGTTCAAGATGAGGAAGAGCAGAGTTTTTTTTTTTTTTAAATGCAGAACAAATGAATGGACACTTTATCCAGGGTATGCAAACACCTCTGAAATAGCCTAACATGTCACAAGAAAAAAAAAACTGCTTAGAAACAGTATTTTATACCTCTATATTAAATTGGAAGTGTAAAGAATAAAATAGGACATGTGTTAGCTTATTCAATAGCTCTTTCGTAGCATATATGGCACTATTTTGCAATAAAGCTGTTCATGAGTGAGAGGGCAGTCACTATGGCAAACAAGTTGCCCACTAGCCCTTGGGGGACTCACAATCTAGTAAAGAAAGGAAACAGGTTAAGAAGTGATAATTGGCCAGGTGCAGTGGTTCACACCTGTAATCCCAGCACACTTTGGGAAGCCAAGGCAGAAGGATTGATTGAGGCCAGGAGTTCACAACCAGCTTGGGCAGCCTGGTGAGACCCTATCTGTAAAACAAAAAACAAAACACAACAACAACAACAAAATAGCTGGGCAAGTGTATGTGTGTGCACCTGTAATCCCAGCTACCTGGGAGGCTGAAGTGGCAGGATCCCTTGAGCTTAGGGGTGGAGAACAGCCTGGGTAACATAGCAGGATCCCTTGAGCCCAGGCTGTCAAGGCTGCAGTAAGCTATGATCACACCACTGCACTCCAACCTGAATGATGAAGGGAAATCCTGTCTCTAAAAAGAAAGGAAATAAAAAAGTCCAGGAGTGGTGGCTCATGCCAGTAATTCCAGCACTTTGGGAGGCTGATGTAGTGGAGTGGCTTGAATTCAGGAGTTCCAGATCAGACTGCCCAACATGCTGAAACCTGTCTCTACTACAAATACAAAAAAATCAACTGGGTGTGATGGGGGCCTCCTGTAGTCCCAGCTACTTTGGAGTATGAGGCAGCAGAATTGCTTGAACGTGGCAGGCAGAGGTTGCAGTGAGCCAAGAGCATACCACTGCACCCCAGCCTGGGTGACAGAGCAAGACTCCATCTCAAAAAAAAAAAAAAAATGGTGATAATGATCTGCATTTCTAAGCCAATATAGAGAGATGCAGGAAGATTTTTATTTGCAGGGGAAAGTAAATGTCTCTGCAGCAATCTAATGCAATACATCATATGCAGATACTAACAGTAAAGATATAAATTAGATAACAGATTCTAGGGTACCACTAGGCATAACAGTACATAAAGCTACTTTATTTGAGTGGCCAAAAGCTGTTCATAATATTTGTATCATCAGTTCAGTGGATGGAGCACACACAGAAAATAAGAACATATTTTAAAAAAAGGTAGCATTGTTGAAGGCTGCAGTAGACTGACTGATGTCTCCCAAAATGTGTGTCCCTATCATAATCTCAGGAGCCTGTGAATGTGAGCTTATTTGAGAAACACACCTTTGAAGATGCCATTATGGTGAAGATCTGAAGATGAGATTAACCTGGATTATGTAGGTGGGCTCTAAATCCAAGGACAGGTGTCAAAAGATGATACAAAAGAGGAGACGCTGACACAGGAAAGGCTACATGGAGAAGGAAGGAGAGACAGGGAAGACTTGGCCACAAACCAAGGGACATCTTGCCCATGATTGTGGGTGTGTCAGTGAGGGTGTTTCTGGATGAGATTGGCATTTGCCTCAGTGGAACTGATAATGTAGATGACCTTCCCCAGTGTGGGTGGGTAACAGCAAGTCTGTTGAGGTTCGCAGTAAAACAAAAAGGCAGAGGGAAAGAAGAGTTTTCTCTTTTTGCTTCCTGACTACCTGCCTGAGCTGGGACATGAGGCTGCTTCTGCCCTTGGCCTAGGATTTCACTTGATTCTCATAGATGTTCTCATCTTTAGTCTTGGATCAGATTATACAAGAGACTTTTCTTGAATGTCTAGCTTGTGGAAGGTAGATCATGGGACTTCTCAGCTCATAATTTTGTGACCCAATTTCTCATAATAAATCTATGGATAGATAGATAGATGATAGATAGATAAGTAGATAGAGATATAATCTACTTGTATATCAAAAATAGTTGGACATTGGCCTGGTGCAGTGGCTCATATCTGTAATCCCAACATTTTGGGAGGCCGAGACAGGAGTATATCAATTAAGACCAGAAGTTTGAGACTAGCCTGGCCATCATGGTGAAACCTCATCTCTACTTAAAAAAAAAAAAAAAAAAAAAAAAACTAGCTGGGCATAGTGGTGTGTGTCTATAATCCCAGCTACTCAGGAGGCTGAGGCATGAGAATCACTTGCACCTTGGGGGTAGAGGTTTCCATAAGCTGAGATCATGGCACTGCATCCAGCCTGGGCAACAGAGTGAGGTTCTGTTACAAAAAACAAACAAAACAAATACAGTAGGACCTCTATATCTGTGGGTTCCACATGCATGGGTTCAATCAACCATATTTTAAAACTATTTTCAAAAATAAATAATTGCGGTACAACTATTAAAACAATAATACATTTTAAAATTGTAGTACAATGCTTGCTTGCACAGCATTTGCATTGTATTGAGTATTACAAGTAATATAGAGATGATTTAAAGTATGTAGGAGAATGTGTGTAGGTTACATGCAAATATGACACCATTTTATAGGACGGATTTTTGTAGACATTGATTTTAATATCCTTGAAATATCCTCAAACCAATCTCCCACAGATACCAAGGTACAATTCCCTTTATATGATATATGATACAACTCCCTTATATGATATATGTCTAAACCTGTATCATAGAACCAGTAAGATATATAAAAGCATATATATGAAGATTTATATCTATATGAAAATTTTGACATATGTATATATGTGATACAGATATGATATCTATCATCTGTCTCTCTCTCTATATATGGCCCATGACAATTCACCAATAAGAATTCGGAAATTATATACACCATATACACATACTCATATATATACACTCCCATACCAGTTTTATATATGTATATACACTTATATATATAACCCCATATATATGGAGTTTACATATTTTATATATATATATAAAACATATGAGTGTGGTGATGTGTGATGGGAGACAGTGGCAGATCATCAGGCATTAGATTCATACAAGGAGAGTGCAACCTAGAACCCTCCCATGCACAGTTCACAATTGGGTTTGTTCTCCTATGAGAATCTAATGCTGCTGATGATCTGAAAGAAGATGGAGTTCAGGCAGCAATGCCAGTGATAGGGAGTGGCTATAAATACAGAGGAAGCTCTGATCATTTGCCTGCCATTTACCTCCTCATTTGCCTGCCATTCACCTCCTTCTGCCTAGCTTCTAGCAAGCCACCGACCTGTACTAGTCCATGGCCCCAGGGATAGAGACTCCTGATCTAAATCATGAAATATGTGGGCATAGAATTGTTCATAATATAATCTTTTTCTTATTTTCATTTAATGTCCATGAGATCAGTAGTGGTGGCACCTCTTTCCTTTCTTCCTCTTTCTTCTGATTAATAGTGTATGCTTTCAATTTTTTTGGCTTGTCTCACTAGTAGCTTATCAATTTTATTGACCTTTGTGAATAACTAATTGATTACTGATTATGACATTTTGAAGGACATAAATTAGTTGTCTCTGTCTTCTGTTCTCATATTACTGCCCTTTCCAGGGTACAGCTGGGTCTATTCCAGGTGTAGTTAGCCACAGTATTTGCCCAGAGACACGTAGATGTTCTGAGGTGCTCAACCAAGCTGATTTTGGCCTGAATCCTGCTCTCAGAAGCAGAGGCAGAATTAGTCTAATTTAAAGCAGTGAAATAATGAAGAAACTTATTTTTTTCCGTTTCATGAAAATTACAGATGAGTTGGAAAGGGAAACAATGAACAATTTATTTAAAGATTTATGAGTTATTTGCAGACAAAATATAAAAATTTATAAAGAATGTAATAGCTGAAGTAGTTTACATTCCCACCAGCAGCCACTGTGGAAAGCAGTTTGGGGATTTCTCAAAGGACTTAAAAAAGAATTATCGTTTGACCCAGCAATCCCATTACTGGGTATATACCCAAAGTAACATAAATCATTGTATGAAAAAGACATACGAGTATGTTCATTCATTGCAGCACAACTCACCATAGAAAGGACATTGAATCAACTTAGATGCCCATCAATGGAAGCCTGGATAAAGAAAATGTGGTACATATGCATCATAGAATACTATGCAACCATAAAAAAAGAATGAAACCATTTTCTTTGCAGCAACACAGATGCAACTGGAGACCATTATCCTAAGCAAACTAACACAGAAACAGAAAATGAAATGCCACATTTTTACTTATAAGTGAGGGCTAAACATTGCGCACACATGGAAACAAAAAAAAGAAAACAATAGGTTCTGGAGCCTACTTGAGAGTGGGAGGTGGGACAAGGGAGAAGGTTGAAGAACCACTCATTGAATACTATGCTAATTACCTGCCTGGAGAAATAATTTGTACACCAAATTCCTCTGACACCCAGTTTACCCATATAACAAAACTGCACACGTAACCCTAAATCTAAAATAAAAGTTGGAAGAAAATAAACAGATAGAAAGAAAAATATCACTCCACCCCTGAAAAAATAACAAAGTAGAAACTCTATTGGAGATTGTGAGTTCAGTTAAGTTATTCCTGTGGATAATAATTAAACATCATCATCCTTTTCCATCAACATTATGAATTACTTCAGTGCCTAGGAGATGAGAGAGTTTAGAAGTTCAAATGAAGGTGTGTGTGACACGAAATCAGTTTCCAGGCTCAATTGACAAAATAAAGACCATAATTAAAAAAAGAGAGGGGAGTGAAGGATAAAAAAGTACATACCAGGTACAATGTACACTATTTAGGTGACAGGTACACTAAAATCTCAGACTTCACCGCTATATACTTCATCCATCTAACCAAAAACCATGTGTACCCCAAAGGCTATTGAAATAAGTAAATAAATAATACTAAAATGAAATAAATCTTAAAAATATTTTAACACAGCCTGTCAAGAAGAAAAAGGCAGCAGAATTCATGCCATCAGGGAATGAAGTTGATGAAAGAGAGCGTCACCTGTTGCTGAAAACCAGGGTTAACACTGCAGCATCTTCAACAACTATTCCAGGTAAGATCTTTACCTTTCAGGTAAGTTAGTTCAATGTTAACCAGAACTGAGGAGGGTAATCATAAAAAAAAGGAATGTAAGCGGAGTCTGGTATCTAAATTCATTTATATGCATTGGTAAAATGCTCCTGGGATATACATTAGACACATTTTCAAATGTTTTACTGTGTTTCAAATGCTTGCTGGCTAAGTTGCATCTCACTGACCATTCCAATGTTTTTCATAACTATGGACAAAGTAATATACTGTGGACTGTCTATGAATAAATATGTAGTGGTTTTGTTTCTATTTGTTTCATTCTCCTGAAATAAATATGTTTTCACCATTTGTGGGAGAATGGAAACAAGATATATGTATTTTTTACATCATTTCTGTTTTGGCCTAAACAATTTATGATAGAAATTGATGCTAAAATAAGCAAATTCTTGCCACAAATTATATGCTCTTTATCAATGTACTAGCAGATACTACAGCCATTAAGGAAAGCATCATGGAGTTTTCTCAAAAAACTGAAAATAGAACTACCATATAGTCCAGCAAATCCACTACTGGGTATTTATTCAAAGAAAAAGAAGTCAGTATATCAAGGGATACCTGCACTCGCATGTTTATGGCAGCACTATTCACAATAATAAAGTTATCGAATCAGCATAAGAGTCCACCAACAGATAAATGGATAAGGAAAATGTGGTATATATTCTCAACAGAATGCTACTCAGCTTTTTAAAAGAAAGAAATATTGTCATTTGCAGAATGATGGATGGAACATCCATTATGTTAAAGAAAATAAGCCAGGCACAGAAAGACAAATATTGCATATTCTCATTCATATGTGGGAGCTGAGGAAAGTTGACCTCATGGAAGTAGAGAGTAGAATGAAGATTACCAGAGGCTGGGAATGGTGAGGGATGAAGAGAGACTGGTGAATGGGCACAAACGCACAGTTAGATAGAAGGAATATGTGCTAATGTTCTTTAGCACAGCAGGGTGACTATAGTTAGCAACAATTCTAGTCCATATTTCAAATAACTAGAAGAGATTTGAAATATTCCCAACGCAAAGAAATAATAAACGTTTAAGGTTATGGATACCCCATATACCCTGATTTGATCATTACACATTCTATGCATGGAACAAAATACCACTTGTGCCCCATAAATATGTACAAATAGTATATGCCAATAAGAAAGCTATGTAGCCAAGTAGGGGCACATTCATTCAAAATAGCATAGCAACATATGAAACTATTAAAGTCACCCTTTATGAGTCTAATATGTCCTTAATGAACTACTTTGGAAATAAATGATGCATGCTAAAATGTAATCTCTGCCCTCATGGGAATTACTACTTTTGAGAGAAATGTATGCTTTCTATGCTACTTTCCTGAGAGGAAACAGGAAAAGGTGAACGAAAATATCAGTATGAGAAAAAAGTTCTCATGATATAGTAGGAAAATAACTACCAAAATAGTAGAAAAAACAGTATGTCTTTTTGTTCAGAGGAGAGAGAAAGCACTATATCAGTGCCTATTATGACTCAGTGGGAAAACATGCTAAGCTGAGCATTGAAATAAATTTAATATTTATAGAATTCAGTAGAAGAGCAGAGAAATGTGAAAAAGGAAAGCCTCCCAGTTGAGAACAATGTTTCTCCTTTCTATAATCCTCAAAAATTATCCTTAATCCATGACTGCCTTTTATGCCTACATTTTCTTTGTTACAGGATAAAAAAAATTATTCTCTAGTGCATTCTCACGCTGGGATAAGGACATACCTGAGACCGGGTAATTTATAAAGAAAAAGAAGTTTTTCTTTTCACTCTTCCACATGGTGGGGGACGGCTCACAATCATGGTGTAAGGTGAAGGAGAAGCAAAGACACATGTTACATGGTGGCAGGAAAGAGAGTGTGTGCAGGGGAACTGCCTTTATAAAACCATCAGATCTCATGAGATTTATTCACTATCATGAAAGCAGCATGGGAAAAACCCACCCCCATGATTTAATTACCTTCCACCAGGTCCCGCCCATGACACATGGCGATTATGGAAGCTACAATTCAAATTATGATTTAGGTTGGGACACAGCCAAACCATATCAATTATTATGTTCTTTTAACATTGGTACAAACATAACTTTTTGAGCTACAAAATCCTTGGTTCTGGTAGAATCATGGGCAGGAGTCTAATTTGTACAGAATATAGAAAAAAATGACTTAGTTGAGGAAAAGGTTAGGGAAGCCAACATTGTCTCTACACAGGTGGATTTTCTCAACATTTGCTGCTGAAGAAACTTCTATGTACTATCATCCAAGGCTTTGGGAAACACCAAGTGAAAACCACTGTGTCTGACTGCTCATTATCAACAGAGGGAAGAAAGGTGTGAAATAACAGCTCTGCAATTCATACTTCCCTTTTATGGGGAAGATAGAAGCCCCTGGTAAAGGAAGAAGAGAAGTAAACTGGTCAAATCCCCTTGAAAACATGTCAGGGAGAAACCTCCTGGACACTTACTATTTTTTTGCCAGAGGAAGAGTCATTAAATGTGGAATGCTCTTGGTTGGATGTAAGAAGCCTGGCTAGAATCACTTCTGATAAGCAGACCTGGACTTTATGAAATTATAGAAAATGGCACCGTGAAAACTTTTATGTAATTAGATGAGTAGACATTAGAAAAATTTTACACCCAAAGTTGCTCCCTTCCATATTAATAATGTAACTTTATGCACTAAAGACAGAAATATATCCAGTCAGTGGATATGTACTGGGATGTACATATATCCAGCATATGTACATATGTTGGTGTGACAAAGAATTACTTTGGGACCAGTGATGAATGTCCCATACCATCTCCAATTTTAACTGTACTTCATAATTATCTGTGTACTTTAAATTACTAATAAAACTGGGTAAGTTCTAGAGTTTTGTTACTTTGATTTGATGATCTCACTATTTCTGTTATCCTTAGTAGTAACATCAATATTATGGTATACTTAACTATACAAAAATGTTTTCATGATGTGTTACACATTTTTTATGATTGTTATAAAATTATTTAATTGTTACAAAATTATTTAATTGTTACAAAAATGTTTACATAAGACTAGCTTATATGCACTCACACTGTACTCGTGAGCATTATTCCACTGTTATGACTGAGAAAAATGAGATTTAGAAAGATTAAAGCCTTAGTAAGTTCAAAAGTCTTCCTCCGTGACACAATCTAACACCCCCACTAGCACACACAAGTAAAAAGTACTTCCAAAATCAAAGCTATTAAATTATTACTGGGAATCTTATTTTTTATAAATGAATGATAAGATACAAAATTGGTAATCAAACCATAAAAAAATTTATTGTCCGTTTAAACAATAAATTCGAAACAGAGGGAGAAAATCTCCATGGAAAGTTGTCTTCCACAAGTGATAAAGAATGGGCTGAATCCAAGAGTCTGTAATAGAAAGTGCCATTCTCTGCCTACTGAAGATTGAAAGATTTTTCTTTCTCGGAATGTTTTTTTAAAAGATTATGAAGAAGACAATGCATATTGATGGGCACACCCTGACAGAACCCCAAAAGGGTTACTTTTTTGTATAATTCTCTCCACCTAGTGCAAGCAGAACCTGTGACCAACTCCTCACTAATAGAATATCTCAAAGGGGGCGAGCTAATTTGCAAATCAGTTTAGGTTTAGTTCATTTAATGGCTGTTATTCTTCTAATATCCATTTGGTAGATAAATGAAATCTGATTCAATCAGGTAACATCTCTTAAAAGAAGAATCCCTCCTGAAGAATGGCTGTCAATTGCTGATTTTAAACAATCAGGACAGTGTGAGTTACATAGCTGCAAGAAAATATAATATATTCTTTCAATAAATAAATTTGAAAGAGGACTCCCTAACCTCAAGGAGACCATAGCCTTGATTGACTCCTTGATTTCTGCTTTTTTTGACTCAGAGCAGAGGATACAAGTGAGTTTGGTAAGATGACTGAACAACAGAAATTGTGAGATGATCAATGTGTGCTGTTGCAAGCTGTTAAGTTTTTGATAAATCATTACATGGTGCTGTAGCTGTTAAGTTTGTGACAAATCATTGCACAAATGTAAAAAAAACTAACACAATTAACTTTTTAGAAAATGCATTATCAGATTAACATGTGAAGAAAAATGAGCTGCTTAGAGTCACAGATATTTGGTAATTAAGACGTTATCCCAAGTCAGAACACAAATTTAATGTGAAGTTGTAAACTTCACATGTGAATTTGTAAACAGGGGTCACATTACCATCTTGGAGATTCTAAGTTTTTAAAGGCAAAACAAACAAAAGAAATAAAATGAAATGTAATAGTAAACAGAATACGGATAACCCCATGAAAGACGCATTCTGCAAAGGGAGTATTAAGAAATAACTAGCAGGCCAGGTGTGGTGTCTCACACCTGTAAACCCAACACTTTCAGAGACCAAGGCAGGCTGATCATTTGAGGCTAGGCATTCAAGACCAGCCTGAGCAATATAGTGAAACCTTGTCTTTACTAAGAATACAAAAATTAGCCAGATGTGTTATTGTGCACCTGTACTCCCAGCTCCTCCAGAGGCTGAAGCAGGAGAATCCCTTGAACCCAGGAGGAAAAGGTTGTGGTGAGCCAAAATCATGCCACTGCACTCCAGCCTGGGTGGAACACATGGACACAGGAAGGGGAACATCACACACTGGGGCCTGTTATGGGGTCGGGGGAGCAGGGAGGGATAGCATTAGGAGATATACCTAATATTAAATGACAAGTTAATTGGTACAGCACACCAACATGGCACATCTATACATATGTAACTAAACTGCACATTGTGCACATGTACCCTAAAACTTATAGTATAATAACAAATAAAAAAGAATTAAAGAAAGAGGAAAGAAACATGCAAGGTGGCTCACCAGTGAAGACAGGTTTATTTTAGAGAAAACAAACTTGAGAGGAGCCTTCTCGCCAAGTTAGGTCAGAGGCACACTCTCTTAGAGACTTAGAGCTTTTAAGAATTCCAGATGGGAGCATTTATCAGAGGCTTGGACTGCTTCTCTGTCTCTTTGTTGTTCTTATCTGGGAGGGAGAGCTGTGTGTCTCTTCCCACAGATCTTCCTGCAGCTGCAAGCATACCCCACGAGTGTGCTTTTAGCTTCCCTATCTTAGTGCAGCTCAAGGTAAGGGAATGTGCTTATTAAGGCCTACTGTTTTACTGGGGCCCATTGTATGAGGGTGAAGTTTGGCAGTTACTTAAGAGACTTTTACCCCACCTCCCTCTATGCCTGAGCTGTCGTATCTATGTTTTACTGTCTGCTCTTTCTGCCTGCTTGTAGTTAGAAGAGAAATGATTTCCTTGAAATGCATGAGTCTAAAAAGGAAGCTGGAACTTAAAGTGGTGGTGTTTGTACAAGATGACAGCCCTCCTGCTCTGCCACAGACTCCATTGCAAGAAAAAGAAAAAAAAAAAAAGAAACAACTATCTTCCACCAGTATGCATTTCTCATGTCTTGAATGTTTTAAGCAATGCTTGATTTAAAAAAAAAAAAATGCTTCATGGCAGTTTCAAAAATGTCTTTGATATAATCTATTCTGTTTCACCTTTTTCTCTTCGTTTATTCATGCCAGTGTTAACAGTGCCTTTTTGCTA
Organism: Homo sapiens; assembly: GCF_000001405.40. NCBI lineage: Eukaryota > Metazoa > Chordata > Mammalia > Primates > Hominidae > Homo > Homo sapiens. The sequence continues at coordinate 14,926,261 of NC_000024.10, read as the reverse complement.
TTTAATTTTTTTAATTTTATTTTTGTACAGAACCAGTATTTAGGACTAATAGAAACCTCTTAAAGCACTGCTTGGTAATGGAATCATCTGTGATGGTTAATTTTGCATATTAAATTGATTGGTTAGTGGGATGGCCTTATATTTGATTAAACATGTCTCAATATGCCTTGGAGGATGTTTCAAGAAGAGTTTCAAGCATTCAAGAAATGGTTTCAAGAAGAGCATTTGGATTCAGGTAAGGCAGATAGCCTGATCCAAGGTGAGGGTGCATCATGCAATCCACTGGAAGCCTGAATAAAACAACAACCACAGAGGAAGATTAGGTTTGCTCTCCCTCTGCCTGGGAGCTTGATCCAGGAAATAGATCTTCTCCTGGCCTTCAAGCTCCTGGTTCAAAGATCATCAGACTCTGACTGGAATCTACAGCATTATCTCTGACTCTGAGGCTTCAAACTATGCCTCTGGCATTCCTGAGTCTCCAGCTTGCAGACAGCAGCAGATCATAGGATTTCTTGCCCTCTGTAATTCCACGAGTCAATGCTTGATTAAAAATATTTTTATTTAACCTATTGGTTCTGATTCTCTGGAGAACTCTGATGCATAAATTATTTTAGCAGGTTATGTTTTAGGTGAAAAATCTATGTGTTGGGAGGCTGAGGTGGGTGGATCACGGGGTCAGGAGATCGAGACCATAATGGCTAACATGGTGAAACCCCATCTCTACTAAGAAAAAAGAAAAAAATATCCAGGTGTGGTGGCATGCACCTGTAGTCCCAGCTACTTGGGAGGCTGAGGCAGGAGAATGGCGTGTACCTGGGAGGCAGAGCTTGCAGTGAGCCGAGATACTGCCACTGCACTCCAGCCTGGGTGACAGAGTGAGACTCCATCTCAAACAAACAAGCAAACAAACAAAATCTATGCCATCTATTAGCTTCATGGAAGATGACTTTATGGCAAAAAGCATGATGAGATGCAGTGGCTTAAAGACAGAGATCACACAACCCATGAGTAAGGCAGCAACAGCATATATGGTTTGGTTACAGAAGGAGATCTGTTCTTATATAAGGCTTATATGTAAACTTAAAAAAAGTTAAATCTAGTGGGATTTAAGCCTTTTACTAACCGGTATAAAATATTCCATTTTCCACTGACATCACCTGCACTCTCATGGCATGAATATGCATACTTCTCTATAATGGCAGATATTGACTATTAAACAACTGATTTGCATATATTGAACCAGCCTTGCATCCCAGGGATGAAGCCCACTTGATCATGGTGGATAAGCTTTTTGATGTGCTGCTGGATTCGTTTTGCCAGTATTTTATTGAGGATTTTTGCATCAATGTTCATCAAGGATATTGGTCTAAAATTCTCTTTTTTGGTTCTGTCTCTGCCCAGCTTTGGTATCAGAATGATGCTGGCCTCATAAAATGAGTTAGGGAGGATTCCCTCTTTTTCTATTGATTGGAATATTTTCAGAAGGAATGGTACCAGTTCCTCCTTGTACCTCTGATAGAATTCGGCTGTGAATCCATCTGGTCCTGGACTCTTTTTGGTTGGTAAGCTATTGATTATTGCCACAATTTCAGCTCCTGTTATTGGTCTATTCAGAGATTCAACTTCTTCCGGGTTTAGTCTTGGGAGTGTGTATGTATCAAGGAATTTATCCACTTCTAGATTTTCTAGTTTATTTGCATAGAGGTGTTTGTAGTATTCTCTGATGGTAGTTTGTATTTCTGTGGGATTGGTGGTGATATCCCCTTTATCATTTTTTATTGTGTCTCTTTGATTCTTCTCTCTTTTTTTCCTCATTAGTCTTGCTAGCGGTCTATCAATTTTGTTGATACTTTCAAAAGAGCAGCTCCTGGATTCATTAATTTTTTGAAGGGTTTTTTGTGTCTCTATTTCCTTCAGTTCTGCTCTGATCTTCGTTATTTCTTGCCTTCTGCTAGCTTTTGAATGTGTTTGCTCTTGCTTTTCTAGTTCTTTTAATTGTGATGTTAGGGTGTCAATTTTGGATCTTTCCTGCTTTCTCTTGTGGGCATTTAGTGCTATAAATTTCCCTCTACACACTGCTTTGAATGCGTCCCAGAGATTCTGGTATGTTGTGTCTTTGTTCTCGTTGGTTTCAAAGAACATCTTTATTTCTGCCTTCATTTCGTTATGTAGCCAGTAGTCATTCAGGAGCAGGTTGTTCAGTTTCCATGTAGTTGAGCGGTTTTGAGTGAGATTCTTAATCCTGAGTTCTAGTTTGATTGCACTGTGGTCTGAGAGATAGTTTGTTATAATTTCTGTTCTTTTACATTTGCTGAGGAGAGCTTTACTTCCAAGTATGTGGTCAATTTTGGAATAGGTGTGGTGTGGTGCTGAAAAAAATGTATATTCTGTTGATTTGGGGTGGAGAGTTCTGTAGATGTCTATTAGGTCTGCTTGGTGCAGAGCTGAGTTCAATTCCTGGGTATCCTTGTTGACTTCTGTCTCATTGATCTGTCTAATGTTGACAGTGGGGTGTTAAAGTCTCCCATTATTAATGTGTGGGATTCTAAGTCTCTTTGTAGGTCACTCAGGACTTGCTTTATGAATCTTGGTGCTCCTGTATTGAGTGCATATATATTTAGGATAGTTAGCTCTTCTTGTTGAATTGATCCCTTTACTATTATGTAATGGCCTTCTTTGTCTCTTTCGATCTTTGTTGGTATAAAATCTGTTTTATCAGAGACTAGGATTGCAACCCCTGCCTTTTTTTGTTTTCCATTTGCTTGGTAGATCTTCCTCCATCCTTTTATTTTGAGCCTATGTGTGTCTCTGCACGTGAGATGGGTTTCCTGAATACAGCACACTGATGGGTCTTGACTCTATCCAATTTGCCAGTCTGTGTCTTTTAATTGGAGAATTTAGTCCATTTAAATTTAAAGTTAATATTGTTGTGTGTGAATTTGATCCTGTCATGATGATGTTAGCTGGTTATTTTGCTCGTTAGTTGATGCAGTTTCCTCCTAGTCTCGATGGTCTTTACATTTTGGCATGATTTTGCAGCGGCTGGTACCAGATGTTCCTTTCCATGTTTAGTGCTTCCTTCAGGAGCTCTTTTAGGGCAGGCCTGCTGGTGACAATATCTCTCAGCATTTGCTTGTCTGTAAAGTATTTTATTTCTCCTTCACTTATGAAGCTTAGTTTGGCTGGATATGAAATTCTGGGTTGAAAATTCTTTTCTTTAAGAAGGTTGAATATTTGCCCCCACTCTCTTCTGGCTTGTAGGGTTTGAGATCTCCATCACCACATAACAAACTACTCCAGAACTGCATGGCACAGAACAATAACCGCTTTATTATGCTAACCCTTGCCAGGCTTTTATAATTCAGTCAAGGTATATGAATAGCTTGTCTCTGTTCCATGGAGTCTGGATGTTTAGCTGATAAGTTTCAAAGAGCTATGTGTAATTCAGATGGCTGGGAGCCAGAATCTGGGGGAGGCTTCTTTATTTACATATCATGTAAATCAATGTCATGATAATAATAATATCAAGACATTTACATGACATGCATATGGACCGAAACACATCGAACACTAGGCTCAAGCGGGCTATCAATGGAAGTATCACGTGCAGACAGGCTTTACATGTGGCTTGGGCTTCCTCACAAAATGGCAGCCTCAGAATCACCCTAACACCACTGCTGCCAAGAATCATTTAGTGTCCTTTAAATTACCTGAAAAACTTTGGTGAAGTTTTTGAGTGAAATGTTTCGGTGGCTTGCATCTTAAAAAAATATTTTGACAAATTTTGGGGTCTTTTCCCTATTACTGTGTTTTGTTGTTTTTATATAAGGTATATATTTTGGTAGGTTTTATGAAAAATTGAGTTTCTTTTGTGAATATTTCAATTATGTATGTCCACAAATTATTTATTTTACCATTATTGAAAGACAGTTTAAGTGAGCATACACTTACAGGTTGAAAGTTTCCTTTTAGAACACATTTTAATATGAGTCTATTTTATATGGGTTCTACTGATGCTGATAAGAATCTGTCAGTCTTCTTGCCATTTCTTTATGATTAGTTATTTTGTTGCTGTTGTTCGGTAGCTGGCTTTACTTTCCTTTATTTTAGCTATTTTTTTATTGTATTGCCTTTTAAATATTTGAATCTGATTGTTTGGTGTATATTTTTGCACAGAGAAGTCATATTTTCCTTTAATTCTTCATATGTTACCACTCTATCTTTTCAAACACAAACAGATATATCCCATAACGTATTTGTTAATATTTATCTAAACTTCTGCTTGACAGTGTGCCTACTTTTTCTCTGTCCTCCATTTTTTTGTGAATTCCTTTATAATGCATTTTCCCTTTTTTTACTACATCATTCCAATTTACTGTTCTTCCTTTGAATTTTTAAACTATTTTTAATTATAATTATCAAGGTATAGTTTTTAAAAACAAAATCTATGCTTTTTCTTTATAAAATGTGTAATTTATTTCTATATTTATCATCTCTTCTTTAGCTTTACTTTCTCTTTATACCTCTTTTCTCTTTTCCAAAACAAATTATGTTAGTGACTAGTCATTGTAATTATAGTGGTTAGTATTCTCTATTGCAAATCAAGGCTACTTTCTTATGCCAATGAAGGTATTTTAAGAATGAGACTCAACTTTCTAGCCAGAGTTCTTCCTCTGTTCTGTCCATCAAATGCTGACAATTCTGCTTCTGCACCTCCTCACATAAAAAACATAATTGCATGTTGGGTATATGAGTTTTTAATTTTGGTGTTTTATGTCTTGCCTCATGCTATTGTTTTAGATTAGAATCTCTTTCCCATGTTTTGAGCCTGTTAAAATTTTCATTAGCCTTTAACTTTGAAACAAAACGCCTCATCCCTAAAAATGTGTAACCACGTCCTCTAAGGTTTAATGAATCACTTCTTTGCCTTTACCATCTCTGGCATAGAAGTACTATTTTTGCAATGAATTTTAATTAATCACTTGTATGCTGCCTTCACTATAAATAAATCTATGAAGGACAGGAACTATGTAGGCTTCTTCTCCACATATCTCATAGCACAGCGCTTTGAACATAGTTACTCAAACATTAGCTGAATTGAATTGTAAACAATATAAATTCTTTTGGAGACTGCTTAGGTCTAAGTTTATTCATAGATAATTTCAACATTTTGGGCTGGAATAGGAAAATAAAAGAAAAAGAGGACTATTAGTTTTTAGGCAAATCTGAATATTTCCTTGCAGGAATACATAATTAAAATACATGATTTCTCATGCCTGTAATCTCAGCACTTTGGGACGCTGATGTGGGCGTATCACAAGGTCAGGAGATTGACACCATCCTGGACAACATGGCGAAACCCTATTTCTATTAAAAATACAAAACTTAGCTGGACATGGTGGTGTTTGCCTGAAATCCCAGCTACGTGGGAGCTGAGGAAGGAGAACCGCTTGAACCAGGGAGTAGGAGGTTGCAGTAAGCAGAGATCGTGCCACTGTATTCCAGCCTGCTGACAGAGCAAGACTCCATTTCAAACAAACAAACAATGACTTAATTGTTTATTTTGAAATATTTGAAATATTTATGTGGCAGAGATGGAGCTATTCTTTCCTCTAATATTACATGCAAAAAAATTGTGGTACCAATTGTGGCTACCAATTGTGGGTAACAGACATTATAACTGATAAATATTATTTCATGAAATGGAATAAATTCATTTAAAGAAATAAACTAACAAAACCACAATAATATTGAGTTTGTTTGTTTTTTTGTTTTTTGACACGTTACTCCCTTTTTGCATTATCTGACCTGATTGCCAACAATGGGGTTTAAAACAAGGGCAGTTTTATTTAGAGATAAATATCCCACTGTGGCAGAAGAAGAAATATGCCCTTTGAGAAGGGAAAAGGAGTCTGTAAAGTGGGTATTATTCAAGTTCAATCAAAGACAATTTCTAAAATGTAAGAAAAAGTACCAAAAATACAAGGGACTAAAATAAGGGACTAATTAAAAGGCAGCACCTGTTCTGGGCACCATGCAAATATGCCACTTATACTACACATCAATTAGGACAGGAAGGAATCATTTCCCTCCACTTACTGATGAACAAATAGAGACAAAGGTGCCTGGAAATTACCGTGTCACACAGCTAGCAAAGGAAAGTCCTTGTGAGAAAATCCAGATTTTTCTCATATACTGAACACCTTGAAGTCATTTCAAGTTATCCAATACTTGTGCATTGCATTAGTCAAGAATGATGATAGACAGGGTACGTTAGTCCATTTTTAAGCTGCTAATACAGACATATCCGAGACTGGGTAATTCATTTAGGAAAGAAGTTTAATTCACTCACAGCTCCCCATGGCTGGAGAGGACTCAGGAAACTTACAATTATGGTAGAAGGAAAAGCAACATATCCCTCACATGGCGGCAAGAAGGAGAATCCTGAGCAAAAGGGAGAAAAGCCTCTTATAAAACCAGCAGATCTCATGAGAACTCACTATCAAAAGAACAGCAGCATTTGGTTAACGACACCCATGGTTAAATTACCTTCCACTGGGATCCTCCCACAACATGTGAGGATTATGGGAAATACAAATCAAGATGAGGTTTGGGTGGAGACACATCCAAAACATATCACAGGGTGTAACAAGATGCAAAAGAAATTTGTTTCTTGACATCTATTGCTCATGTTTTCTTCCTCATCCTTCCTTCCCTGCCCTGGTCCTTCCTCCTTCCTTTCTCTGTTTTTCACCCCTTGCCTCCTTCCTACCCCATCGCTTCCTTTTTCCCTCTCCCCCTCCCTCTCTCCTGTTTCTCCCTCCCTTCCCTCCTTCCTTCCTTCCCCCCTTCCTCCCTCCCTGCCTCCCTCCTTCCTACCTTCCCTTGTTCCTTCTCTCCTTCCTTCCTTCCTTTCTTTTTTGCTTCCAACTTACACAGTCATCTTTGATTCAGTGTTTCCAGTTCCTGAGTACTAAGAGAAGAATAATTCTAATAACACTGAATTTACTGATCTAATGGCTTTGTTTTCACTATCAAATATTTGAGAAATCACCAAGTGTCTAGTACTGGACGATTTGTGGTTATTTTTATAATGATTATCATTCAAGTAATTATCTCTCCTAAACTACTTTTTTTTTTTTTTTTTTTGCAGAGAGCTTGCTTTGTCTAGTACCTCTTTGACATTCCACTTTTTAAATTAGTAGAAAATATCTCCTTTGAAAATAAGCTATTGGCCAGGTGCAGTGGCTCATGCCTGTAATCCTAGCACTTTTGGAGGCTGAGGTGGGAGGATTGCCTGAGCTCAGGAGATCAAGACCACCCTGGGCAACATGGTGAAACCCCATCTCTACTAAAATACAAAAAAAAAAAAAAAAAAAAAAAATTTAGCTGGATGTGGAAGCATGCACCTATAGTCCCAGCTACTCAGGAGCCTGAGGCAGGAGAATTGCTTGCTTGAACTTGCGAGGCAGAGGTTGTAGTGAGCCAAGATGATGCCGCTGCACTCCAGCCTGGAAACAGAGTGAGGCTCTTTCTCAAAAAAAAAAAAAAAAGAAAAATAAGAAAAATAAGAAAAGAAAAAAGAAAATATATTATTATCTAAAACATTTCTTAACAAAGTAATTACATTGTGTTATTTCTGGGGAGAAGCCAAATGATACTTCCAATATGCAATTCTTCATATTGTTTAGTTTGATTGTAGCTTTACTCATATGTATTTTGAACATATATTGATCTAATAAAATTTCCCAACCGCATTATATCAATATATAACTTAATAATCCATTTATGTTTAGTAATGTTTTAAAATATCATTCACAGAATATTAATATACCTTATAGATTTTTAAAGACAAAATCCTATCCACATATCTCTGTAATTAGCAATATATTGGCCATGCCAAGTTAAAATCAAAACTTACATCCTAGATTAAGATTTACTAGGAAATAAAATGAAGCAATAAATTACATTTCAAATAGTAATTGAAGGAAAATCTAACCACATTAGAGTATGAATAGAATCTCTATTTAAGTTAGCCTAGTGGTATCAGGTCATTGATATTTTGGACAATATAAGATGCAATGATATACTGCATCTTGGTTGTTTAGTTTTTTTCAAATAGTTCAAGAAGCACATGTAGGACCTCATCAATGTTGTATTGAAAAACTGATGTAAAGTGTGTTTAATTTATATATCCTTTGTGTGTGTAGTTTTGTCTCTTCATTTAATTTACAATGAACATTATTACTCTTTGGCCCAGAAAAGATTCTTGTCTTAATAGTCATGTCTTTGTTTATTCACTTACTCATCCATGTCATAAATATTTATTGTATAAATTTGTGTATGACATGAATTTCATTGTGCTTTTTCATCTCAGAGAATCATCAGTGGCAATACCAATCTGATCTCCTGGAGCTTAACCACATCATATATATTTATATTTTCACATTTATTTGGCTATTTGCCTATGCACAGTCCAATTGTCACTAATTTATTTTCACACTTCAAGAAACAAAGGTCTCAGAACAATTACACAACACAAAGTAGACTGGAAATTTAGTATTATCTAGTTATCTTAATCCATTTTAATTCAATTAAAAGAAAAAGCTGAACTACTAATTCAAAATTTCAAGAATGCTCTTTGGAGCCTAAATCTTATTCTTTTTTTTTTTTTTTCTTAAGGCAGAGTCTCGCTCTGGAGTGGAGTGAAATGGCACAATTCCACCTGACTGCAACCTCTGCCTCCTGGATTCTTCTACATCAGCGTTCTGACTACCTAAGATTACAGATGTGTGCCACCACACCAGGGTAATTTTTTGTATTTTTATAGTGACAGGGTTTCGCCATGTTGGCCAGGCTGGTCTCCAACTCCCGACCTCAAATTATCCACCAGGCTCAGCTTCCCAAAGTCCTGGGATTACAAGACTGAGCCACTATGCCCAGCCTTAAAATACTTTCCACAGCCATTTGTATTGCTGAAAGTAATCATAAAACTATTCAACATGTTTTTTCTTTGTGCTTTCCATATATTATCTGCTGTTCTTTTGTGAGTACAATTTAGTATCTGAAAGACAAAAAAGCAAGTAAAAAAATCAACTTTAACTGATATAAAAGGTTAAGGATGGAATTAGAAAATATCCAGGCAAGCAAACGAGAAATAAATTGTTTTTGAGAGACAATCTGGCTTTCTGAAGTCTTTAGACAAAAATAATATTGATGACTTCAGAAAGAATCAAATAGTCTATAGTGCTTTGGAAGACAAAATAAAAGTAAATATCTATGATTAATTTCAAATAGGACCTCTTCTATTTGAAACTTCCTACCGTAAAAGTGCCTTAGGGTAAACATATTTAAGTGTAAATATATATATACACATATGTAACATATAACATTTAATATTTATTTAACAGATATAATGGAAAATATATATTATATATTATATGATTTTATTCTTTTTGAGAAATCCATGAATTACAAGGGCAGCAAATTGACTTTGAATATAGCAGGAATACCTGCCACAGGAATACCTATGGCAAAGATGATTAGTTGTTATTTGGTTTTTGTTGTTTAATCTATAATATTTTAGGGAAAAACCCATTCAAATGTATGCTTGGGGCTTTTAAGGTCTTATGTTTAGTATATATAGTTGAGTCATAGTCTACAATTCCACTAAATAGCAATAGGAAGGTCATTATCTGCCTAAAAAATCCTTAATTGAAGAGGCCATTTTTAAAAACAATCTAAATTGATAAATACAGTGCCATTTAAGGGAGATTTATACAATTTCACAAATTTTATATTTAAGCTTCTATCTGAGGGTACAGATAGAATCACATACTTTTACTTTCTTTGAAGAATATAAATTGTTTTCATTGCTGGCTGTTCTCTGGGACTTTGTTATTCTCTGTCCACTGATCAGAGATAAGGACTGGATTATGAAGCTGATAAGAGAGGAATGTATGGGGCTGGTAAAAATCAAAAGTGCCTTCCCAATACTAATGGCACTCTCAAATAGCTCACTGATACAAATAGCATAGCAGCCTCTTGGGAATTGAACAATTTCACTTTCTTACAGGGGAGTAATTAGCCTGTCTGGCATTCCTTTCGAGATAAGGCCAAGCTTCCAGATATTAGGCAGCTGACTCTTCTTGGGCTCCAAGGAGCTTACCTTCAATACGTCCCCCAAAAACCTTAAAGACTAAGTTTTCAGAACTCTGCAATTATTTGTTTCAGAACGCTGCAATTATTTTCTGCTTATATCAAGAAATCATAAATGGGAACCAAGTTGGAAAACACTCTGAAGCATATTATCCAGGAGAACTTCCCCAATCTAGCAAGGCAGGTCAATATTCAAATTCAGGAAATACAGAGAACACCATAAATATACTCCTTGAGAAGAGCAACTCCAAGACACATAATTCTCAGATTCACCAAAGTTGAAATGAAGGAAAAAATGTTAAGGGCAGCCAGAGAGAAAGGTCAGGTTACCCACAAAGGGAATCCCATCAGACTAACAGCTGATCTCTCAGCAGAAACTCTACAAGCCAGAGGAGAGTGGGGTCCAACATTCAACATTCTTAAAGAAAAGAAGTTTCAACCCAGAATTTCATATCCAGCCAAACTAAGCTTCATGAGTGAAGGAGAAATAAAATCCTTTATAGACAAGCAAATGCTGGGAGATTTTGTCACCACCAGGCCTGCCCTAAAAGAGCTCCTGAAGGAAGCACTAAACATGAAAAGGAACAACTGGTATGAGCCACTGCAAAAACATGCCAAATTGTAAAGATGATTGAGGCTAGGAAGAAACTGAATCAATTAATGAGCAAAATAACCAGCTAACGTCGTAATGACTGGATCAAATTCACACATAACAATATTAACCTTAAATGTAAATGGACTAAATGTTCCAATTAAAAGACACAAACTGGCAAATTGAATAGAGTCAAGACCCATCAGTGTGCTGTATTCAGGACACCCAACTCACGTGCAGAGACACCCATAGGCTCAAAACAAAAAGATGGAGGAAGATCTACCAAGCAAATGGAAAAAACAAAAGGCAAGGGTTGCAATCCTAGTCTCTGATAAAACAGACTTTAAAGCAAAAAAGATCAAAAGAGACAAAAAAGTCCATTACATAATGGTAAAGGGATCAATTCAACAAGAAGAGCTAACTATCCTAAATATATATGCACCCAATACAAGAGCACCCAGATTCATAAAGCAAGTACTTAGAGACCCACGAAGAGACTTAGACCCCCACACAATGATAATGGGAGGCTTTAACAACCCAGTGTCAACATTAGACAGATCAATGAGACAGAAAGTTAACAAGGATATCCAGGAACTGAACTCAGCTCTGCACCAAGGGGACCTAATAGACATCTACAGAACTCTCCACCCAAAATCAACAGAATATACATTTTTTTCAGCACCACACCACACCTATTCCAATACTGACCACATACTTGGAAGGAAAGCACTCCTCAGCAAATGTAAAAGAACAGAAATTTTAACAAACTGTCTCTCAGACCACAGTGCAATCAAACTAGAACTCAGGATTAAGAAACTCACTCAAAACCACTCAACTACATGGAAACAGAACAATCTGCACCTCATTGACTACTGGGTACATAACCAAATGAAGGCAGAAACAAAGATGTTATTTGAAACCAACGAGAACAAAGACACAACATACCAGAATCTCTGGGACACATTCAAAGCAGTGTGTAGAGGGAAAATTTATAGGACTAAATGCCCCCAAAAGAAAGCAGGAAAGATCTAAAATTGACACCCTAATTAAAAGAACTAGAGAAGCAAGAACAAACACATTCAAAAGCTAGCAGAAGGCAAGAAATAACTAAGTTCAGAGCAGAACTGAAGGAAATAGAGACACATAAAACCCTTAAAGAAATCAATGAATCCAGGAGTTGGTTATTTGAAATGATCAACAAAATTGATAGACCCCTAGCAAGACTAATAGAGACAAAAAGAGAGAAGAATCTAACAGGTGCAATAAAAAATGATAAAGGGGATATCACCACCGATCCCACAGAAATACAAACTACCATCAGAGAATACTACAAACACCTCTATGCAAATAAACTAGAAAATCTAGAAGAAGTGGATAAATTCCTCGACACATACACTCTCCCAAGACTAAACCAGGAAGAAGTTGAATCTCTGAATAGACCAATAACAGGATCTGAAATTGTCGCAATAATCCATAGCTTACCAACCAAAAAGAGTCTAGGACCAGATGGATTCACAGCTGAATTCTACCAGAGGTACAAGGAGGAACTGGTACTATTCCTTCTGAAACTATTCCAATCAATAGAGAAAGAGGGAATCCTCCCTAACTCATTTTATGAGACCAGCATCATTCTGATACCAAAGCCAGGCAGAGACACAACAAAAAAAGAGAATTTTAGACCAATATCCTTGAGGAACATTGATGCAAAAATCCTCAATAAAATACTGGCAAAACGAATCCAGCAGCACGTCAAAAAGCTTATCCACCATGATCAATTGGGCTTCATCCCTGGGATGCAAGGCAGGTTCAATATATGCAAATAAATAAATGTAATCCAGCATATAAACAGAACCAAAGACAAAAACCACATGATTATCTCAATTGATGCAGAAAAAGCCTTTGACAAAATTCAACAGCCTTTCATGCTAAAAACTCTCCATAAATTAGGTATTGATGGGACATATTTCAAAATAATAAGAGCTATCTATGACAAACCCACAGCCAATAGCATACTGAATGGGCAAAAACTAGAAGCATTCCCTTTGAAAACTGGCAAAAGACAGGGATGCCCTCTCTCACCACTCCTATTCAACATAGTGTTGGAATTTCTGGCCAGGGCAATTAGGCAGGAGAAGGAAATCAAGGGTATTCAATTAGGAAAAGAGGAAGTCAAATTGTCCCTGTTTGCAGATGACATGATTGTATATCTAGAAAACCGCATTGTCTCAGCCCAAAATCTCCTTAAGCTGATAAGCAACTTCAGCAAACTCTCAGGATACAAAATCAATGTACAAAAATCACAAGCATTCTTATACACCAATAACAGACAAACAGAGAGCCAAATCATGAGTGAACTCCCATTTACAATTGCTTCAAAGAGAATAGAATATCTAGGAATCCAACTTACAAGGGATGGGAAGGACCTCTTCAAGGAGAACTACAAACCACTGCTCAAGGAAATAAAAGAGGATACAAACAAATGGAAGAACATTCCATGCTCATGGGTAGGAAGAATCAATGTCATGAAAATGGCCATACTGCCCAAGGTAATTTACAGATTCAATGCCATCCCCATAAAGCTACCAATGACTTTCTTCACAGAATTGGAAAAAACTACTTTAAAGTTCATATGGAACCAAAAAAGAGCCTGCATCACGAAGTCAATCCTAAGCCAAAAGAACAAAGCTGGACGCATCACACTACCTGACTTCAAACTATACTACAAGGCTACAGTAACCAAAACAGCATGGAACTGGTACCAAAACAGAGATATAGATCAGTGGAACAGAACAGAGCCCTCAGAAATAATGCCGCATATCTACAACTATCTGATCTTTGACAAACCTGAGAAAAACAAGCAATGGGAAAAGAATTCCCTATTTAATAAATGGTGCTGGGAAAACTGGCTAGCCATATGTAGAAAGCTGAAACTGGATCCCTTCCTTACACCTTATACAAAAATCAATTCAAGATGGATTAAAGACTTAAACGTTAGAACTAAAACCATAAAAACCGTAGAAGAAAACCTAGGCATTACCATTCAGGACATAGGCACGGGCAAGGACTTCATGTCTAAAACACCAAAAGCAATGGCAACAAAAGCCAAAATTGACAAATGGGATTAATTAAACTAAAGAGCTTCTGTACAGGAAAAGAAATTACCATCAGAGTGAACAGGCAACCTACAAAATGGGAGAAAATTTTTGCAACCTACTCATCTGACAAAGGGCTAATATCCAGAATCTACAATGAACTCAAACAAATTTACAAGAAAAAAACAAACAACCCCATCAAAAAGTGGGCAAAGGACATGAACAGACACTTCTCAAAAGAACACATTTATGCAGCCAAAAAACACATGAAAAGATGCTCATCATCACTGGCCATCAGAGAAATGCAAATCAAAACCACACTGAGATACCATCTCACACCAGTTAGAATGGCAATCATTAAAAAGTCAGGAAACAACAGGTGCTGCAGAGGATATGGAGAAATAGGAACACTTTTACACTGTTGGTGGGACTGTAAACTAGTTCAACCATTGTGGAAGTCAGTGTGGCGATTCCTCAGGGATCTAGAACTAGAAATACCATTTGACCCAGACATCCCATTACTGGGTATATACCCAAAGGACTATAAATCATGCTGCTATAAAGACACATGCACACGTATGTTTATTGCGGCATTATTCACAATAGCAAAGACTTGGAACCAACCCAAATGTCCAACAATGATAGACTGGATTAAGAAAACGTGGCACATATACGCCATGGAATACTATGCAGCCATAAAAAATGATGAGTTCATGTCCTTTGTAGAGACATGGATGAAATTGGAAAACATCATTCTCAGTAAACTATCGCAAGAACAAAAAACCAAACACCGCATATTCTCACTCATAGGTGGGAATTGAACAATGAGATCACATGGACACAGGAAGGGGAATATCACACTGGGGACTGTTGTGGGTTGAGGGGAGGGGCGAGGGATAGCATTGGGAGATATACCTAATGCTAGATGATGAGTTAGTGGGTGCAATGCACCAGTATGGGACAAGTATACCTATATAACTAACCTGCACAATGTGCACATGTACCCTAAAACTTAAAGTATAATAAAAAGAAAAAAAAGAAAAATGATTTGTTCCCTGCCATTTGAAAAGGAAATATTATTGCACTAATATATCTGTTTTATGAAATAATCAAAATTTGAAAATTTACTCTTGACTCTTGTTCAAGGTTGAAACATAAACCTATATCAACATCAGGTAGTATGACATTAACCTATGTCAATATCAGGTAGTATGTCTAAGAGGAGAATACTCTTATTATAAAAGTATCAATGCAAACTAAGAAAAAATAAAAATAATTCAAATTTCACCAATTTTAAAAAATATATAAAAATCAGGTGGTAGGGTCTATCTGTCAATGACGTGGCTCTTCTCAGAAATCTAGTGATAAAATGTTGAATTGTGGTGTGTCATTTGCGTACTGTAGAGAAATTTCAAAGTAGCACGAATTCACAAAAAGTGGTGTCATGGGGTTGCAGACTAAATCATTCAAAACTGAGATAAGAAGGATCAGACATGAATGGTTAAATGTTGAAACAAAAAAAAAAGAGAAAAATTTAAGGAATTAATTTCTCAAGTATCAAATAAGTTTTTTTTCTGGGAATATTAACATTTCCATGTTAACAAGTAAGATTTAACTACTTAGTAGGAGGACATAATCTGCCTCCATGTCTCAAGTGGTGATATAAGTGAGTTTCTTGAAGCATGTTGTAATTGAAGCATGATTGGCATCCAAGGATCCACATAAAAATGATAATATCTTAATGATGTCTCCAGGGTCCTGGTTCTGACTTCCAGGTTGCAAGTCTAAAAAACTGACTTTGTTCTTAACCCTGCACTTCCTCAGATGCCACCGTGAGTGGAAGGGAAGAGAGAACTCACACAGAAATTAAACGTGGAGGAGAGGTGCATACCCAACAAAATGTCCTTCCGTGAACTTTACACATATTCAAAATAATTGGAGTGTTGATGCTGTAATCGCAGCTGTGTTCAAAGAGAATAAAACGGAAACAATGGGAATCAGATCATCTTGGTGCTATGGAGATTCTAATTCGTTATGCCCCAATCTGGAATCATCAGTGCTTTACTGGAGCAGGAGTACGCTGCATGAGACATTAGTTTTATGTATCAGTTCGACATGGCCATAGCACTTAGCTCCTTAATCAAACATTAGCATAGCTTTGGCTGTGAAAGTATTTTGTAGATGTCATTAACAACCACAATCGGTTGACTTTAAGAGGATAATGGGAGTGAGTCTCATCAACAATAGTTGAAAGTCCTTAAGAGCAAAAACAGGTTTTGTGAACAATAAGAAATTCCGCCTCAAGACTGCAGCATCACTTCATTCCTGAATCCCCAGCCAGAAGCCTTGCCCTATAGCTTTTGGGTGTGCCAGCCGCTACAGTCACATGAACCCATGCCTCCCAAGAAACTTCTTTGGTTCTGTTTCTCTGCAGATCCCAGTCTAACAGATTGAGTCTCTCTCCATTGCAGAGTTCCTAAGTTTTGCTTATGCAGCACATAAATCCTCATAGATTTGATGTAAGTTTTTTTTTTTTTTCATGGTGGACTTGATCAAGTATGATCTTTATCAAAGTAAACTTTTAATTTAGCAAGTAATACATGGATCGATTCTGTTTTTGAAAGTTTCCAAAATACAGATAATACTAAGATACACTGAATAATCATGTCCAACTATAATTCCCTCTCTAAAAGTAAACGCCACTATCAATTTGATATGTCTCATGCTGGAGCAGCATTTATGTAGTTATAAATTTCTATTGATCTATCTAATGTATATCTCTATATGTATCTTTTATCTGTCTATACATCCTTCCACCCATCTCTTTAACATCTAACTATATATATATCCATTTATTCAT
The DNA here is from genome assembly GCF_000001405.40 of Homo sapiens. Lineage (NCBI taxonomy): Eukaryota > Metazoa > Chordata > Mammalia > Primates > Hominidae > Homo > Homo sapiens. The sequence goes on along the minus strand of NC_000024.10, from coordinate 14,909,559 downwards.
CTACACTAACTCTATCCATTATCTATTCATTTATCCATCTGTCTAACTGCATATATTATCACTGTGCTTCCTGTGGGTGTCTATGTCCTTCCAAGCTCTGTACTGTTAGAAGAAAAGCCACGGAACACATCCTTGCACATGCTTCTTGATGCATGTTTTTCTAAAATGAGCCATGAGAAGTAGAATTGCTAAATCACAGACTGATTTTTTTTTATTGTAATAGCTTCTGCCAAATTAACCTAAAAAAATTCAGGAAATTTACATTCATACTGAGCACTAAACTCCCTACTCCAGGCCTGATTTTTATCAAACTTTTGAAGTGTTTGCTAATATGATGAGAGAAAATTGTGCTTCCCTTATTAGTAATAAGGTTAATTAGTATTTAGTATTTAATTTGTATTTTTGCAATCCTGAATAAATTGATCAAATCTTTTGATAATTTTTTTCATTAGTGGTTTCCTTTGTGTTGTGAGGAGGTTTTTAAACACAAATTCTGGATATACAGTCATGTACTGCATAACAATATTTTAGTCATTGAATAGCCACAATTCCACACTCTTCCCATGAGATTATGAAACCATGTTTCTACTGTAACTTTTTTGTGTTTAGATACACAAATATTTATCACTGTGTTATGGTTGCCTACAATATTCAGTATAGTAACATTTTGCATAGGTTTGTAGCCTCCGGGCAATAGGCTGTACCATATAGGCAAGGTGTGTAGTAGGCTATACCACCTAGATTTGTGTAAGTACACTCTGTCATGTTCACACAAACATGATGAAATTGCCTAATGTCACATTTATCAGAAGAGAGCTCTGATGTTAAGCAACATATAACTGTAGTTTATTGTGAATTTTTAATGTTGAGGTAACCAAATGATTCAATATTTTAGTGAGTAGTTTTTTTATTGAAGCGTTTTAAAAGAGGAGTTCCTCTATCTTAAAGATTATAACATATCATCTTTTTTCATTATTTTTATATATTCAATGTTTTCATATTGAGTTATTTAATAGATCTAAAATAATAAAGTGTTTGTGTATGTGTTTGAGAGAGAGAGAGACAGAGAATTTACTTTGATTTATTCTGTAGTAGGAAACTAAAATACCTTAAATTATTAAACTATTTAATGTTATCAATAATTTGAAAAAAATAAGGACTATCATTGCCATATTTTATTTTGCCTTAATTTTTTAAACATATTTTTCCATCATCGTAGATGCTAGTAGTGTCATAGAAAATAAATATAATGACAATTTGATTTTGTGGTTTTGTAGATAATTTTCCAATATGAGGACCTGTTTTTCCACTATTTATGAAATTCTACAACAATATGATTTGCTTATTTGTTTAGATATTTATCATGCTAGACACTAAGTCCATTCCTTATGTTTTTCTTTATTTTTACAGAAGTGCATATTATTTGATTCTCTAATAATTAACCCCCACTGTACATTCTAGTTTCTCCTTCTAGGACTATTAATGCAGATATTGAGATGAATTTGCCATTTCAGTACCATGCATCTCAGGAGTCTTTGCTACATCATTAGTGCTGATATTTGAAAATCTCACTTGACTGTCTGGAGCAGAGATCACAAGTCTTTGGCTGGCTGAATCTGCATCCATGCCAACATCATCACTAACAGACACACGATGGTGAAAAGATATTTTGCAAACTGTGGATTTAATATATATCTCCTTATTATTACTTGTATTTTTCAAATTCATGCCTTCTGGGCTGAATTCTGAGAATGTTTTTCAGCAAAAACTTACACTCCATTTTACTCTTTTTTCTTGTTTTGTTTTGTTTTGTTTTGTTTTGTTTTCTTGACTCAGGACAAATTTTTAAATCTTTAGATTATTTTTAAAATACTATTTATTTAAGGAAGGTAACATCACATCAAACATTTGAGGATCATTCATATATTTCTGATAAACTTTATAACTTACTCAATTAACTGTGCTTCCTAAGTTCAATGTTGTTTTTGAATTAGAGTTGCTTCTCTCTTTTATCTGTTCACTTTCCTTCAGCATGTGGTTATTTACACTGTGTACTAAGTGTAAGAATTCCACTGGATCACCTGTTCTCTTTGTCTCCACTCCTCTTCCTCCTCCTCCTTTTTCTCTTGCTGTCTCTTTCCTCTTTCTTCTATCTCTGTCAATCTTTCTTCTTTTTCTATTCAGCCCTCTATCTCAGAGGACAAAGTCCCTCCACTCATAAATGTGCAATTTGTCTAACTTTATACATTGGACTTTTACTTCCAGAGAGCAGAGAAATCATACATTGTAGATTTTTCTTTTCTACTCCCACATCAAATTCTCATATATGTCAGACACTGGAACAAGAGATTCATAATATAACATGATTTGCCAAAGTTCCTCTATCTAGAAAATCCATTGGTTTCAAGTAAGGGCATAATTGGATACAAAATAACTAGTGCCCAATTTAGTTATGGCAGGAAGTTTATCATTTCAAGTACTGCTATATAAATCAACAGTAGGCCTACCCTTTGGATCTCTACAGACCACAGGGCCTTGGAGTGATGCTTAAGTATCCCATAGGCAGGATGTAGCAATAAAAAGTAAAGGGACTCTGTGAAGAGTGATTTGGTTGGATGCAACAACACTTAAGGAAACATGCTGATAAATTGGACATAAAAAAAGAATCAATCAAGACTGAACAATTTTTTTATAATGAAATAAATTCCTGGATTTTTATAAAAGTCTGAAGAGTTACAAAAATTTAAGATCTGAACCCTGAATTGTGTGACATATACTTACAAGAAAATATAACTTACACTATTTTCAAATTAAACAGGTTCTAATCTCCAGCTCCCAAAACAAAACAATATTAAAGCTAGCATTGGAAAAGGACTTTTATTTTATTTTTTCTTTGGTAGGTGACTTAAATGTAACTGGATTTAATGTCACATAACAGATTTTGAGATTATTTTTACAATTAAAATATTTAAGTAGATTTTGAGTTTATCACCCAGCAACTTGACATTATTGGCATCGACTATGGCAATTCTCAATGATGGCTGCATATAGCATCATTTGTTTGCTGTTGTTGTTTTGATACAGGGTCTCTCTCCCATCACTCAGGCTGGAGTGCAGTGGTATGATAATAGCATACTGCAGCCTTGACCTCCTGGTTTCAGATGATTTTCCCACCTCAGCCTCCCAGGTAGCTTGGACCACAGGTAGTGTGGGCCTCAGCCTCCCAGGTAGCTGGGACCTCCCAGGTAGTATGGGCCTCTGTCACCACCTCAAATCCTGCATTTTTTTTAGATAAAATATAAAACTATTTTTATTTTTTTTAATAGAGACAGGGTTTCACACTATGTTGCCCAGGCTTGTCTAGAACAACTGGGCTCAAGTGATTCACCTTCCTGGGCCTCCCAAAGTGCTGGAATTACAGGCATGAACCACCACGCCTGGCCAGCATCATTTGTAAAGCATTAAAAATACTAAGGACGGGCTTTTAATCCCTATGACTGTGGCTTAACTGGTCCTGGATGAGCTTAGACATGAGGCTTTGCAAAATCTTTCTAGATGATTCAATCATGCAGCCAAAGTGGAGAAAGAGAGGTGCTAACATCCCTGGCCCACTTAGGAAGCAACGAACATGACTCCAGTTAAGCCACTTTTAAGTTCATGGAAAAGACCAACAACACAGTTGGAACCTTTTAAATTCACTTCCCTCCTTCATGTTTGGTCTTCCTTCTGACAAAAGTCCCAATAAGCAACACACTGTAATTTATTCATGCAATGTCTTTCCAGCACACCTGGCTGGCTGTACTTCTCTTGCTGTCATAAAACCAGGGGCTTAGGTGGGCCAGGAGAACAAGTGCATTTTATGACTTAAGAACCATGCTTTTCTTTACTGTGTAAGACCACAGCAAAATGAGCCATTATTGGGTGACATCTCTAACCCAGATGTTTAATTAACATTCATTTAAATAATTCATTGCTCTTCTTAGCCATTTTTCACCCTCGTTTTTTAGTATCATATGGATTGTCCACCTACATTTAGGAATGTTAACAACTGCAATTGATGACATGCTTAGGTGGATCTAGTTTTATTTAAATTATATATACAATCATATTTTATATAACACTATATAATAAATAATATAAAATAAATATATACATATAAGGGTTTGAAATTGCTAATTTTATATATAGCATTTTCTACCACTTTTAAGAGTGCAATTCGGTGACATTAATTATGTTTACACTGTGATGCAGCCAACACCACTCTCTATTTTGAAAAATAGTTTTATCATTCTGTACCCATAACACAGTAACTGTTCATTTTTCCCCTCCCCCAGCACCTGGCACCCATTATTGTACTTTCTGTCTCTATAAATTTGACTACTCCAGGTACCTCATATAAGTGGAACTGGACAATATGTGTCCTTTTGTGGTTGACTTATTTCATTTAGCATGTCATCAAGGCTCATCTATGTTGTAAAAGATATCTGAGCTCCCTTCCTTTTTATGGCTGAATAATATTCCACTGCATAAACAACACAATTTGTTTATCCATTTGTCTGTCTATAGATATGAGGGTTTTGTCTACCTTCTGGTCATTGTGAATGCTGCTGCAAAGGGCATTGGCTTACAAGTATCTGAGTTTCTGTCTTTAAATCTTTTGGGGTATATAACTCTGGAGTGGTATTTCTATGTCATTTAGTCACTCTATGTTTAGTTGCTGGGGGGTTTATAGGTGCATTTTGAGAACTAAATGTCACAGCAACATTCAGATGGAGGAAACTGAAGCTTCAGCAGATTAACTCACTAGCTAATGTTTTAAAAGTAATAAAATGTTTGTTCCAGGAGATAGACCACAGACCACAGATTCTCAATGTTGAACTTTAAGCCAATCTGCCCTACTTTCCCCAAGATTGACTAGATACTCTGGTACTTTCTTAACAAAATTCTCTGTCTCCCATATAAAGGACAAAAAGAGTTATAGATTAACTTCTGAGAGATACTAAGATGGGACAAATTGCTATAGTTAGAAAAGGGAAGCAAAGGACATGAGAAACACATATCACAGGATCTCAGTGGACTTGCCTCATTTGGAGGTGTGAAGGGAAAGTTTCATAGAGTTCCTTGTATGTGTGACTTTGATTGTTTTTGTTTTCTTTTAAATTTTCTAAAGGGGAAATTCTTTAAAGTGAAACAGTATTTATTTAAATGTTGTATTTATATTAGGGCAGCTAAGAACATTTATATTTTTGAGTTGTTTATTTACTATTAAAATATCTTAGAATCTTGCTCTATTCATGAGAGTTGGTATTGGTTAAGTTTACAGATATTGAGTGAAAACCTCTGGGAGTTCACATCACAAATTCAAGGCATCTAGTAGGGTGACTTTAAGCCTGTGACTCAACCTTGTTGTTTCTCATTGTTCTCATCTGCAAAATCTGAATAATGTACTAACTCCCTCACAGGACTCTTGTGGGGATTAGAAGAGTAAAGATATAAAATGTTTAGAACAATGACTGGCTCCTAGTAAGTGTTATATAATTGTTATCATTACCATTTTCATCATCATTATTATTATCCCATAGATACCAGCACTTGCATCCTGCCTTAATTCCAGATTTACATACATTTAGTCAACCAACACATATTTATTTTGCTGATCCTTGAGTGAGGCAACAGGCAACTTCTTGGAAATAGAATGAGGAGGCACAAGAGACCCCCTGTCTTGGTATGGCTTTAGTGTTGTGCTTCTAAAAGATAGGATATGGGAAAAGTGTTGGGATGCCACTTCTGATACTAGGTAAGACAAAACTTCCCATTTGTTTTTACTATTTTTTGAGCCAGGGTCTTACTGTGTTGTCCAGGCTGGAGTGCAATGGAACAGTCATAGCTTACTGCAACTTTGGCCTCTTGGGATCAAGATATCCTTCCACCTCAGCCTCTCAAGTAGCTGGGATTACAGGCAAGCACTACTATGCCCAGCTAATTTTTGTTAAAATTTGTGTGGAGACAGGGTCTTGCTATGTTCTCGAGTCAGGTCTCAAACTCCTGGCCTCAAGTGATCCTCCTGCTTTGGACTCCCATACACCTGGGATTAATACCCATTTTTAAAATTGAGTATCACACCACTGAACCTTGCCTGGGTTGTTAGCAGACATTTACCATTGACATGCATCATTTTGAATCCTCACTTCCACTCCAGTCTAGTCCCTAGGTCCTCTAATTCACTGTTAGATGTTTCATCTTTCTGTCCCAATAGAATGTGCTCTCCTAAAATACATCTATTTGTTAATAATCTATAAGCTAAATAGAGGGTAGTGTTTAAACTTATTTTATAAATATGTGAATAAATAAATGCATGGATAAACTAATACATGGCAGTGGAGGGCACCATAAAAGCTATGTTTGGGGATGAATTTTGAAACCTTTGCTGGCCCCATGACTTAATCTCAGTATAAGAGCTATTGTTTATTAAATACTCACCTTTGTGCCAAAAATGTTAGCTTCGTTAACTCGAATTCTCAGAATGGTCCCCCCAAATAAAAAGAATTTAGTAACTTGACCAAGAATGCACAGCTTGTAAGTGCCCAGATTGGTATTTTTTATTATTTATTTATTTATTTATTTATTTAGATGTAGTCTCATTCTGACACCCAAGGTGGAGTGCAGTGGTGCAACCTTGGCTCACTGCAACCTCCAACTCTCCAAAGAAGAGATTCTCCTGCCTCATCCTCCCTAGTAGTTGGGACTAGAAGCACACACCACCACATTTGTTAATTTTTGTATTTTTAGTAGACACAGGGTTTCACCATGTTGACCAGGTTGGTGTCAAACTTTTCACCTCATGTGACCTGCCTGCCTCGGACCCCCAAAGTGCTGGGATTACAGGTGTGAGACTCGTGTCCAGCCAAGATTGGGATTTGAACCCAAGACCATTCAAATATTAACCCTGAAGGATTGTAATTTATATATTGGTTCCGAGAGGTGAAGCTAGCTGGACTTCTGTGTCACATGGGGACTTGGAAAACTTTTCTGTCTTACAAGAGGATTGTAAATGCGCGAATCAGCACTCTGTGTCTAGATAAAGGTTTGTAATCACACCAATCAGCACTCTAAAATGGACCAATCAGCAGGAAGTGAGCCAGGACAAATAAGGGAGTAAAAGGGGGCCACCCCAGCCAGCATCACAACCCGCTAGGGTCCTCTTCCACACTGTGGAAGCTTTGTTCTTTTGCTCTTCACAATACATCTTGCTGCTGCTCACTCTTTGGGTCAGCACCACCTTTAAGAGCTGTAACACTTGCTGCGGACATGCTCGGCTTCATTCTTGAGTCAGCCAGATCACGAACCCACTTGAAGGAACCAACTCCAGAGACATCTGAAGGAACAAACTCCAGACACACCATCTTTAAGAGCTGTAACATTCACCGCGAAGGTCCCGGCTTCATTCTTGATGTCAGCAAGACTAAGAACCCACCCAAAGGAAAAAACTCCGGACACAGTTCTTTAGAAGACAGAAATAATACATTTAAAAATATATTCTTATATATCCAAATTGACATGTCTAAATAAATATGAGGAAGTAGTGAGCCTACTCTTCAGAATCAGTGGGCTTTTTTGTCTTCTTTCATCAGGTTTTCCTTCTTTGACCAACATTTTGGTGACCTTATTCATATGGGTAATTCTTTGTATGATAAAAAAAAAAAAAATGGTTCTTTAAGTGTATAAGTGTTTAAAGTCCAAATCTGTTCTCCCACCACCAAACAGCAATGCCTCACATCACAATAATGTATGTATCCAACAGGTATATTAAATATACCTGTTAGTGTTTGCATAATATTTTGTACTGATGCCACCTAATTTTTTCCCCTCTCACTGTGTTTTCAGTGGAGAGCAGAGAAATGATGAACCCTGGGAATGCTGCCTGCAATTGTATTAAATTATCCATGTTCTGTTCAGTGATTTGCAACCTGCAGGGCTCTGGACTTTCAGAGCACTTGTGTTCCAGTGATATTCCCAAGCTTCCAACATTGTATTCTTTTCCTTTTGATGTAAAATATATGTTAGTGTTAAAGAAAGATTTCTTTAATTGATGTCCTAAGCAAAAATTACCATTGTGGCTCATTTTGTGTCTGAGACAAAATTTTATGTCTAATTAAATTAGGAACTATTGCACTACATAAAAAATAAAGTTGTAAATTAAAATCATGAGAGCCGAAATCATTCTGTTTGTATTTTAAGATGGTTATTATAATTTATTTCATATTTGCCTAACTTTATCACAATTCTTCGAATTCTTTCATTTCACCTCAATTTTGTTGAATTGATCTCATATACTAGAAGTATTAGAATCATTAGGAGATAACTCACACAACAGGTATTGAGAAGTTAATATCCTTTGATAAATTATCTTTTGTTTCTCCTAAAGTTATACTCAAAGATGTGTACTATGCATCACCAGTCAATAAAGTGGGGAATACATTTTCCTCCCAGCACACAAAACAACATTGACCAGCCGTTGTAGTTGCATGTCAAGAAACAGCCCAATGGTTTATGTGCCAAGGTCAAAATGCAACATGGTCTCTTTCCTCATTTTTTGTCTTATTGTGAAAGTATTATATAGTAACGTTTTATATATATATATATATATATATATGGCTTAAAGATTTATACAGGAAACTGAAGATCTGTGTTTGTATGACACATATCTCATAGGTGATTCCATAAAAATGTATATTTTAAATGTTACTGATTAATCTATTCAAGAGTTTTTTAAGGAAAACTAGGACACATGATTTCTTTTTGTTTTATTTTTCAGTTTGCAAGTATTTTCTAAAGGTGATCAATGTGCCTATCATAAACATCATTGGGAACTCACTTCTTTTATCAAATTTAGTGTGTTGAAATGCATTAAGTTATCACTCTTACTGATGATCAAAGTATTTGATCTTTAGCCAGTGGGAGTCCATTCAAGTCAGCTGTTATGTCCTGTAAACAACATCCTGTACTTTTGGATAGTCTTGAATTCTTAGAAACCATGCAGTTTATGAAGGAAATTTTCCTTTTAAAGAAGAATTCCAACTAAGAGTAGAAAGATGTATACAATTACACTGTCATCATTTTGCAACTCCTTATGAAGACAGATTTCATCAATGACCATTAATGTTTTAGCTTCCCCCAAAGAGGGACAAACAGGCATTATGTAGCTCCTGATGAAAGAACTAAACACCAATTATGAAGCAGTTCTACTGCTAAACATCAGGACTTGGATCTGATAAAAATTGTACATTCAAGTTCCAGTTTGGAGGAACTGTAGGAATGGAAGAGTATAGAAGACATGGAATTTTCTAGAATTATCAAGAGTTCCTAATTTGATCCTTAATCAAGTTTAAAGACAACAAGAAGCATCAGTTTCACATTTGAGATCTTCTGTTGACTCTGCGTAACTTTGACAAATTCATTAAGCTGTAGAGTTCTCAGTATCATCGCTGTTATTTGCAAATTCCTTCATCAAACTTAATCCTGCCTTATATCAGGGGAATCTTAAGTCATGTAACTTAGATTGTACTGTTTCCTTGGACATTTGGGTGGAAGACCCTGAGTCTCAGAAGTGTTATTTGATAAAAGTAAACTTCATATTCCAAGGCTGGTCTTGTGACTTGAGTTCTACACTCTTCCCAAACCTCAATCTACTTCCAGTTTTCCATACTTGTGTGCAAATTGATGCCCTTCTCCTATAGATATCCACTTTCTAGTTACCTTACATCATGATATCATGTTCAAATGCATGGAACTCTACTCGTTTAAGCCAGTGCCACTGTCTTGGTCATTTCTGTCTCCCATATCTGACTCAGAACTGTTGACTCAATGGTGAAGCCCATGCGGCTGTGATCACTCTTTATCCATCCATCTCTCAGTACTTAAGTGTAATGTTTTATCCTTGTCTAACAGCAAACACTTTATCTTTCAACTCACACAAGAAGATGCATGTGAAAGATTCAATGATTTGTCCTAATTTTTCACTTTTCTGGAAATAATAATATATGCACTCATTGCTAAGCATTTCTTTCCTCTTGATTTTGAACATATGATTCTGTTTGGGCAATAGAAGATGAGTCCATCTGATGTGAGTGGTGGATTAACAGGTGCCTGCACTGGTAGGTTTACCTTCACCTCCAGTGACATGCCATGGCCCCTGTTATCTGAGCTGCAGAAGAAATACAGATGAAACATGCTTGACACAAACTGTAGCTTTGACCCCAACTACAGGAGGGAGTACAGTGGCCCAGACTAGCCCCTTTATACTATCCTATTTAAAACTCATAACTGAAGTCACATGGCAGGAAAGTTGCTAAGGTGGCAAATAGAGCAGTCACTAATGATACACGTTTTCAAGGCATGACGTTTTCTCTTCTGAATACTTTGTACCGAGATATCAAACTTCCCTTTGCCCAAATAATTAGCCACCTCAAAGCAGGAAAAAACAATGGTGAAACCAGAATTCATCACGGTGTTGCCAAGATATATTATGAGCTAAATTAATATATGTGTAATCCATTTGACATCTCTTTAGCTCTTAAATATGTGTTGACCATTATAACTTCTGTTTTTATCAATATCAGGCATAAGAAAGAAGAAAAGCCCTATGCATTCATTCTAATGCTGTTAAATAGATAAGTAGCTCATCTAAATGGAATATTTTCACGATTTCATGACTGTTATGGTCAGCTATCATCATATTGATGTCATCACTTCTTCCTCTATTGCTTCAAAGCTGTTGTTTTTAAGGTTCTTAAAAAGGACAACATTTATATAAGACCTAGGCTGAAATAGTATCTGAGAAAACAAGTTCTAGACTACCATAGCCTCTTTCTTCATTTCCCTGGTTGAATACAAATATCTTTTGGTAAGAAAGATGCCAGCTTCTTCCTGGACTCTCTCCTCTATGCAAGTCTATTTTTAATCTACAGAGTTTTCCAGTCTTTGACTCAATTCTTTAACTTTACTTTGGAAGGAAAATTATGTCAATATTACATATCAAACCAAAGTTACTTTAAATAATTAAGAGGAGTCTCTAAATCAATGCACACTTGAATCAACAAAACCATGCATTTTAGAATAGCGTGAGCTATTGTGATTTTAAGAGAAAATAAGAAGGTATATTGGAAAACCTACAAGAGAATGATTTAATTAACTGCATCTTAAGGAAGTTTGGATAAGTGTATCACAACTTCAATAACTATTCTCCTGAGATTGGAAGAAGGCATTTAACCTGGGAAAAATAAGAGCTCACTGAAGTATAATCTTGATTTGATGATCTTCATGGGCATACAAAGCTTCAGCTAGTAGCTTCTGTAAAAGATCAAAATTAGCACTCATATCTGGCTGCATTTTCCTTCTACCAGGACACAGCCAGAGCCAATTGGAAACTCATCTGCAATGCTTACTTGTCACTTGATAACAATTGAATAAATGATTGGGACAGATGGCAGGGCAGACCACGTATGGGGGACAAGTTATTTTGAAAAGCATCTGTCAGTACCCAAATAGATGTAAACTAAGCCAAAAAGAGCAGGCCAGTGAAGCTATAAAAGCTATATGGTTTTATATGGTGGGCTTCAGAGTGTGTGTGTGTGTGTGTTTTGGGGATAGGATTTAGCTCTGTTGCCCAGCTAGAGTCCTATGTAGCCTTGAGTTTCTGGGATCAAACACTCCTCCTGCCTCAGCCTCCTGAGTAGCTAGGAACACAGGCAAGCACTACCTTACCCGGCTAATTTTTAAAAATTTGTTTTGTAGACATGGGGTCTTGCTGTGTTGTCCACGCTAATCTCAAACTCCTGGGTTCAAGAGTGCTAAGGGGATTTTTCTGCTTTGGCCTTCCAAAGTGTTGGGGTTACAGGCATGAGCCACTGCATGCCACCCAGCTTCAGTTGTTTATGCAAAATTTCTGCCTTAGTAAATACTCTTTGATATGCATGATCCACCAGAAATGGAATACTTTTCATAGCAGTACATAGAACAAACCCATCACCCCCTGGACAGAATTAAAAATTAAGACTCATAGTTTTGAACTGTGACTCATGGAATAATCAACAATTTGGGCTGTCCAACTGAGAAAGTGTCATTATCTCTTTTCAGTTCTGTTTAAAGGCAGAGCATATTAGAACTGATTGGCAGAGCCTATTTTTCCTATTGTCATTTTCCAGTGACAAGTCCCAGTCCTATTGACTTTCACCTAAAGAACAACACAAGCTGCACTTCTCAATTATTCAATGTAATGTCTTCTTTGGAAATTATCTGCAATGGGAATATCCTCTGCTGTTACTATTTGCTTTTTGAAAGAAAATTCAACATAGGGCAGATTGATAAACATGGAGATATTGGCCATTTAAATCCCCAGGAAGAGACATGATCCTCTTATGAATAATTAATGTGCATGTGAATTTAATGGCTTTCAAGGAACAAGTGAAATTTTCTATAAAGAAAAAAAATGTTCTACCTCTATCTTGCCCAGTATGGTAGGCATAAACCATGTGTACCCACTGAGAACTTGAGTGTCGCCAGTATAAATGAAGAAGATGATTTTTAATTTGTATTTAATTTAAGTAGATTTACTATCAAAATATATAGTCACATACTGGAGGCATTGCAATAAAGTTTTATACATACATATGTATATGTTTAGACACACACAAAAAGATGCACATATATATATCCACATACAATATGTGGGCCTGTTTTTTTTTAATAAAAATTTGACATTAATAGTGTTTTTTGTTGTATCTTGAGGATTAGCTATGATTTTACATAAAGTTAAGGAATAATTCCATGCATTACATATCTCTCATTTTGTCAGTGCTCTTTGCCCCCACCCAATTCTTACTATTAAGTATATTTGTGTGTCCTTCATCAAGCCAGTATTATGTACCTGATAACCTTATTCTAAGTCATATTTTAACTATAAGTACGTAATTACAGATTATAGGATTTTCCTTGAAATTCAGGTTTGAAAACCATAATAATATCCTATTTGGGGGATGATTGATAGGAATATATATTTTATACTGGAGAGAGGTTTGAATAAATAGGTAAAGCTGGGATCAGCTGGAACACAGAAGCTAGGCAGGGAGTAGCAAAATAGAAGCTTTGACTTATTCAAGAGTATCATCTGACCTTAAAGATCATACAGATGTTGATGACAGTAGAGACCAGGTTCTTCCTCCTTCTCTGTATTCATGTCCACACAATATAAATTCCTTCTCTAGCAATGTGAAGACTACTGCTCCATACCTTCAATCTGCCCCTGTGTGTCACCCAAGAGAAGTCACATCTGGGTTCATCTCAGACCAACAAGCCCCTAGTCACCTGCCAACTGCAGCCAAGAAGGGAGAGAACCATGTGGTTGACTTGTCCTGCTGAAAATTTTGGGGAAGCCTGACCTCAACTAGCAGAACCAGACAGCTAAACCCAGTCTACACTGATGTCTCCAAAAAGGTCAAACTAAATAATAGTTGCTTTTTAAACAGCAACAGATGTGAGAGTTACAACACAGACTGAGGTTTGGCTAGGCAATTTGAGTCAAACAAAAGGAATGATATTAGAGAATGTTTGTGTTATAATAGAAATGAAGGACATGCAAAGGTCAATTAGGAAAGTGAGAAAAGAGGCTACAACATGGCAGAGAAGTCAGTTCGACCTCTGTTTCTGGGGAAAATGTCTTTTTCTCCTTCATTTCTGAGCCTGGGTTGTATGGTTTCTAACTACTCCTAAACACAGACAGACTTGGGCACTATCATTCCCAGGAGATTCTTCTTCAGTAGGATATCCCTAATACCTTTTATCTTAATTCTACATGCACATTCTCCAATTTATGGAGTGTAAGGTACTGTATGCCATCATTGTAAAAATATAAATATCTGAACTTTTTAATATTGGATATTACAAAGGACTGAGTATGTTCCTAATATAGGAATTTTCAACAAAACCCATTCAAATAACTCTATGGAGGCCTGAATATGCAGGGATTACAAAATGGGCTGTGAAATTAAGATGTCTATTGTGGGAAACCGTATGTAGCTATGGCTTTTTTCTTCTCTGTCATTAAGTCATATAATACTGACTTCAAATAAAAAAGTTCCCACTTTGATTCACCATGGTTGAAACTTACTTAATATCATTAATACAAAAGGGTTCAGAAGATTTATAGGTATAAAATTTTATGTGCCTGTGCTTGCATATGTATGTATAATTACATAAGTATAGAATACAAAGCTAAATCTGCATATAAAAGTAGATAATTATTGGCTTGTGTGTGTGTCTGTGTGTGTGTGTGCATCTATATATATATATAGAGTTGGCCCTCCATATTCCAGGGGTTAAATTAACTTAGGATCAAAACTATTGGGAAATAAAGATAAATAATTGCAACTGTACAGAATATGTACATACTTTTAAACAAAACAGTACAACAAGTATTTACATAGCATCTACATTATATGGATAATATAAGCAACCTGGAGATTATTTAATGTCTACAGAAGGATGTGGATAGGTTATATGAAAATATTATGCCTTTTTATTAGAGGGACTTGAGCATCCTTGGATTTTGCTATCTGCTAATGTCCTGGAACTAGTACTTTGGAGAAAGTGAGGGACAATTATACTTATATATGTATATATTATATAAAATATATATACACATATACATATTTATATAGTATATACTATATACATATTTAAGTACACAGTCTATACTATATTTGGTGTATACGTATGCACTATGTATAAATATATAGTGCAAATATATAAATATGCATGTTTATATTTAATAATATATAATTTAACATATAACTCCTTAAGTTGTTCACTTGAAGCCACGAGTTTGAGACCTGCCTAGTCAACATGGTGAAACCCTGTCTCTACTGAAAAAAAAAAAAAGCAAAAAAAAAACCACATGTATAATATATATATAATATACATAAATATATATATATACATATATATACACACACAAAAATTAGCGGATATGGTGGCATACACCTGTAATTCCAGCTACTCAGGAGGCTGAGGCATGAGAATCGCTTGAACCTGGGAGGTGGAGGTTGCAGTTTGCTGAGCTTCTGCCATTGCGCTCCAGCCTGGGTGATGGAGTGAGAACCTCTCTCAAAAAAAAAAAAAAAAAGAAACAACTATATGTATACTGTACTATATTTACCACATAAATATATATGTGTATATAAGCATATAAAATGTACATATTTGTATTTATAAAATGTACTATTTGAATATGTATATACTTTTTATGTTTGTATATACTTCTATATTTGTATATTTACATATTTATACGTATACAGAATATATTTTCATATGTCAGAATTATTAGTTAAGTGAACACTTGCCTTCAGTTCTTTTTTAGTAGGCATTCAATTTAAATTTTATATTTGTGCTTCTTCTTCCAATTAGAATATAGAAAGTAGTGAGAGAATATCATGTTCATCCTGTCAACCTGAACACACTGGAAATTACACAAATTAAATTTATTATAAACACAGGAAGCAAAGAAATCTGCAATCAATAGAAAAGTGATGATCTCCCTGCGAGGGAGACGTGGGCCATGGTTTTTCACCTCCCTGATAGATTACAGCAAGAGTACAAGAAGGAAAAGGGGTGGCAGTTTATTTTAAAATCCAAAATTATAACAAACTTTCCATAACCGATGGGCTGCTGAGACAGATTAGAATTCCAGGATGGTGTGCGCCACGGGTACTGCGGATCCCCCCCCCCGCCCCGCCCTATATATTTTGGTCTTCCCAGAATGTGTGAGCAGTTCATACCTGCCTGGGCACAGGATACAGGAGTTGAGCTGTATCCCTGTGAGGTCCTCAGGCCCACCCCTAGTACTATGAAGCCACGCTCTGAAGGCAGGAGAGGAAAAATGGTGAGAGAGATTCTCCAAAGCATTTTTGACCTTCACAGATTGCAAGGCAGTTGCCGTCTAAAACCTAGGGGAAGACATCAGTGGAGAAAAAGGTCTTCTCAAAACAAAAACTATAGAAGCAGAACTGGAAAAGGAACTCCTACAAGATGGATGCTGGGTAGTAAACAAGGGAGGCCACCCAGTAAATGAAATCATACAAGTGCTCAAGATTGCAAGGGATGCTGAAAAAAAAGCCCAGGCATGTCTATGGAAAGTTTGAAGTCACTAGAAAATTAAACTAAAGAGGTGGAATGCATAGATGCAGTTCAACTAGAGGTCAAATTGGCACAAATCCACACTTTAGGGGCTTGAAAGAGAAAAAAAATGACCGGTTTTCTCCTGGAGCAAAAAATTACATATTTCACATGCTACTAGGCTTTTATGCAAAATGTCTGACTTACAAATCAAACATAATGAGACTTCCAAATAATTATAAATGTGTAACCAATGAACAATAGAGGAAATAGTGAATAAAAGCAGATCTAGAAATAGTAGGATTATCAGAGAATACTTTTCACTATGAGAGAAGGTATTTATGTTACAGGAACTCATGTAGAAGAAGGAAAATAAGAGTGTATATTTTAGTAAAAAGGTAAAAATGTAAAGTGACACCAAAAGTTTTTATTAGGTATGATTACAAATTTATATATTATTTATAAAATATTTAATTATTTCTGGTATCAGTATTTTTAAGCTAGAGATTTTTAAAAGTTGTTAGAAATGACATATTTATTAGAGTTACTCAACAGGAAACTTGAAAAGCAAATTGAGTGCCTCTGTGTGCCCTTTGGCATAGGTCTATAAAAAATATCCAAACAGACAGATTTTTTTTTCTTTTTTTTTTTTTTGAGATGGAGTCTCACTCTTTCGCCGGGATGGAATGCAGTGGCGCGATCTCGGCTCATGGCAAGCCCCACCTCCCGGGTTCACGCCCTTCTCCTGCCTCAGCTCCGGAGTAGCTGGGGCTACAGGCGCCCGCCACCACGTCCGACTAATTTTTTGTATTTTTAGTAGAGACGGGGCTTCGTCATGTTAGCCAGGATGGTCTCGATCGCCAGACCTCATGATCCTCCTGTCTTGGCCTCCCAAAGTGCTGGAATTACAGGCGTGAGCCACGGCGCCCGGCGCAGACACTTTTTTTTAAGTAAAAAAGTAGATAAACAAAAAGGAGCAGGTGTCAGCTGATAGACAGTATCAAAAGTTGTGTGTGTAATTGGAGCTTCAAAAAGACATAAAATTGAGAAAAGAGCCAAATAATATTGAAAAACAAAATGGTCAATACCTTCCTGAAATTGATAAAATATGTCACCACAATAATGTGAGACCCTCAAGCAGGATGCACACAAAGAAAGCTGCACCTGGGCACTCCATAGTCAATCTGATGAAAACTGAAATTATACAAAAAACCTACAGTCTGAGATAATAAGAACACACCTTGCAGTTATCAAAATGCAAAAAATAAAATGTTGCAGTTTCCTTTAAACATGGGTGTGTAGAAGACCATGGAATGAAAACTGTAAATTGTTGAAGGAATTTCTCTTTTGCAGGTTTGCACTGCAATAAATATTGAGAATGGAACTTTAAAATGTAGAAAACAAAAATAGATGTAATGTGGGAAATAGGAAAAAATCCACTCACTCTCACTGACAGAAACAACGGACAAAAATTCAGTAAAAATATGAAAGAGTTCAACTACCTTATCAACCAAATTTATTTAATTGGCATTTACTGAACAGTATATCCAGCCACTTCAGAAGTTACGCTGATTTGCAAGTGCACATTCATTAGAATAGATTACACACTGTGCCTTAAAATATGTCTAAAAACTTATCAAAGGACTGGAGTCATACCAAATATATCCCCTAGCTAAAAGGATGTTAAATTATAAATCAATGACAATCAAATATGTAGAAAAACCCCATGGCATAAAACAAAGCAAGAGATATGTGTGAGATAGAAAGAGAGAAAGGAGAAGGATTAGGAGAAACACACAGAAACAAACAACAGAAAGACAGACATAGAGACAGAGAAAGCCATATATGTATATATATATATACACATATATATTTGAGACCAAGTTTCACTCTTGTTGCCCAGGCTAGAGAGCAATGGTGCGACCACAGCTCAGCACAACTGCAACCTCCACCTCCCAGATCAAGTGATTCTCATGAGTCAGCCTCCCAGATAGCTGGGATTACAGACATGGGACACCATGCCTGGCTAATTTTGTAGTATTAGTAAAGATTGGGTTACTTTATGTTGGTGAGGCTGGTCTTGAATTCCTGACCTCGAGTGACCTGCCTGCCTCAACACTCCAAAGTGCTGAGATTACAGGCATGAGCCAGGATACTCTGCAAGCCCTACATATTTTTAAAGTTAAGATAATTTTTAAAACCTCAGTGGTTAGTTAGACTCCCACACGATAATACTGGGAGACTTTAACACCGCACTGTCAATATTAGACAGATCAATGAAACAGAAAATTAACAAGGATTTCAAGGTGCTCTGGACCCAGCACATCTAATAGACATATACAGAACTCTACACCCCAAATCAACACAATATACATTCTTCTCAGCACCACATCAAACTTATTCTAAAATTGACAGCATAATTAGAAGTAAAACAATCCTCAGCAAATGCAAAACAATAGAAATCATAAAAAGCAGTCTCTCAGACAAAAGTGCAATCAAATTAGAACTCAGGATTAAGAAACTCACTCAAAACCACACAAATAAATGGAAGCTGAACAACCTACTCCTGAATGACTGCTGGGTATATAACAAAATGAAGGCAGGAATAAAGATGTTATTTGAAACCATTGAGAATAAAGAGAACATACCAGAATCTCTGGGACACAACTAAAGCAGTGTTTAGAGGCAAATTTATACCACAAAATGCCCACAGGAGAAAGCAAGAAATATCTAAAATTGACACCCTGACATCACAATTAAAAGAACTAGAGAAGCAAGAGCAAACACACTCAAAAGCTAGCAGAAGACAAGAAATAAGTAATATTAGAGCAGAACTGAAGGAGAGAGAGACACGAGAAACCCCTTAAAATATCAATGAATCCAGAAGCCAGTTTTTTTAAAAGATTAACAAAATTGATGACTAGCCAGATTAATAAAGAAGAAAAGCAAGAAGATTCAAATAGACACAATAAAAATGATCAAGGAGATATCACCAATGATCCCACAGAAATACAAACTACCATCAGAAAATACTATAAACACCTCTATGCAAATAAACTAGAAAATCTACAAGAAATGGATAAATTTCTGGACACATACACATACTCCCAAGACTAAATTAGGAAGAAATCAAATCCCTGAATGAGCAATAACAAGTTTTGAAATTGAGGCAGTTATTAATAGCCCAACAACCAGAGGGATTCATAGCTGAATTCTACCAGAGGTACAAAGAGGGGCTGGTGCCATTATTTCTGAAACTATTCCAGACAATATAAAATAGGGACTCCTCCCTAACTGATTTTATGAGGCCCACATCATCCTAATACCAAAACCTGGCAGAGACACAACAAAAAGACAATATTTCAGGCCATTATCATTAATAAACATTGAGGTGAAAATCCTCAATAAAATACTGGCAAACCGAATCCAGTAGCACATCAAAAAGT
Organism: Homo sapiens; assembly: GCF_000001405.40. Classification (NCBI taxonomy): domain Eukaryota; kingdom Metazoa; phylum Chordata; class Mammalia; order Primates; family Hominidae; genus Homo; species Homo sapiens. The sequence goes on along the minus strand of NC_000024.10, from coordinate 14,889,946 downwards.
TTATCCATCATGATCAAGTCAGCTTCATCTCTGGGATGCAAGGCTGGTTCAGCATATGCATATCAATAAATGTAATCCATCAAATAATCAGAACCAATGACAAAAGAAGACACAATTATCTCAATGAATGCAGAAGAGGCCTTCTATAAAATCCAACACCAATTCATACTAAAAACTCTCAATAAACTACATATTGACAGAACATATCTCAAAATAATGAGAAAGATTTATGACAAAAACCACATACCATACTGAGTGGGAAAATATCATACTGAATGGGAAAATACTGCATTCCCTTTGAAAACTGGCACAAGACAAAGATGCCCTCTCTAACCACAGCTATTCACAGAATTGGGAGTTCTGGCTAGAGCAATCAAGCAAGAGAAATAAATAAAGGATATTCAACTAAGAAGAGAGGAAGTCAAATTTTTCCTGTTTGCAGATGACATGATTGTGTATTTAGAAAACTCCATCTTCTCAGTCCAAAATCCCCTTTAGCTGATAAGCAACTTCAGCAAACTCTCAGGGTACAAAATCAATATGCAAAAATCACAAGCATTCCTATACACCAATTCACAGAATTTGAAAAAAACTATCTTAAATTTCTTATGGAACCAAAAAAGATGGGTGTAGTCAAGACAATCCTAAGGAAATGTAAAAAACTGGAGGTATCACACTACCTAACTTCATACTACACTACAAGTCTATAGTAATGAAAACAGCATGGTAGTGACATCAAACAGATATATAGAACAATGGAACAGAACAGAGGCCTCAGACATAACACCACACAACGAAGACCATCAATCTTTGACAAACCTGACAAACACAAGCAATGAAAAAAGGACTCCTATTTAATAAATGGTGCTTGGAAAACTGGCTAGCCATATTCAGAAAACTGAAACCGGACCCCTTCTTTACACCTTATACAAAAGTTAATTCAAGATGGATAAAGACTAAAACATAAGACTGAAAACCATAAAAAACCTAGAAGAAACCCTAGGCAATACTATTGAGTATATAGTCATGGGCACAGATTTGATGACTAAAACACCAAAAGAAATGGTAACAAAAGCCAAAATTGACAAATCGTATCTAATTAAACTAAAGAGCTTCTGCACTGCAAAAGAAACTATCATCAGAGTCAACAGGCAATCTAGAGAATGGGAGAAAATTTTTGCAATCTATCTGGTGAAGGGCTAATATCCAGAATCTACAAGGACTGAAACAAATGTACAAGAAAAAAAGACATCTTTTTGTAACCTACGGGTGGAGCCAATATGGCCGAATAGGAACAGCTCCAGTCTACAGCTCCCAGCATGAGCCAGGCAGAAGATGGGTGATTTCTGCGTTTCAAACTGACATATCGGGTTCATCTCACTGGGGAGTGTCAGAAAGCAGGTTCAGGACAGTGAATGCAGTGAACCGAGCATAAGTCAAAGCAGGGCGATGCATCGCCTCACCCGAGAATCCCCAGGGGTCAGAGAATTCCCTTTCCTACTCAAAGAAAAAGGGGACAGACGGCACCTGGAAAATTGGGTCACTCACACCTTAATACTGCGCTTTTCCAATGGTCTTAACAAATGGCACACCAGGAGATTATATCTCATGCCTGCCTCAGAGGGTCCTATGCCCACGGAGCCTCACTCATTGCTAGCACAGCAGTCTGAGATCAAACTGCAAGGTGGCAGCGACGCTGTGGGAGGGGCGCCCACCACTGCTGAGGCTTGAGTAGGTAAAAAAAGCAGCTGGGAAGCTTGAACTGGGTGTATCCCACCACAGCTCAAGGAGGCCTGCCTGCCTGCCTCTGTAGACTCCACCTCTGGGGACAGGGCACAACCAAACAAAAAGCAGCAGAATCCTCTGCAGACTTAAATGTCTCTGAGTGACAGATTTGAAGAGAGTACTGGTTCTCCCAGAATGCAGCTGGAGATCTGAGAACAGACAGACTGCCTCCCAAAGGGGTCCCTGACCCCTGAGTAGCCTAACTGGGAGGCACCCCCAAGTAGGGGCAGACTGACACCTCACATGGCTGGGTACTCCTCTGAGACAAAACTTCCAGAGAAACGATCAGGCAGCAGCATTTGCTGCTAACCAATACCCACTGTTCTGCAGCCTTTGCAGCTGATATCCAGGAAAACAGGGTCTGGAGTGGACCTACAGCAAACTCCAACAGACATGCAGCTGAGCGTCCTCACTGTTAGAAGGAAAACTAACAAATAGAAAGGACATCCACACCAAAACCCCACCTGTATGTCCCCATCATCAAAGACCAAAGGTAGATAAAACCACAAAGATGGGAAAAAACAGAGCAGAAAACTTGAAACTCTAAAAATCAGAGCTCCTCTCCTCCTCCAAAGGAGTGCAGCTCCTCACCAGCAATGGAACAAATCTGGACGGAGAATGACTTTGACGAGTTGAGAGAAGAAGACTTCAGACGATCAAACTACTCCAAGGTAAAAGAGGAAGTTCGAACCCATGGCAAAGAAGTTAAAAACCTTGAAAACAAATTAGATGAATGGCTAACTAGAATAATCAATACAGAGAAGTCCTTAAAAGACATGATGGAGCTGAAAACCAAGGCACGAGAACTACGTGATGAATGCACAACCCTCAGTAGCTGATTCGATCAACTGGAAGAAAGGGTATCAGTGATGGAGGATCAAATGAATGAAATGAAGAAAGAAGAGAAGTTTAGAGAAAAAAGAATAAAAAGAAATGAACAAAACCTCCAAGAAATATGGGACTATGTGAAAAGACAAATCTACATCTGATAGATGTACCTGAAAGTGATGGGGAGAATGGAACCAAGTTGTAAAACACTCCGCAGGAAGTTATGCAGGAGAACTTCCCGAATCTAGCAAGGCAGGCCAACATTCAAATTCAGAAAATACAGAGAACACCACAAAGATACTCCTCGAGAAAAGCAACTCCAAGACACATAATTGTCAGATTCACCAAAGTTGAAATGAAGGAAAAAATGTTAAGGGCAGCCACAGAGAAAGGTCGGGTTACCCACAAAGGGAAGCCCATCAGACTAACAGCTGATCTCTCAGCAGAAACTCTACAAACCAGAAGAGAGTGAGGGCCAATATTCAACATTTTTAAAGAAAGGAGTTTTCAACCCAGAATTTCACATCCAGCCAAATTAAGCTTCATAAGTGAAGGAGAAATAAAATACTTTACAGACAAGCAAATGCTGAGAGATTTTGTCACCACCAGGCCTGCTCTGAAAAGCTCCTGAAGGAAGCACTAAACATGGAAAGGAACAACCTGCACAGCCATTGCAAAAACATGCCAAATTGTAAAGATCATCAAGGTTAGAAGCAACTGCATCAACTAATCAGCAAAATAACCAGCTAATATCATAATGACAGGATCAAATTCACACATAACAATATTAACCTTAAATGTAAATGGGCAAAATGCTCCAATTAAGAGACCCAGACTGGCAAATTGGATAAAGAGTCAAGACCCATCAGTGTGCTGTATTCAGGGAACCCATCTCACATGCAGATACACACATAGGCTCAAAATACAGGGATGGAGGAAGATCTACCAAGCAAAGGAAAACAAAAAAAGGCAGGAGTTGCAATCCTAGTCTCTGGTAAAACAGACTTTAAACCAGCAAAGATCAAAAGAGACAAAGAAGGCCATTACATAATAGTAAAGGGATCAATTCAACAAGAAGAGCTAACTATCCTTAATATATATGCACCCAATACAAGAGCACCCAGATTCATAAAGCAAGTCCTTAGAGGCCTACAAAGAGACTTATTCTCCCACACAATAATAATAGGAGACTTTAACACGCCACAGTCAACATTAGACAGATCAATGTGACAGGAAGTTAACGAGGATATCCAGGAATTGAACTCAGCTCTGCACCAAGCAGACCTAATAGACATCTACAAAACTCTCCAACACAAATCAAGAGAATATACACACTTTGCAGCACCACACCACACTTATTCCAAAATTGACCACATAGTTGGAAGTAAAGCACTACTCAGTAAATGTAAAGGAACAGAAATTATAACAAAAAGTCTCTCAGACTACAGTGCAATCAAACTAGAACTCAGGATTAAAAACTCACTCAAAACCTCTCAACTATATGGAAACTGAACAACCTGCTCCTGAATGACTACTGGGTACACAACGAAATGAAAGCAGAAATAAAGATGTTCTTCGAAACCAACAAGAACAAAGACACAACATTACGGAATCTCTGGGACACATTCAAAGCAGTGTGTAGAGGGAAATTTATAGCACTAAATTCCCACAAGAGAAAGCAGGAAAGATTTAAAATTGACACCCTAACATCACAGTTAAAAGAACTACAAAAGCAAGGGCAACATATTCAAAAGCTAGCAGAAAGCAAGAAATATCTAAGATCAGAGCAGAAATGAAGGAAATAGAGACACAAAAAAAACTTTAAAAAATCAATGAATCCAGGAGCTGATTTTTTGAAAAGATCAACAAAATTGATAAACCACTAGCAAGACTAATAAAGAAGAAAAGAGAGAAGAATAAAATAGATAGATAAAATCATAAAGGGGATATCACCACCAATCCCACAGAAATACAAACTACCATCAGAGAATACTATAAACACCTCTACGCAAATAAATGAGAAAATCTAGAAGAAATGGATAAATTCCTCAACACATACATCCTCCCAAGACTAAACCAGGAAGAAGTTGAATCTCTGAATAGACCAATAACAGGTTCTGAAATTGAGGCAATAGTTAATAGCTTACCAACTAAAAAAAGTCCAGGAGCAGATGGATTCACAGCCAAATTCTACCAGAGGTACAAAGAGGAGCTGCTACCATTGCTTCTGAAACTATTGTAATCAATAGAAAAAGAGGGAATAGGCCGGGCGTGGTGGCTCACGCCTGTAATCCCAGCACTTTGGGAGGCCGAGGCGGGCGGATCACGAGGTCAGGAGATCGAGACCATCCCGGCTAAAACGGTGAAACCCCGTCTCTACTAAAAATACAAAAAATTAGCCGGGCGTAGTGGCGGGCGCCTGTAGTCCCAGCTACTTGGGAGGCTGAGGCAGGAGAATGGCGTGAACCCAGGAGGCGGAGCTTGCAGTGAGCCGAGATCCCGCCACTGCACTCCAGCCTGGGCGACAGAGCAAGACTCCATCTCAAAAAAAAAAAAAAAGAAAAAAGAAAAAGAGGGAATACTCCCTAACTCATTTCATGAGGCCAGCATCATTCTCATACCAAATACTGGCAGAGACACCACAAAAAAAAGGAGAATTTTAGACAAATATCCCTGATGAACATTGATTCAAAAATCCTCAATAAAATACTGGCAAACTGAATCCACCAGCATATCAAAAAGCTTATCCACCATGATCAAGTGGGCTTCATCCCTGGGATGCAAGGCTGGTTCATCATATGCAAATCAATAAACATAATCCAGCATATAAACAGAACCAATGAGAAAAACCACATGATTATCTCAATAGATGCAGAAAAGGCCTTTGACAAAATTCAACAACTTCATGCTAAAAACTCTCAATAAATTAGGTATTGCTCGGATGTATCTCAAAATCATAAGAGCTATCTATGACAAACCCACAGCCAATAGCATACTGAATCAGCAAAAACTGGAAGCATTTCCTTTGAAAATTGGCACAAGACAGGGATGCCCTCTCTCACCACTCCTATTCAACATAGTGTTGGAAGTTCTGACCAGGGCAATCAGGCAGCAGAAGGAAATAAAGCTTATTCAATTAGGAAAAGAGGAAGTCAAATTGTCCCTGTTTGCAGATGACATGATTGTATATCAAGAAAACCCCATTGTCTCAGCCCAAAATCTCCTTAAGCTGATAAGCAACTTCAGCAAAGTCTCAGGATACAAAATCAATGTACAAAAATCACAAGCATTCTTATACACCAAAAACAGACAAATGAGAGCCAAATCGTGAAAGAACTCCCATTCACAATTACTTCAAATAGAATAAAGCACCTAGGAATCCAACTTACAAGGGACATGAAGGACCTCTTGAAGGAGAACTACAAACCACTGCTCAATGAAATGAAAAATGATACAAACAAATGGAAGAACATTCTATGCTCATGGGTAGGAAGAATCAATATCGTGAAAATGGCCATACTGCCCAAGGTAATTTATAGATTCAATACCATCCCCATCAAGCTACCAATGACTTTCTTCACAGAATTGGAAAAAACTACTTTAAATTTCATATGGAACCAAAAAACAGCCTGCATTGCCAAGTCAATTATAAGCCAAAAAAACAAAGCTGGAGGCATCATGCTACCTGACTTCAAACTATACTACAAGGCTACAGTAACCAAAACAGCATGGCACTGGGTACCAAAATAGAGATATAGACCAATGGAACAGAACAGAGCCCTCAGAAATAATGCTGCATATCTACATCCATCTGATCTTTGACGAAGCTGACAAAAACAAGAAATGGGGAAATGATTCCCTATTTAATAAATGCTGCTGGGAAAACTGGCTAGCCATATGTAGAAAGCTGAAACTGGATCCCTTCCTTACACCTTCTACAAAAATTAATTGAAGATGGATTAAAGACTTAATGTTAGACTTAAAACTATAAAACCCTAGAGGAAAACCTAGGCAATACCATTCGGGACAGAAGGCATGGGCAAGGACTTCATGCCTAAAACACCAAAAGCAATGGCAACAAAAGCCAAAATTGACAAATGGGATCTAATTAAACTAAAGAGCTTCTGCACAGCAAAAGAAACCACCATCAGAGTGAACAGGCAACCTACAGAATGGGAGAAAATTTTTGCAATCTACTCATCTGAAAAGGGCTAATATCCAGAAACTACAATGAACACAAACAAATTTACAAGAAAAAAACAAACAACCCCATCAAAAATGGGAGAAGTGTATGAACAGACACTTCTCAAAAGAAGACATTTATGCAGCCAAAAGACACATGAAAAAATGCACATCATCACTGGCCATCAGAGAAATGCAAATCAAATCCACAATGAGATACCATCTCACACCAGTTAGAATGGCAATCATTAAAAAGTCAGGAAACAGCAGATGCTGGAGTGGATGTGGAGAAATAGGAACAATTTTACATTGTTGGTGGGATTGTAAACTAGTTCAACCATTGTGGAAGTCAGTGTGGCGATTCCTCAAGGATCTAGAACTAGAAATACCATTTGACCCAGCTATCCCATTACTGGGTATATACCCAAGGGATTATAAATTATGCTGCTATAAAGACCCATGCATACGTATGTTTATTGCAGCACTATTCACAATAGCAAAGACTTAGAACCAAGTCAAATGTCCAACAATGATAGATTGGATTAAGAAAATGTGGCACATATACACCATGGAATACCATGCAGCCATAAAAAATGATGAATTCATATCCTTTGTAGGGACATGGATGAAGTTGGAAACCATCATTCTCAGCAAACTATTGCAAGGACAAAAAACCAAACACCGCATGTTCTCACTCATAGGTGGGAATTGAACAATGAGAACACATGGACACAGGAAGGGGAACATCACACACTGTGTCCTGTCGTGGGGTCGGGGCAGGGTGGAGGGATAGCATTAGGAGATATACCTAATGTTAAATGACGAGTTAATGGGTGCAGCACAGCAACATGGCACATGTATACATATGTAGCTAACCTTCACATTGTGCACATGTACCTTAAAACTTAAAGTATAATAAAAAAAAGTAACCTTAAAAAAATCAAAAAGTGGACAAAGGATAGCAACAGACACTTCTCAAAGAAAGACATTTATGTGGCTTACAAACCTATGAAAAATAGCTCATCATTACTGATCATTAGAGAAACAAAAATCAAAATCACAATGAGTTACAATCTCCTACCAGTTAGAATGACAATCAATAAAATGTCAGGAAACAACAGATGCTGGAGAGCATGTGGAGAAATATGAATGCTTTTATACTGTTGGTGGGAGTGTAAGTTAGTTCAACCATTGTGGAAAAACAGTGTGGTGATGCCTCAAGGATCAAGAGCCGGAAATATCATTTGACCCAGCAATCACATTACTGGGTATATACCCAAAGGATTATAAATTATGCTACTATAAAGACACATGTACATGTATGTTTCCTGCCATACTATTCACAATAGCATAGACTTGTAACCAATCCAATTGCCCTCAGTGATAGACTCGATAAAGAAAGTGTGGCACATACACACTATGAAATACTCTGTAGCCATAAAAAAGGATGAGTTATGTCTTTTGCAGGGACATGGCTGAAGCTGGAAACCATCATTCTCAGCCAACTAACACAGGAACAGAAAACCAAACACCACATATTCTCACTCATAAGTGGGACATGAACAATGAGAACATATGGGCACAGGGAGGGGAACATCACACACAGTGGCATGTTGAGGGCTGCGGGGTTAGAAGAGGGATAGCATTAGGAGAAATACCTGATGTAGATGACAGGTTGATACGTGCAGCAAACCACCATGGCCCGTGTATACCTATGTAACAAACCTGCACGTTCTGCACATGTATCCCACAACTTAAAGTATATGTATATATTAAGTGTGTGGTCATAGGAAAAAAAATCACAAAAGGAATTACAGAAGATTACCTATGTGAAATATGTTCTACAAAGATATACAAATCTTTATAGAAGAGTCAAAACCTGGAAAAAACCCAAATGCCCAACATCTGGAAAAAAAAGAGAAACTGTGATGTATTTGTTCAAGGGAATACAGAACTGCAATAAAAATGAATACGTTACTGACAAAGACAACATCATGATGAATCTCAAAAGTGTTTTATTGAGTTAAAAATCTACAGAGATACATGTCATATTTTCTTATTATTAAGGAACACAAGAACAGGAAAAAACATTTTCAGGGCAATAGAAGTTAGGAAAACATCCCTCTGTTGAAGAGTTAGTTGGTGGAGAATGGTTAGATGGGGTGATTTTCTAAAGTAATGAAAAAGTTCTGTATCCTAAATTGGTTCATTGTCATATGGATGTATACAATAGATGAAAATCATCAAAAACAGTCCTTTGAATTTATGCATTTTTTGTATGTAAGTTACGTCTCAAAAAATACATATATATTGATCCAACATCTCAGATCTTTGTATAAAACCTGGAAAAAAATTTCCACTCTCAAACGCAAAGCAATGAAAGAAAAAACAGTAAAACAGAGAAGTAACTGGTTTAATATCATGCACAAATTCTATTTAAAATGAAAGTTGACAATGCACTTGAGATGTTCAGATGAGAGTTAGCATGCAAACAGGCAAAAAATCCATTTGAACCTTATGAATATTTGAAGGACGTTTCCATTCTCCAATGGGTTATATTTTTCTCCAAGTGATTTATAATATATATTATTTTATCTATTGGCTTGCTCTTCTGTTAGTTTTAGTAGTGAGGAACAAAAACAGAAATAACAACTATGGTTTATTGTTTTAGCTCATAGGCAAGGGATAGAGCAAATTGATTAATGGCAATTCATGGAAACAAGTTCAATTGTAGCTTCAAATTCCCTTAAGTTGTTAACCATTTTTATTCAAGTTATGTTAGCTTTCTATATTTTATTGTATTAATATAGAAATTAAAATCACTTCGTTAAAAGGATCTGTCAAAATCTTATTCAACATTCCTTTGCTTAGAATGTGTAGCAAAACAATTCATTCTCCTTTAGAAGTGTTGAAGTTTGCAGATTTAGTACCTACCAAGAGTATAAGGAGGAAAAATGCACCCTCATAAATTTGCATGAAATGAATGTGCTTAAAAATGAATCACTATCAATTCACCCCATAAGAGCATGAATTCTCATTTTTAAAATACACTCAGGAAATCCTCAAGGTTATGTTTTTTCTAATGAGTTGAAAGTTTTATATTCTGTTCCCCCAAATAATTGACATTATTGAAGATATCTAACAAATAGTAAGTGACTTTCTTCCCTAGCCTATCATTGTTTTATAGGTAAGATAATTAGATTAGCTTAGCAATATTATTTTTCACAGCTATTGTATCACTCATTTCTATGTGTGCACTTATGAGAGTTTATCTGAAAAATTAGTAGGTTCTCTAGTGTTCACTAGTGTGCTGGAGTGTGTGATGGTTCTAATAAATTTTAAGACAGAAAAATAAACTTAAAAAGTATTTTCTTAGCATCATTTAGAACATAAGAAACTGGATTTAGAAAAAAATTTCAGTTTATTATGTATGCCTGTTAAAAATATATATGAAGAAAATAAACAAATGTTATAGTATCTTTTAATTAGTTCCATTCACTGATATTTACTCTTGAGAATTAGTTTTATGTTTCTAACAGTGAAATTCAAAATATCCACTTTAACTTTCTGTAGTAATGTGTCATTTGGAATCACTTAACAGTGAGATATGCCACCTAAGGCAGTTTTTCAAAGTCTAATCATTTCAAAGGGAAACATTCATTTTAACAAATGGGTTATAATTTGATGTTGTCTTTAAATACTAAATACCATGTAAATGACAGTTTCATAGATTGTGTTGTCAGGCACACTAATCCCACAGAATATTATTTGATACATAAAATGTATTGCATAAGCCCTATGAAAATCCTGTAAAATTGTTCCTTTTAGAGATATATGTTATCAGTGGTGAAACTTAGCTTATTGTCTTTACAAATAGTGACTAAGTTAAAATGTATACAGGAAAGACTGTATACCCCATAATTATGCAGCTTAATGCACTTTGGTAAAAAAAAAAAAACTGATGTAACCAAGTAAGCATCACAAAGAACAACATATAAAACATCTCAGTGCAGTGGCTCCATCTTTTGCTCACTGCAACATCTGCCTCCTAGTTTCAAGCAATTCTTCTGCCTCAGCCTCCCAAATAGTTGGGATTACAGGTGTCCACCACCACATCCAGCTAATTTTTGTATTTTTTTTTTTAGTAGAGATGGGGTTTCACTGTGTTAGCCAGGCTGACCTCAAACTCCTGACCTCAAGTGATCTGCCACCTAGCTTCCCAAAGTGCTGGGATTACACTCATGAGCCACTGAGCCAAGCCAATCTTACTCTTTTTTAGCATCATGTTGATCTATCCAATTGAAACTGTATCATCTAGCTGTATATACTTTTATTATTGTAAGAAATTATTGTAAATAGTAACTCAAGGAACTGGATATTAAATTAAAATTGTCAAAAGTAACATTGAATCCCCCAATATTACTTAAAATATGTATTTTATCCAGTGATTGAACACTTTTAAATAGAACCTGGTGGAGAGTCTAAAATCTAACAACAGCAACAGAAGATAAATCGCTACTCTGTTACTCACAAGGAAAACTGATTAAACAATCAATTTTTGTTGTCAGTGTACCCGTTTGTACCTGGGAAACAATAACCTTTAAAATATTAAGTTCAATATTTGAAAATGCTTACTATTCTTATAACATCTGCATGAACACTAAGGACATGACAGATTCTTATTTTTGAAAATCATTTCTTTTTATGCATGGAAGTTCAGGACATACTGGTAACATATCATTTTCTTTTTTCGTTTTCTTTTTCTTTTTTTCTTTTTCTTTTTCTTTTTTTTTTTTTTTTTTTTTTTTGAGACAGAGTCTTACTCTGTCTCCCAGGCTGGAGTGCAGTGGCGCGTTCTCGGCTCACTGCAAGCTCCGCCTCCCAGGTTCATGTTATTTTCCTGCCTCAGTCTCCAGAATAGCTGGGATTACAGGCGTGCACCACCACTCCCAGCTACTTTTTTAAATTTTTATTTATTTATTATTATTATTTTATTTATTATTATTTTTTTTTGTAGTTTTAGTAGAGACGGGGTTTCACCTTGTTAGCCAGGGTGGTCTCGATTTCCTGACCTCGTGATCCGCCAGCCTCAGCCTCCCAAACTGCTGGGATTACAGGCGTGAGCCACTGCGCCTGGCCTAACATACCACTTTCATTGTGAATATTTGCTGATAGTTATCTCTTTAAATTACTTTTCCTCTCAAATTAAAAAAGAGAGCTTGACTTTCCAACAATTTACTTTCTGAAGGAAACATTCTTAGCCAGTGATCCATGTATGCAAGGAAAATCCTCTCAAATTCTGAAAACATGCATGTGTTCATTATTCTGATTGAGGCCAGTAATTTTGATCAGTTACTCAAGGTGTTTGTGACTCAAAGGATGTTAAAAATTGCTATTTAAATATCTTGCTTCCTCTTGCTGATATTTTTGAGAAATGTCAGAAAAAAATCTTGTGATACAGGAAACCCATCTGTCAGCTCTTAAAATAAAGCCAAGTGAAATCGGTTTTCAGACATCAGCAAACATTTCTGTAAAATTCAAACTATCTTCTTCTGATAAATCCTACCAAAGGGTCAGACTGCTCAAAAAGTAACTATAAATTTTAAATAAGACAAAAATTTTGCCCAATTACAGAATGTATACAATTGAACATTTATGGTTTTTATTTGTTTATTTTGAGATGGAGCCTCACTCTGTTGCCCAAGCTGGAGTGCAGGGGTGTGATGTCAGCTCACTGCAACCTGCACCCCCTGGGTTCAAGTGATTCTCCTCCCTCAACCTCCTGAGTATCTGGGATTACAGTCATGTGCCATCATGCAGGGTGAAATTTTTTGTTTTATTAGAGATGGGGTTTCACCATTTTAGCCATGCTGGTCTTGAACTCCTGGTCTCAAGTGATCCACCTGACTCAGCCTCCCAAATTTCTGGCATTACAGGCATGAACCACCAAACCCAGCCTGAACACTTAGGGTTTTAGACCATCCAATCATGAAAAAGATGTACACAGCACAATGGTTACATACTCACAACTATTTGTATATTGGGACAAAGTAAAAAGTTATATTCAGAAACTGATTTTAAGAGGGCATAGAATCATTTTTTAATGTTATAATTTCATACTTAAAAGTTAATATTAAATTAATGTCTTGTTTACTTTTATAAAAAGAGCAGGGTTTTTTTTCTGTCAGTCCACAGATTTAGGAAGAAGATGGTTAAATTTCAATGGGGTTTTTGCAAAAATAATAAGCATTAACATTTGGGATTACAAGTCTTATTTGAATAAGTGCATCATTTGAAGCTGAAATTAAATATGTAAATGTTAATGATTTATTTTACACACATCAAACATGCATAAATAATTTTATATTAATATATATACTAGCAATTTGCTCTTGTTGCCCCTGATAAATTTATCAACCCTTACATATGTTGAGTCACTTACAGGACACAAACACACACACATACACATATATATGCATACACACACACTTTTTTTTATCATGGAAATATAGTAAGTCATTAAGTAAATTCAATCTTAGGTAAAAAATGAGTATAATTTTAATATTTATTTTTTTTTTATTTCTTGGGAGGAATAAAAAGCATCCGAAAACAGGCATAAAACCTGATTCCTTGGTCACTTAAACCCCAATCAGAAAGAAAATAAAATGAGATTGAATTAACTAGAACAAATGGTAATCATTCAAGTACGTCTAAAGAATCTCATATGCTTAAAAATCTGCATACAACATTTAATTTTGAGGAGCCAAGTCTCATTTCTAACCAAAGAGTAGGGTAAAGAATAAAGCATCTGAAATTACAAACTACTTCTGGTAGGGCCATTCTGGTGCCTATGTCCTCTTCTCTGTCTCTTTCTGAGCAACCAGCTTAGATTTCATTGTGACTAATGCACTGTGGAACCCAGCTCCATCCTTGGGAAAAATGTCAAGCACACAACTTCTTTCTCCTATTTAATTTCCTTTTTTTTTTCTATTTTTTTTAATTATACTTTAAGTACTGCAGAACATACAGCTTTGTTACATAGGTATAAACTTGCCCTGGTGGTTTCCTGCACGCATCAACCCATCATCTATATTAGGTATTTCTCCTAATGCTATCCCTTCCCTAGTCCCCCACCCACTGACAGGTCCCAGTGTGTGATGTTCCCCTCCCTGTGTCCATGTGTTCTCATTGTTCAAATCCCACTTACAAGTAAGAACATGTGGTGTTTGGTTTCTGTTCCTGTGTTAGTTTGCTGAGAATGATGGTTTCCAGCTTCATCCATGGTCCCTGCAAAGGCTATGAATTCATCATTTTTTATGGCTGCATAGTACTCCATGGTGTATATGTGCCACATTTACTTTATCCAGTCTATCATTGCTGGACATTTGGGTTGGTTCCAGGTTTTTGCTATTGTGAACAGTGTCCCAAAAACATAAGTGTGCATGTGTCTTTTTAGTAGAATGATTTATAATAAGTTGGCTATATACATAATAATCAGATTGCTGGGTCAAATGGTATTTTTGGTTCTACAACCTTGAGGAATTGCCATACTGCCTTCCACAATGGTTGAACTAATTTACACTCCCAACATTGTAAAAGCATTCCTATTTCTCCACATCCTCTCCAACATCTGTTTTTTCCTGACTTTTTAATAGTTGCCATTCTAACTAGCATGAGATGGTATCTCATTGTGAATTTGATTTGTGTTTATCTAATAACCAGTGGTGATAAGCTTTTTTTCATATGTTTATTGGCTGCATAAATGTCTTTTTTTGGGAAGCATCTGTTTGTATCCTTCATCCACTTTTTGATGGGGTTGCTTTTTTTTTTTGTATGTTTGTTTAACTTCCTTTTAGATTCTGGATTTTAGCCCTTTGTCAGATGAGTGGATTACAAAAATTTTCTCCCATTCTGTAGGTTGCCTTTTCACTCTAATGATAGTTTCTTTTGCTGTACAGAAGCTCTTTAGTTTAATTAGATCCCATTTGTCAATTTTGGCTTTTGTTGCCGTTGCTTTTTGTTTTTTAGTCATGAAGTCTTTGCCCATGCCTATATCCTAAATGGTTTTCTTCTAAGTTTTTTATTGTTTCAGTTCTTACATTTAAGTCTTTAACATACCTTGAGTTAATTTTTGAATAAGGTGTAAGAAAGGGATCTAGTTTCAGCTTTCTGCATATGGCTAGCCAGCTTTCTCAACTGTAGAAGATCATTCAGGGTGGTGGAAAAAGTTATAAAAGTTTTAGGGAAAGACACAAACCTTCTTGGAAGGCAGAGAGATTTTGCAAAAGCTTCAGAAGAGAATTTAGCTGCCTTCAGCTAAATTCTTTTTAGGGCAGCAAAATTATCTTTAGGGCAAAGGGTAAGTAGATAGAAAGGGAATGTAAAGGAGGTTATCTAGATAAATTGGTTTACTTTGTCTCCAGAAGCCAACATTTGATCATTGAAATGCAGGAGTGCTCTCTACTTGGTGGGTCGACATGTTAATTACCCATAAATTGTGTTTGCTCCAGGACTTTGTCATTAAATCTGTACTAAATAAATGTGAGCGTCTCTGGCTTATTGAGGCTGCTGCAGCTGCATTCTCATTGGCAGTGCTTGGTTGTGCTGTCCCTTAGCCGCGCTGTCAGGCATAATCCCTGTCTGTGTACTTCTTTCATGCATAGCTCAACCAGAGTCTGTAGGGAAGACTTGGCAGATGGTGCCCCATGTGAGGAACACTGCAAAGGATCACAATGGATCCCTTGAAAAAGGTAAGAGACTGTGCAATCATTAAGTCATTGGTGCCTGCTCAGGATTTCCAAGTTTGAAGGAATGGTTCAGGCAAGGGTTTCATCATGAGAAAACAGTCATCAGCTCAATGGCAGCAGTATATAAAACTATTGAAACAGCTGTTTAAAGCTAGCAGAGTCTCAGTTTTGCAGGCTCAATTAAGGCACCTAATGCAAACTGTTGTTTCCCATAACCCATGGTTTCCAGAAGAGGCGTTCTATAGAACTAGGGGTTCTGAAGTAACATACTACTTGAACTCTCCAAGTTCCAGAAGAGGGGTTCTATATTTCTATAGAACTAGATCTATAGCTCTGGGAACAAGTGAGGAAAAATTTTAGACAACATCATGCACAAGGGCAATGAATTCCAGTAAAATCTCTAAGGTTATGGGCCTTAGTTAGGGCTGCTTTCATCTCACTCTACACAGAAGAGCCTAAAAAGGGAAGGGAGGAGGAACTGTCACCCACATTACTGCCTCCTCCTTATTCCTCAGCCTCACCATTACCAGGCAAAAATACCAAAGAGGAAATAGAGGTTTTGCCTGAGCTCCGTCCCACAATATACTGGAAAAAAGACAAGGGATGCACTACAGGTATTGGACCCTGTCTTAGGCATACAGCATTAAAAGCAAGCTCTTAGCCTGTTTAGTAATGCAAGATCAACAAGGCAATCAGATATATGAACATATTTCTTTTGACGCTTACAAAGAGATAAGGAAAAGCATTAGAGACAACGAGGCTGTTAGCCCATTTACAAAAGGATTAATTGAAGCCCTAGCAGACAACTTCCATATGACCCCATGGAACTGGTCCGTGCTAGCTAAAACAACTTTAGATGCCAAGTAATTCCTCCTCTAGAGGACAGAACTTAATGAATAATGTGAACAGCAAACCCTTTTCTAATTATGACCACTGTTGTTGTTCCTCCCCTACCCCTAACATGGCTCTCTCAAAATCTAATTTAGGTAGAGCAGTGGCCTTTAAAGGGAGAGAAATTAAAATAAGCCCATACATTAGTTGAGGAGAAATGAAAAGCCAGCCATATAGGACCATCAAACAGCACTTAGAATTTGCCCATTTTCATCATACACAAAAGATCTGGCAAATTGAGACTTTTACATGACCTATGGACTACTAATGCTAATCTGTAACCTATGGGGCCCCTTCAACAGGAGCTCCCTTCCCCTGTGGTGATTCCTCAAAATTAGTCTATAGTCATTATTTACTTAAAAGATTATTTTATACCATTCCCCTTGCAGAAAAAGAAAGAGAAAAATTGGCATTTACAATACCAGCTATCAATAATGAAGGCCAGTTCACTGATTTCTTGGAAAGCACACCTCAAGGGTTGCTGAACAGTCCTACCATGTGTCAGTATCATGTAAATCACACTTTGCTCCCCAGTAAAATAGATTTTTCTAATTGCCAGATTATTAATTTTATGGATTATATTTTACCAGGAGCCACTAACAGATCCAGTACTTTTAAGTTTATATGCCTCTGTTCAAAAGAATACACAGTTAATAAGTTTAATCATAGCATCTGAAAAAAGTATACATGTCCTCTCCTTGGAGATATTTTGGATACATAATAGCTTTCTGGTCAGTAAGACCTCAAAATGTTAAATTAAATACTAGCAATTTATATGCCTTAAATGATTACCAAAAATTACTGGGTGATATTAATTGGCTTCGTGTCATGTTAGGCATAACTACTGATAAGTTACAAAACCTATTTTCTATGCTTAAGGGCAATACAGCCCTGACCTCTCCCAGGTATTTAATTCCTGAAGCAAAAAGAGAAATTGAGGAAGCAAAGCAAGCCATTTCTCAGAGGCAACTAGATCGCATGGACCCATAATATTCAATCCAATTGTTTTTCCTACTAAGCATTCCCCAAAAATATCAACATGACAAATGGCCCCAGAGCTGCACTTACTAGAATGGGTTTTTTTGCTCGTATACCAGGACTAAAACATTATCTCCCTATATCCAGCTAGTTAGCAAAGTCATCTATTCAGGCCACAGATCATACAATCAGTTGCTAGGTTATGACCCTGATGTCATAAGAATTTCCTTGAGTAAAATGCAACTCCAGGAAGTCTTGCCTTTATCTCTAGACCTGCAACTAGCACACGGATTACACAAGCCATATAGAACATTCCCTTCCTGCTAACATACTACTTCAATTCTTATCTCATAATCCTGTGGTTATGCCTACCAAAGTAATTCACTCCCCCATACATAACGTTTTAACACTTTTTACAGATGGCTCTGGCAAAAGTGAAAAAGCAGCTATTGGGTGGGAATTGCATAACTCCCTCACTCAATCTGGATTTACTAGCACTCAGAAAGCTGTGGTTGGAGCCCTAATATTGGCCTTAGAAGCATTTTCTGCTCAGCCTATCAATATTGTTAGTGTCTCTGCTCACAATGCTTATTACAAAACCTTAAGATATCCCTCATTAAGTCCACTCTTGAGCCCACCATATTTGGACTTTTTCTTCGACGTCACCAGTTGCTGGACCAAGGTACACATCATGTTTTTATCACATATATTTGAGTCCTCATCTCATTGCTTGGACCACTGGCTTATGGCAATGATCAAGCAGACCTGCAATTTATGGCATCACTGCTTGACCAAACCTCCCAATCACATCATTTTTTTCCACCAAATTGGAGATACTTATCTAAACAATTTCAACACACCCAAAGACTATTTAAACAAATTATCCTGCAATGCCCAGATTGCTAGATCACAGGCACATCCTCTCTTTCAACAGGTGTTAACCCTATGGGACTAGAACCTAATCAGTTATGGCAAACAGATGTTACTCATGTCCCTGAATTTAGAAAACTTAGATATGTATATGTATTCATTGATATCAATTATCAACCTAATTAGCGCACATGTTATTCCAGGAGATTGCAACCAATGTCATTAAACATCTTCTTTTAACTTTGGCATTTATGGGGTGGCCCACAAAAATTAAAACTGCTAAGCATCCAGCTTATGCCTGCTCACAATTTCAACAATTTTTCTCATGTGACACACCCAATATTCCACAGGCATCCTTTATAACCCCCAAGGACAGCCTATAGTAGAACATGTCCATTCCTCTCTTAAAAATATGCTCAAAAACAAAAATGAGAGAATATGAGTAAGGACCCTGCAACACTATTAGCATAAGCATTATTTACCCTTGGTTTCTTAAATTTAAATAATAAATTTCAGTCAACTATAGAAAAACACTTTGTTAAAACCTCTCAAGACCTAAAACATGCAGTTTTATGGAAAGATGTAAATAGTAATGCATGGTGTGGTCTAAATGATTTACTAACTTTGAGAAGAGGATAAGCTTATGTTCACACCCCCTCAGGTCCTTTTTGGATTCCAGCACAATGCATCAAAGCATACCATGGAGTGGCTATAACCCAGCTCAGTAACAGAAAGGAAGAAAATGACCCTGCAGGACCTGCAGCCCTGGACGACGTGGTTTCCTCAGATGACACAAGCCCCAGACATTAACTGGGGGATGCTGAAAAGACAACTCAGAAGACTGAGCGAATCCTGCTCTGGATACAGACAACATTCACTTCATGTAATTTATTCCTTTCTATGCTTTCTATTGTACATTGCAACTCGTGTAGGGTTTTTATCCTTTTTTATGCTCTCACTTTGTCTGCAACCCGTAACTGCTACACTGTATTGGGCTTAGCTCTTAGATCCGCCTTTCATCTTCCCTATTACTTGAGCAGACACACCCTCTCATCCTCTAATAATGTAACTGCTTGCCTAGGAGGGATTGGATTGGCTTACTCCCAGTGGGGTCCCTCATTAATGACACAATTTGGACTAAGGTGCCAGGTAACACTACCTATCACTCCACCATCCTCCCACTAAGTATAAGTTATAAAAGTTCTAACCCTTACTGAGTACCTGCCCAAACACAATTACAGCTACGTTATGGCAAAGGAAATGCCTTAACATTCTTGGTTGCAGGTAGCCTCAAACTGGATATACAACTAATGCCACTTTCCCCAACATTTCCTCCTGTACTAAAGAACAAAGTAATGGATTCCACTTTGGCTTGGAGGTCTGTCATGGGGGACTAGCTTGTAGCCTCCAGTTAGACAATTATAATGTCTTAGACTGGAGCCCCCAAGGCCATTTGCAGGGCGACCATACTGATGTCCAAATCCCTGATGGCATCAATCACAGTTTTTTAGCCATGTCCTATTCCCCTATGATTTGGGCCAATGCAGGGATGTGATATCCCAAGATACCCTACAGTGCCTGGGACATCTTAGCATCTCCCTTAACACCTGACATAGGATATATTGTAATTTCAGTAACAATTATACTATGACCTTTATTCATAATCACAAGATCAGTGCCTGATTTACACTACCTATCCATATATTTTCTTTATGAGAAAAATATATCCATTACACCCCAAAACTACACGTTTGTGACCCAAATGCAAGGACAGGCTTGGTTCACCTCAGGTATCACTAATTATAATATATCTAATTTAAATATTACTAGTGTCATGGTATTAAGGAGGCAAGCTGAGGCATTTCTATCAGTCAATTTGACACATGATTAGTAAGGTCCCTCTGCCCTTGCCACCTGAGAACGTGCCCTGTTCCAAGCAAAACCCAAAAGATTCATAGGCACACTTATAGTCTTTAGAGTCTCAGCCATAGTCTCTTGGCAACTGCTAGTGTTGCTGTGACCTCTATTACTGAATCAGTACAAACAGCTACCTTTATATATAACTTAGACATAAATATGTCTAATGAGCTTCTCTTACAGCAGGATATAGATCAAAAGATGCTTGCATGACTGCAAGCCCTTGAGGCTGCCTTGGAATATGTAGAGGATTGGAAAGATGCACTGACATTCCAACAGCAATTAAACTGTGACAGGTGTCATAAACATATCTGTGTCACCTCTCTATCTTAGAATCAATCAATACATAGTTAGGATGAGGTAAAACAACACCTCTGGGGAGCCCTACATTATAATTTAACCACAGATGTAAAGAAACTTAAAACTAAAATTCTAGAGTCTCTAAATGCTGTACATCTATACACCCAACAAACAGCCATATGGAAGGATGTGCAAGAACATCTCTTCTGGATAGAACGCCACTCCTGGGGGGTCACTCTTTGATTAGAAAAGAATATTACTGATTATACTCATGTTTTCCTTATGTTATTTACTAATTCCAGGATTCAAAGCCAGAATATGAATTATAACTGCTGCACCTGACAAACCTGTTGCTGCACACATCTGTACTCTCCAAACAACAAAATCTGATGCAAAAAAAAAACACAAAAAAAGGGGAGATGTAGATTGATCAGAGTGGTTGGAAAATTTATAAACGTTAATAGGGAAAGACACAAACCTTCTTGGAAGGCCAGGAGGTTTTGAAAAACCTCAGAAGAGAATTTAGCTGATGACAGAAGCTAAATTCTGGAGTTAAATTTAGCTGATGACAGCTAAATTCTCTTTAGGGTAAAGGGTAGTTAACAAGGGAATGTAAAGGAACTTATCAGATAAATTGATTTACTTATGTCTCCAGAAACCAACCTTTGATCATTCGTGCACAGGACTGCCCTCTACTTGGGGGGTCAACCATGTTAATTACAAATTGCATTGGCTCCAGGCCTTTGTCCCCAGATCTACACAAAAATAAATGTGAGCATCTTTGGCTTACTGAGGCTGCTGCAGCTGCACTCTCATCAGCTGTGCTAAGCCATGCAGTCCCTTAGCTGCTCTGTCAGGCAAAATACCTGAATCTGCTTACTTCTTTCATCTGTTTCTTGGCCAGAATCTGCAGTACAAACTTGGCATTCAACACCATTTATTAAATAAGGAATCCTTTCTCCATTCCTTATTTTTGTCAAGTTTGTCAAAGATCAGATGGCTGTAGATGTGTGGTATTATTTCTGAGAACTCTGTTCTGTTCCTTTGGTCTATATATCTGTTTTGGTACAAGTACCTTGCTGTTTTCGTTACTGTAGCTTTGTAGTATAGTTTGAAGTCAGGTAGCTTGATACCTCCAGCTTTGTTCTTTTTGCTTAGGGTATTCTTGGCTAGGTGGGCTCTTTTTTGGTTCCCTGTGAAGTTTACAATAGTTTTTTCTAATTCTGTGAAGAAAGTCATGGTTGCTTGATGGTGATAGCATTGGATCTATAAATTACTTTGGGCAGTATGGCCATTTTCATGATTTGATTCTTCCTATCCATGAGCATGTAATGTTTTTCCATTTGTTTTTGTCCTCTCTTAATTCCTTGAGCAGTGGTTTGTAGTTCTCCTTGAAGAAGTCCTTCACATCCCTTGTGAGTTGTATTCCTAGATATTTTATTCCTTTATAGCAATAGTGAATGGGAGCTGACTCATGATTTGGCTTTCTGATTATCTGTTATTAGTGTATAGGAATGCTTGTGATTTTTTCACATTGATTTTGTATCCTGAGACTTGCTTGTCAGCTTAAGGAGACTTTGGGCTGAGATAATGAGGATTTCTACATATACAATCATGTCATCTGCAAACAGAGACAATTTGACTTTTTATTTTCTTAATTGAATACTCTTCATTTCTCTCTCTTACCTCGTTGTCCTGGCCAGAAATTCCTATACTACGTTGAATAGCAGTGGTGAGAGAGGGCTTTCTTTTCTTGTGCTGTTTTTCAAAGTAATTGTTTCCAGTTTTTGCCAATTAAGTATGATATTTGCTATGGGTTTGTCATAAATGGCTCTTATTATTTTCAGATACATACCATAAAAACCTAGTTTATTGAGAGTTTTTAGCATGAAGGGATGTTGAACTTTGTCAAAGGCCTTTTCTGCATCTGTTGAGATAATTATGTGTTTTTTGTCATTGGTTCTGTTTATGTGGTGGATTATGTTTATTGATTTGTGTATATTGAACCAGCCTTGCATTCCTGAGATGAAGCTGAACTGACAGTGTTGGATAATCTTTTTGACAAGCTACTGGATTTGGTTTGCCAGTATTTTATTGATGATTTTCACGTCAATGTTCACCAGTGATATTGGCCTGAAATTTTCTTTTTTTGTTTTGTCTTTTCCAGTTTTTAGTATCAGGATGATGCTGGACTCATAAAATGAGTTAGGTAGGGTCCCTCTTTTTCTATTGTTTGGAATAGTTTCAGAAAGAATGGTACCAACTACTATTTGTACCTCTGGTAGAATTCTAAAGTGAATCCATCCAGTCCTAGATTTTTTTTTTTTTTCTGTAGGCTATTAATTACTGCCTCAATTTCAGAACTTGTTATTTGTCTCCAGGACGCGGTGTGTGATGTTCCCCTTCCTGTGTCCATGTGTTCTCATTGTTGAATTCCCACCTATGAGTGAGAACATGCGGTGTTTGGTTTTTTGTCCTTGCGATAGATTACTGAGAATAATGATTTCCAATTTCATCCATGTCCCTACAAAGGACATGAACTCATCATTTTTTATGGTTGCATGGTATACCATGGTGTATATGTGCCACATTTTCTTAATCCAGTCTATCATTGTTAGACATTTGGGTTGGTTCCAAGTCTTTGCTATTGTTAATAGTGCTGCAATAAACATACATGGGCATGTGTCTTTATAGCAGCATGATTTATAGTCCTTTGGGTATATACCCAGTAACGGGGTGTC
Source organism: Homo sapiens (assembly GCF_000001405.40). Taxonomy (NCBI): domain Eukaryota; kingdom Metazoa; phylum Chordata; class Mammalia; order Primates; family Hominidae; genus Homo; species Homo sapiens. The sequence continues at coordinate 14,866,707 of NC_000024.10, read as the reverse complement.
TGGGCCAAATGGTATTTCTAGTTCTAGATCCCTGAAGAATAGCCACACTGACTTCCACAATGGTTGAACTAGTTTACAGTCCCACCAACAGTGTAAAAGTGTTCCTATTTCTCCACAACCTCTCCAGTACCTGTTGTTTCCTGATTTTTTATTGATTGCCATTCTAACTGGTGTGAGATGGTATCTCATTGAGGTTTTGATTTGCATTTCTCTGATGGTCAGTGATGGTGAGCATTTTTTTTCATGTGTTTTTTGGCTGCATAAATGGCTTCTTTTGAGAAGTGTCTGTTCATGTCCTTTGCCTACTTTTTGATAGGGTTGTCTTGTTTTTTTCTTGTAAATTTGTTTGAGTTCATTGTACATTCTGGATATTAGCCCTTTGTCAGATGAGTAGGTTGCGAAAATTTTCTCCCATTTTATAGGTGCCTGTTCACTCTGACGGTAGTTTCTTGTGCTGTGCAGAAGCTCTTTAGCTTAATTAGATCCCATTTGTCAATTTTGGCTTCTGTTGCCATTACTTTTTGTGTTTTAGACATGAAGTCCTTGCCCATGACTATGTCCTGAATTGTAATGCCTAGGTTTTCTTCTAGGGTTTTTATGGTTTTAGGTCTAATGTTTCAATCTTTAATCCATCTTGAATTAATTTTTGTATAAGGTGTAAGGAAGTGATCCAGTTTCAGCTTTCTATATATGGCTAACCAGTTTTCCCCACACATTTATTAAATAGGGAATCCTTTCCCCATTGCTTGTTTTTCTCAGTTTTGTCAAAGATCAGATAGTTGTAGATATGTGGCATTATTTCTGAGGGCTCTTTTCTGTTCCATTGATCTATATCTCTGTTTTGGTACCAGTACCATGTGCTGTTTTGGTTACTGTAGCCTTGTAGTATAGTTTAAAGTCAGGTAGCGTGATGCCTCCAGCTTTGTTCTTTTGGCTTAGGATTGACTTGGTGATGTGGGCTCTTTTTTGGTTCCATATGAACTTTAAAATAGATTTTTCCAATTCTGTGAAGAAAGTCATTGGTAGCTTGATGGGGATGGCATTGAGTCTATAAATTCCCTTGGGCAGTATGGTCATTTTCACGATATTGATTCTTCCTACCCATGAGCATGGAATGTTCTTCCATTTGTTTGTATCCTCTTTTATTTCATTGAGCAGTGGTTTGTAGTTCTCCTTGAAGTGGTCCTTCACATCCCTTGTAAGTTGGATTCCTAGATATTTTATTCTCTTTCAAGCAATTATGAATGGGAGTTCACTCATGATTTGGCTCCTGTTTGTCTGTTATTGGTGTATAAAAATGCTTGTGACTTTTGCACATTGATTTTGTATCCTGAGACTTTGCTGAAGTTGCTTATCAGCTTAAGGAGATTTGGGGCTGAGACAATGGGGTTTTCTAGATATGCCATCATGTCATCTGCAAACAGGGACAATTTGTCTTCCTCTTTTCCTAATTGAATACCCTTTATTTTCTTCTTCTGCCTAATTGCCCTGGCAAGAAGTTCCAACACTATGTTGAATAGGAGTGGTGAGAGAGGGCATCCCTGTCTTGTGCCAGTTTTCAGAGGGAATGCTTCCAGTTTTTGCCCATTCAGTATGGTATTGGCTGTGGGTTTGTCATAGATAGCTGTTATTATTTTGAGATACGTCCCATCAATACCTAATTTATTCAGAGTTTTTAGCATGAAGAGTTTTTGAATTTTGTCAAAGGCCTTTTCTGCATCTATTGAGATAATAATGTGGTTTTTGTCTTTGGTTCTGTTTATATGCTTGATTACATTTATTGATTTGTGTATATTGAACCAGCCTTGCATCCCAGGGATGAAGCTGACTTGATCATGATGGGTAAGCTTTTTGATGTGCTGCTGGATTCAGTTTGCCAGTATTTTATTGAGGATTTTTGCATCAATGTTCATCAAGGATATTGATATAAAATTTTCTTTGCCCAGCTTTGTTATCAGGATGACGCTGGCCTCATGAAATGAGTTAGGGAGGATTCCCTCCGCTTCTATTGATTGGAATAGTTTCAGAAGGAATGTTACCAGTTCCTCCTTGTACCTCTCATAGAACTCGGCTGTGAATCTATGTGGTCCTGGACTCTTTTTGGTTGGTAAGCTACTGATTATTGCCACAATTTCAGAGCCTGTTATTGGTCTATTCAGAGATTCAACTTCTTCCTGGTTTAGTATTGGGAAGTTGTATTTTTTGAGGAATTTATCCATTTCTTCTAGATTTTCTAGTTTATTTGTATAGAGGTGTTCATAGTATTACCTGATGGTAGTTTGTATTTCTATGGGATTGATAGTGATATCCCTTTTATCATTTTTTATTGCATCTATTTGATTCTTCTCTCTTTTTTTCTTTTTTAGTCTGGCTAGTGGTCTATTAATTTTGTTGATCCTTTCAAAAAACCAGCTCCTGGATTCATTAATTTTTTGAAGAGTTTTTTTTTGTCCTATTTCTTTCAGTTATGCTCTGATTTTAGTTATTTCTTGCCTTCTGCTAGCTTTTGAATGTTTGTTCTTGCTTTTCTAGTTCTTTTAATTGTGATGTTAGGGTGTCAATTTTGGATCTTTCCTGCTTTCTGTTGTGGGCATTTAATGCTATAATTTTCCCTCTACACACAGCTTTGAATGTGTCCCAGAGATTCTGGTATATTGTGTCTTTGTTCTCGCTGGTTGCAAAGAACATCTTTATTTCTGCTTTCATTTCATTATGTACCCAGTAGTCAATGAGGAGCAGATTGTTCAGTTTCCATGTAGCTGAGTGGTTTTGAGTGAGTTTCTTAATCCTGAGTGCTAGTTTGATTGCACCGTGGTCAGAGAGACAGTTTGTTATAATTTCTGTTCTTTTACATTTGCTGAGGAGAGCTTTACTTCCAACTATGTGGTCAATTTTGGAATAGGTGTGGTGCTGAAAAAAAATGTATAGTCTGTTGATTTGGGATGGAGAGTTCTGTAGACATCTATTAGGTCCCCTTGGTGCAGAGCTGAGTTCAATTCCTGGGTATCCTTGTTAAATTTCTGTCTCCTTGATCTGTCTGATGTTGACATTGGGGTGTTAAAGTCTCCCATTATTATTGTGTGGGAGTCTAAGTCTGTTTGTAGGTCACTCAGGACTTGCTTTATGAATCTGGGTGCTCCTGTATTGGGTTCATCTATATTTAGGATAGATGGCTCTTCTTGTTGAATTGATCCCTTTACCATTATGTAATGGCCTTCTTTGTCTCTTCTAATCTTTGTTGGTTTAAAGTCTGTTTTATCAGAGACTAGGATTGCAACCCTTGCCGTTTTTTATCTTCCATTTGCTTGGTAGATGTTCCTACGTCCTTTAAGTTTGAGCCCTTGTGTGTCTCTGCAAGTGAGATGTGATTCCTGAATACAGCACACTAATGGGTCTGGACTCTTCATCCAATTTGCCAGTCTGTGTCTTTTAATTGGAGCATTTAGTCCATTTACATTTAAATTTAATATTGTTATGTGTGAATTTGATCCTGTCATTATGATGTTAGCTGGTTATTTTGTTCATTAGTTGATGCAGTTTCCTCCTAGTCTTGATGGTCTTTACATTTTGGCATGAGTTTGCAGTGGCTGGTACCAGTTGTTCCTTTCCATGTTTAGTGCTTCCTTCAGGAGCTCTTTTAGGGCAGGCCTGGTGGTGACAAAATCTCTTAGCATTTGCTTGTCTGTAAAGTATTTTATTTCTCCTTCACTTATGAAGCTTAATTTGGCTGGATGTGAAATTCTGGGTTGAAACTTCTTTTCTTTAAGAATGTTGAATGTTGGCCCCCACTCTCTTCTGGCTTGTAGAGTTTCTGCTGAGAGATCAGCTGTTAGTCTGATGGGCTTCCCTTTGTGGGTAACCCGACCTTTCTCTGTGGCTGCCCTTAACATTTTTTCCTTCATTTCAACTTTGGTGAATCTGACAATTATGCGTCTTGGAGTTGCTCTTCTCAAGGAGTATGTTTATGGCATTCTCTGTATTTCCTGAATCTGAATGTTGGCCTGCCTTGCTAGATTGGGGAAGTTCTCCTGGATAATATCCTTCAGAGTGTTTTCCAACTTGGTTCCATTCTCCCGTCACTTTCAGATACACCAATCAGACGTAGATTTGGTCTTTTCACATAGTCCCATATTTCTTGGAGGCTTTGTTCATTTCTTTTTATTCTTTTTTCTCTAAACTTCCCTTCTCCCTTCATTTCATTCATTTCGTCATCCATCACTGATACCTTTTCTTCCAGTTTATCACATTGGCTCCTGAGGCTTCTGCATTCTTCCTGTAGTTCTCAAGCCTTGGCTTTCAGCTCCATCAGCTCCTTTAAGCGCTTCTCTATATTGGTTATTCTAGTTATACATTCATCTACATTTTTTTCAAAGTTTTTAACTTCTTTCCTTTGGTTTGAATTTTGTCCTGTAGCTCAGAGTAGTTTGATCATCTGAAGCCTTCTTCTCTCATCTCACCAGAGTCTTTCTCCGTCCAGCTTTGTTCCATTGCTGGTGAGGAACTGTATTCCTTTGGAGGAGGAGAGGTGTTCTGCTTTTTGGAGTTTCCAGTTTTTCTGCTCTGTTTTTTCCCCATCTTTGTGGTTTTATCTACTTTTGATCTTTAATGATGGTGATGTACAGATGGGTTTTTTGGTGTGGATATCCTTTCTTCTGTTTGTTAGTTTTCCTTCTAACAGACAGGAGCCTCAGCTGCAGCTCTGTTGGAGTTTGCTAGAGGTCCACTCCAGAGCCTGTTTGCCTGATTATCAGCAGCGGTGGCTTCAGATCAGCGGATTTTCATGAACCGTGAATGCTGCTGTCTGATTGTTCCTCTGGAAGTTTTGTCTCAGAGGAGTACCCGGCTGTGTGAGGTGTCAGTCTGCCCTTACTGGGGGGTGCCTTCCAGTTAGGCTGCTCAGGGGTCATGGGTCAAGGACCCACTTGAGGAGGAAGTCTGCCCATTCTCAGATCTCCAGATGCATGCTGGGAGAACCACTGCTCTTTTCAAAGCTGTCAGCCGGGGACATTTAAGTCTGCAGAGGTTACTGCTGTCTTTTTGTTTTTCTGTGCCCTGCCCCCAGAGGTGGAGCCTACAGAGGCAGGCAGGCCTCCTTGAGCTGTGGTGGGCTCCACCAAGTTCGAGCTTCCCGGCTGCTTTGTTTACCTAAGCAAGCCTGGGCAATGGCTGGTGCCCCTCCCCCAGCCTCGCTGCCACCTTGCAGTTTGATCTCAGGCTAGTGTGCTAGCAATCAGCGAGACTCCGTGGGCGGAGGACCCTACCAGCCTGTTGCAGGATATAGTCTCCTGGTGCCAGGTTTTTAAGCCCATTGGAAAACACAGTATTAGGTTGGGAGTGACCCGATTTTCCAGGTGCCGTCTGTCACCCCTTTCTTTGACTAGGAAAGGACACTCCCTGACCCCTTGCACTTCCTGAGTGAGGCAATGCCTGGCCCTGCTTCTGCTTCTGCATGGTGTGCTGCACCCACAGTCTGGCACTCCCTAGTGAGATGAACCCAATACCTCAGATGGAAATGCAGAAATCACCTGTCTTCTGCGTCGCTCACGCTGTTCCTATTTCGCCATCTTGGCTGCCCTCCCGGTTTTGAGTTTCTTAATTCTGAGTTCTAATTTGATTGCACCGTGGTCTGGGAAACTGCTTGTTATGTTTTCTGCTGCCTTTGCATTTGCTAAGAAGTCTTTTACTTCTAAATATGTGGTCCATTTTAGAATAAGTTCAATGTGGTTCTGAGAAGAATGTATATTCTGTTGATTTCAGGTGGAGAGTTCTATAGATGTCTACTAGGTCCGCTTGACCCAGAGCTGAGTTCCAGTTCTGGATATCCTTGTTAATCTTCTCTCTTATTGATCTCTCTAATATTGACAGTGGGATATTAAAGTCTCCCACTATTATTGTGTAGGAGTCTAAGTCACTTTTAAGGTCTCTAAGAACTTGCTTTGCAAATCTGGGTGCTCCTGTAATTGGGTTCATATATATTTTGGATAGTTAGCTCTTCTTGTTGCATTGGTCCCTTTACTGTTATGTAATGCCCCTATTTGTCTCATTTGAACTTTGTTGGTTTAAAGTCTGTTTTATCAGGGACTAGGTTTGCAACTCCTGTTTTTTTTGCTTTCTATTTGCTTGGTAAATATTCCTCCATCCCTTTATTTTTAGCCTTTTTATGTGTCTTTACTCATGAGATGGGTCTCCTAAATACAGCACACTGATGGTCTTGACACTTTTGAATTTGTCATCCTGTGTCTTCTAACTGGGGCATTTAGCCTGTTTACATTTAAGGTTCATATTGTTATGTGTGATTTTGATCCTGTCATTATGATACTAGCTGCTTATTTTGCCCATTGCAGTGTCTTCATAGTGTGGATGATCTTTACAATTTGGTAAGTTTTGCAGTGGCTGATACTAGTTGTTACTTTCCATATTTAGTGTTTCCTTCAGGAGCTCTTGTAAGGCAGGTCTGGGGTGACAAAATCTCTCAGCATTTGCTTTTCTGTAAAAGATTTTATTTCTCCTTTGCTTATGAAGCTTAGTTTGGCTGGATATGAAATTCTGAGTCAAAAATTATTTTATTTAAGAATGATGAATATTGGCCACCAGTATCTTCTAGCTTTTTGTGATCCTTTGGAGGAGAAGAGGCATTCTTGTTTTGGAATTTTCCGGCTTTTTGCACTGATTTTTCATCATCTGCATGAATTTTTCTACCTTTGGTTTTTGATGTTGGTGACTTTCAGATGGGGTTTTTGTGTGAGCATCCTTTTTGTTGATATTGATGATATTATTTTCTGTTTGTTTGTTTTCCTTCTACCAGTCTGGCCTGTCTGCTGCAGGTCTGCTGGCATTTGCTGGAGGTTTACTCCAGACCCTCTTTTCCTGGGTATCACTTGTGGAGGCTACAGAACAGCAAAGATTGCTGCTTGTTCCTTCCTCTGGAAGTTTTGTCCCCGCAAGGCACTCACCAGATGCTAGCCAGATCTCTGCTGTGTGAGGTGTCTGTCAGCCCCTACTGGGAGGTGTCTCCCAGTCTCTATACACGAGGGTCAGGGATCCAGTTGAGGAGGCAGTCTGTCCCTTAGCAGAGCTTGAGCACTGTGCAGGGAGATCCAGTGCTCTCTTCAGGGCTGTCAGGCAGGGACATTTTAAGTTTGCTGAAGCTGCATCCACAACCACCCCTTCTCCCAGGTGTTCGGTTCCAGGGAGATGGGGGTTTTATCTATAAGTTCCAGAATGGGGCTGCAGCCATATTTTCTGAGATGCCCTGCCCAGAGAGCAGAAATCTAGAGAAGCAGTCTCACTGCAGTGGCTTCACTTAGCTGTGATGGGCTCCCCACAGTTTGAACTTCCCTGAGGCTTTGTTTACACTGTGAGGGTAAAACTGCCTACTCAAGCCTCACCAATGGCTGATGCCTCTCCCCCAACCAAGCTCATGAGTCTCAGGTTGAGTTCAGGCTGGTGTGCTGGCAACAAGTATTTAAAGCCAGTGGATATTTGCTTGCTGGGCTCCAAGGGGATGAGGCCCCGCCAAGCCAGACCAAAAAGTGGGCAATTGGTACATATGATTTATCATTCACTTATAAGGAAGTGTGAATATTTTTTGTCTGCTTTACTTTGCATTATTTTCTATATTTCCAATCTCTGTTTAAAAAGTAGAAAACTTCATTTTCCTTGGTATCAGTAATAGTACCTTTAACAAGCTATTACGTATTTTGAAACAATTTCTACCCTGTATGTCTGGTTTGTGACAAATATATCATTTGAAATTGCCCTTGAATCTTTGATTCAGTACAAATACTTGCAAAGCATATTATTGGTTTTGAAGTTCTCACAATCGTGCCATTGAATCTCCACATTGCAAAGCTATGACTTCCAATAACCACTTTCAAAGTCAGTAAAGTTCTTAGAAAATTTTCTTGACTATTTGTGATTTTTAGATATCCATGACTTAAAGTATATTTTGTGAAAGTCATTTTTGAAATCTAAGCCCACTTTTGTAACTAAAAGCTCTCTTCAGATATATATTTTTTAAGTAATCAGTATTTTATTAATATTTTTTCTCCAAGTTTCACCCAATAATTTTGTCAACCACCAATAGATGGTGACTGTAGTTAATAGAGTAGGGTTTTTATGGTGATTTTTCTCTTTACTTTTCTATTTTCATTGTTGTTATTGAAACCTTCTTGCTCTGTCAGCCAGGCTGGAGTAGAGTAGGATGATCATAGCTCACTGTAGCCTCCAAGTCCTGGGCTCAAGAAATCTTTCTGTCTCAGCCTCCCAAGTGGCTGGGCTACAGGTGTGCGTAGCCATCCTTGGCTACTTTTAAAAATTGTTTGTAGAGATAAGGTCTTGCTATATTGCCCAGGAAGTTCTTGAACTCCTGGGCTCAAGTGATCATCCTGTTTTGGCCTACCAAACTGTTGGGATTACTGGTGTGAGCCTCCATGCCCAGCCATGGCAATTTTCTGTTTCCATTATCTCTTCTTTTCACTATTACCACCACCACTATCTCCACCATCACCACTGTAACATCTTTACTTCTAAAAGGGAGATAAAGTAAAGAAATATATGGAATGCAGCAATGACCAAGTCCATGATTCTCAAAAAGAATTAGGAGTTACTACATTCAATAATTGTTGGGACAGGAATGGGATTATCTACAATGATCGGAATCACAGAGTTGGAATTTCAGGGGCAGTTCTTGCTCCAGAGACAAGAGACAAGCTTAAAGTCCTAGCCTGAAGGGGAATTGAGTGGTTTTCTGTATTAGTTATTTTCACACTGCTTTAAGAACTACCTGAGACTGAGTAATGTATTAAAAAAAGAGGTTTAATTGACTCAGAGTTCTTCAGGCATAACAGGAATCATGTCTAGGAGGACTCAGGAAACTTACAATCACGCCAGGAGGTGAAGGGGGAGCAAGCATCTTCTTCCTACAGTGGCAGGAAAGAGAGAGTGAATTTTGAAGTGCCACACCCTTTTGAACCATTGGATCCCATAAGAACTCACTCACTATCATGAGAGCAACAAGAGTGAAATCTACCCACAATCCAATCATCTTCCACTAGGCCTCTCCTCCAACTGGATACAAGATTTGGACAGGGACACAAATCTTGAAAGAAAACACAAATTGTTTTCTTTCTTTGAATCTATTGAAATTTTAAAAATAAAATAAAACACATTCTTTGAAAAAAAAAAAGAAAAAGAAGAAGAAAAAAAGAAAAACAAACAAGCAAAAAACCCAAACATGTTCCAATTCGAGGTCTCCCATGCAATATAAAGAGCTGAAGTTGAAACTAATATATTTGTGTATGCCTCTTCCCATCATTTTGAAATGATTATCATGTTTTCCTAGGATCAGTTTTATGAGCACTAAATATAATCATTCTCTAATGTATGTACAACACAGTAGAAATTGCTAGTTTGAGATGCTGAAAATTTCCAATGAAATATTTTGGAATTTCTCATCTCCCTTCCTCCCAGAGGACCTTCTATGAATCCAAGGATATTAACAAAATTTGTATTCATATACTGGTGTCAAATATTCTATTTCCCTGCTGATTGATGGTAAAATCCTGGTTGGGTTGGTGCCTCTGTTTCCTCTAGGAAATGGAATGGGAAAGAAACATTCATGGACCTGGAAGGAATTTTTCAAAACTATAGACTCTTTGTCTTGAAAGTAAGTTCATCTGCCATGCAGCTCAACTCACTTATGCATGACAGTGAGAAGAGCCTTAACTGGGCTTTCAGAAGGTGAATGAGAAGTCTTGACACTTGGGTTGTCATTTCTTATTTCAACACACTCCCTACTCACACCCTCCACTATTCATTCAGCCTTCCCCATTTCCACCTGAAATTCTTGCTGCCTCTCTTGATGCAGAGTGGATAGCTCTATCTACTTGGACACTCACGTTGCTTCATGGAACATGGTTGCGTTATTTTATTTGTTATTTTTTTCTGTTATTTGATTTGTTTTTTTAATCTCCTGCAATACTTCTTTCCGATGATATGAATAGATATGTGGTAGATAAATAGGGATACCAAAATCTATTTATAGTATTCATATCAGGTGTATGATATTAATGATATTCTTTTTAAATGTTTAGTTTTAAGTCCTGAGATTCATGTATTAGTGATATTCTAATCCTAAAGCCCTGTGAGGGAAAAGAGGAAGAAAGTAAATCATTTATTAATGTTTAAACAGCTGGTAAGGGGGAGCTTGGAATTTATATCAGGCTGGCTTCAGATGTGAACTTTTCTCACCTATCACAAAATGTTGTCTCCCAATAAAAGAAGTGAATGGATGAGGGACTCATTGTGTACTTTGCTTATATTGACACATTTTTCAAAGGCTACTTATACACTTCATTTAAAGCATCTTTAATGGCTTAGGAAAACAAACATATAATAAAATGAGTATATCTTTTTTTTTTTTTTTTTTTTTTTTTTGAGATGGAGTCTCACTCTGTCACCAGGCTGGAGTGCGGTGGTGCAATCTCAGCTCACGGCAACCTCTGCCTTCTGGGTTCAAGCGATTCTCCTGCCTCAGCCTCTCGAGTAGCTTGGACTGCAGGCATGTGTGAGCCACCGCACCTAGCTTAGTGAATATATCTAAATGCTTCCTACTGATCAAGAAAATTGGGAAAAAATCCAGTAACTGTGTTTCATAAAACTCTTAGAAACTGTATGCTCTGTTACCTATTGTGTATACCTCAGGGACCACTCATTAAAACATTGTTTTGTTTTCTTTATGGCAGAAAAATTTTCTATTATAGAGGCAGATTTTAGCACAATTAATCTTAGCAGCATATTCAGTTTATGTCATTTGCAAGATTATGGTTATGTATAGATACACACATACAAGGATGCATGTATTGCGTTTGTGTGTGTGAACCACATACTATACATTTATATCATTTGTTTTACACACATCCTTAGCCATACATAATGTATTCCTGAGAGTGTGCATGTGTGTGTAAAATCTTAGGCAATAAAAACAGTATCTAAAGTAGAAAGTGGAAGTTGTCCATTGGTTTATCTTTCAAGAGACAGTATAGATGTAAGTGTAACTGGATTGTGGCAAATTGACCATAATTTTATATATACATATTATATATATATACTATACAATATATAGATAATATACTATATGCACACACATACACAGTATTTAAGCACTATGTACAGATTATATATAGTATATTTAGATACTGTATATAGTATATATAATATATTTAGATACTATATAGTATATATGTTTATATAATGCTATAAAATACACATATATACTTACATGGCACATATATTTATATAGTATATATATTTGTATATTATATATACTCTTACTATGTATACATATAGTATATATATTTTTTATATATTTTTTACATTCAGAAGTAATGGCTCTTATGAGGATTGGAGAATAACATGAACATGTAGGGTTTGCTACATAGGTGTGAACTAATGTCTTCGATAGAAGCAGAATGCCATCATTCATGTCAATAGATATGTCAATAAGATGCTAATATTAAAAGATTCATCACACATCCCAAGTGTCGTTTTTCCTAATTAGTGTAGGCTTACTTTACTTTGAAATGAACAATATCAACAGATGAACGGCTAAAGGAAATATGGTATAGCTACATAATGGAATACTATCCCAACTTTAAAAAGAAGGAAATCCTGCCATTTGCGACAACATGCAGGATGTTATGCTAAATGAGATAAGCCAGACACAGAAAGATGGACACTGCATGATCTCACTCATATATAGCGTCTATGAAAAAGCCCAGCTCAGAGAAACAGAGAGTAAATTGGTGCTTTCCAGGGGCATGGATAAGAGGAATGGGGTGGTAATAATCCAAGGATACAAAATTTTGGCTAAACAGGAGTGATAAATAATACGTTTTTGGGTGAGGGATATGTTAATTAGCTTTGTTCAATGGGTCCATACTGAAAGCATATATCACATCAAGTAGTACTCCATAAATATATAGAGTATTATTTGTCAATATATAATTACAATATAGGAGAATCTGGATGCAACATATATGGGAAAAACCTGTACTACCTTTGCAACTTTTCTGTCAACCTAAAGGATTATAAAATAAGAAGTTTAATTTTTCAAAGTTAAAAAAGGAAAAAGATTGTGCTTATCAAAAATCATCCCAAAAATCCCAAGGAAAGTAAAGGTTCATTTTGAAATATTGTTTGTAGCATTTGCAAGCATCAGTCAGAATAAATATGCAATTGTTGTTTCAAAAGAAAAGTCTGTATGCTCTAAAGAGCTTTATTTACAATTATTTTTGAGTGTACGTAAGTGTATAAACACAGCTACCCTGGATATGCATGCATATAATATGTATCTGTGTATCATGTATATGAGTTTTTTCACACACATATGCATGTGCACACACACACACATGCATATAGTGGTCAGTACAAGACTAGAATACTGTATGTCCTTCTATTTTACTTACTATTATACATGAATATATATTAAGACTTCTTACTGATAAAATCTTGAAAAAATTCCAGTAACTTTGTGTTTCATAAAACACTTAGAAAATTGGCATAATGATATATTCCCCAATGTTATCTCTTCATCTTCACAGGGAGATTGTTAGGATGTTTATGAGGAAGAGGAACAAATAGTAAAGAAGTAAGTGTGAAGGGAGAAAGAAAGAATAAAGATGGAAGGATATCTTTCTCTACATACCAAACTAGTAAAAAATACAATTCACAAAATTCATGGAAATATTTTTGTCTATCCACATCACAATATGGCCTTGATAGTAACTTGGATATCGACCAGGAAAGTGGATTTCGGTGATCCGTTACCTTGTCTCCAGGGAGAGCCTCCATTTCTCATTAAAAAGAAAAGGCACAAAAGAAATATCACAAAGTATAGGGTGAGGCTGTTTAACTGGACCCCGTGGTGCAAGCTGGCCAAACACTCTCCCTGGTGAGCAGATAAGCATGTAGAGATTAGGGGCTTACTGTAGGGTAACTTGAGCTTCCACTGCTAGTGGAGAATAACGCAAGCCAACTGATTCTTGGTGTTTTGCTATTATTTAGATGCACACTTTACTGGTGAATGTAACAAAGCCCTTTGGCATAGTACTCCAAGTCTTTCCCTTCCTAGGTTGAGCATGGATTTATTCCCAATGTTGAGAAAGAAAGACTTTCCTTTTACTTATTTATTTTTATTATCAACATATAATTACATAATAAAAATATATAACCTCAAATATGCTGCCTTTATTTACAGTTCTTCCAGAAAATGACTTATCATTTAGTCCTCAGGAGGCACATCTTAGGAAAGACCAGCTGTTAATATCATCATCCATTCCACCAAGAAACACTGCATTTATATTTCATGTTTTAGGCTGGAAAGTAGTTTCCCACATTAGCTCAGTTCTAAATAAAGGATCATTGAGCAGGTGCTATGAGATGCATTTTTAACCCTTACCCAGCTGGGCACACTACAGATCTCATGGTGTTTGTAGACTCTACAAAGTAGGGAGGCTAGCAGCTGGTTTTAGATTCAGATAATGCATACTACAAATAGGCATTCTGCGTAAATATTTCCCATTTTAAAACTATAATTTCAATTGATCTTTTTATATTGCTATCTTTGCAGTGGGTGAGCAATAAATACACATCTTTTTCATTTGCACTTAAGAGGTGTTTATTCAGAACTCAAGGTGCATTAGGCTTTCTGTTGGGTGCTTGTCTTTTCAGAGTGCTGCTGATACGTCGCTGACATTCCAATAAATTAACAGTATGGTCCAATCCAAATCACTTGGGTGGAAGAAGCTACCTTATGGTGTTGTTGCTGTTGTTGCTTTAATTTTTTAGATGGAGTCTCGGTCTGTTGCCCAGCCTGGAGTGCAGTGGGGTGATCTCAGCTCACTGCAACCTCCACCTTCTGGGTTCAAGCAATTCTCCTTCCTCAGGCTCCTGAGTAGGTGGGACTACAGGTGCCTGCCACTGTGCCCAGCTGATTTTTGTATTTTTAGTACAGATGGAGTTTCACCATGTTGACCAGACTGGTCTCAAACTGCTGACCTTGTGATCCACCCACCTTGGCCTCCCAAAGTGCTGGGATTACAGGATTGAGCCACCACGCCCAGCCCTACCTATTGTTTCTAACTGGATTTGCTATTACAAGAAAAGAAGAAAGAACTTCCTTGTCTTCATGTCATTTTAACAATCCATTTGTCTTGGGGACTAATCACTAAAAATGCAGATTTTGATTAGTAATGAAGTGTAACAGGTGCACCCCACATCCCCACACGCAACTAACATCTCAGGCTTTTTTGTTTTTTTTTTTTTTTCCCCTGAGATGGCAGTCTTGCTCCGTTCCCCAAGCTGGAGTGAAGTGGTGTGATCTCAGCTCACTGCAACCTCTGCCTTCCAGGTTCAAGGGATCCTCCTGCCTCGCTCTCCTGAGTAATTGGAATTATAGTCGTGGACCACCAAGTCTGGCTAATTTTTGTATATTTAGTAGAGATGCGGTTTCACCATGTTGGCCAGGCTTCTCTCGAACTCCTGACCTCAAGGGATTCACCTGCCTCAGCCTCCCAAAGTGGTAGGATTATAAGCATGAGCCACCGCCCCCACTGTCTCCAGTGATTTTGTTATTGCAACTCAGAAATAAACATAAGGATTCTCATCACAAATGTGATATGTGATAGAATGAAGAAAATGTTCTGAAGCCCAGTGGAGATAGACATAGGTGGGAAGATCATGGAATTAGAACAGCCAGTGAGAGTTGTTTAGAGGAAGACTTGTTTAAAGGAGATTTGTTCAAAAAAAGATGTGCTATGTCTACTGAAGAGATGGAATACTCCTATTATTTCACATATTTTTAATCTCTTCTCTCACATGCCTTTTACCAGAGCTAACAATATTCTTGATAAAGTGCCTAAACACCTTGCAGAAAGAGGGATAAAATCTAAGGGAAGGAAGAGTTGTAAAATCTACCAACATCCAAACCAGCTCTCGAGTCATCAATAAGTTTTTTGTCAATACTGATGGCTTATCTTGGATTTTTGATTGCAAGGAAAAGAGACTCATCAGACAAGGGTTGCTATGTAGACAATGTGCCCTGTAATGGGGAATTTTAGGACAACCAGGAATCCTTCATGATCAGACTGCCAAGAATGCTCCCTTCCCTTTTTCTGCCTTTCCCTTCCTCTTCCTCTCTGGGTTATATAGTTTCTTCCAGATCATGTTGTCTTGCCTTTCACTTGATCCAACTTCCTCAGTGCTTCCCAATTTCACATTGTCAAGTGTCTCCACCTTCATCTATACTTTAAACATGTTCATTCTGATTTCCATTTTTATTTTTATTGTCAGGGGCTGTCATTGATCTATATCCTCATCTTCATCCTCATCCTCATCATCACCACCATCATCATCATCACCATCATCACTTCTACTATTATTATTCTTTTGTAAGGAAAACTGAGTTTTTCTTACTGAGTAGCCACAGACTATATCAATGCAGAAGAAAATAAGAAAAAGGCCAAGCACTATGGTTCACACCTGCAATCCCAGCACTTTGGGAGGTAGAAGGTGGAAAATCACTTGAGGTTAGGAGTTCAAGACCAGCCTGGCCAACATGGTGAAAACCCATCTCTACAAAAAAATACAAAAAATTGCCATGCCTGATGGCATGTGCCTGTAATCCCAGCTACTCGGGAGGCTAAGGTGGGAAAATCCCTTGAACCTGGGAGGTGGAAGTTGCAGTAAGCCAAGATTGCAACACCACACTCCTCCAAGATTGCAACACTGCCCTCCCCCATGATTGCACAACTGCACTTCAGCCTGCCCAACAGAGAGAGAATTTTTCTCACAAAAAAAAGAAAGAAAGAAAAGGAAGGAAGCAAGGAAGGAAGGAAGGAAGGAAATGAGAAAAAAAGGTTTAATATCATACATAGCTTCTAACCCTAAAAAAGGAAACAAAAAAATAAAAAAATGCAAAAAATACATGATCTGCCTCTCCATTAAGATAGGAAATAAGATCAATAACTTAAAAAGGGTAGGAAATTGAGCTATTGTCCCAAGTCCGATTAATTCAGGACAACTGCTACAGGGTACAATTGTATGAATAGTTGCCCATCTATGAAGAATAAAACCAGGATAGACTCAAATTGTACACTATTTATTTGTTAAAGGACTTGTTGTGGTATCTGCTTATAGTAATTATATGGTGGATTGATATAATAAAAGTCAAATTGATGCTGCTTTTTAATAGAAATATTGCATTATGTGGTTCTGATATTTTTGTCAATTTAAATAGGTGATAAAATATGTCATGGTAAATGAGATAATTAAATAAAAGGCTTTGTATAGCATCTTGGACTAGAAACCAAGATGATAATCCATAGGCTCTATAAGTTCTGGCAGCAATGTGAATGCTTGTTCAATTAAATTACTTTTCGTGAAATTCCAAGGGGTCAAAACTGCAGAGGACAGAGGTAACTGTGAGATTTAATTTACATGTCTCACAAGTGAATGCCATATTTTCTCTGTTTTTTTGTATAGTAAACACCTATATTAATAGCATAATTTTGAAGTTGCAGCCCATTGCTTCAAAATGTGAGAAGACAAAACCATGCATTCCTCCTATAGGCCTGACATTGGAATAGTATTTCCAGGGACCATTTAAATAACTGTCAGCTTACTCTTATTTTTACAAAAGGAAATGTTAGTATTTTTTTTCTCCAGCATACATGGTTCATAAAAGACAAACATAATTTGAAATACTTGTGTGCTAACATGTTGTAAATTCTTATTTTCCTAGGTTACTCTAATAGTTAATAGAGATTGCAAAATGTTAGCTCTCCATATTACAAAGTATTTTATATATACCCCTAAATTAAGAGAGACACATCTTAAAACATTAGTTTGTACTTTGTTTCTGCTAGTGCAGAAGACACACTTAATTGGGTTTGAAAAACAATTCCCTGGGTTGGAAGAACAAAGTTAAAACGTGTTATATAATGGGTCCCACTTAGGTTTATAAGAAAACTGTGACTAAATGGTATAAACAGTGACGGTGTATCCTGCTAAATTTCTTTTTCTTTCAGGAGCAAGCCAGCATATAGAAATTTAGATTTCAGAGGCAGGGAGGGACAGGATGAAAAATACTGCACATTTAAAACTTAAGAATATGAAATATTCACACTTAAATGTATTCTTACTTAAATATTTGATACATCTTTAAGGTGGAATCACTCTTCCTAAATGACAACATTAAACCAAAGTAGTTGGGTTTAGAGGTGGGGATCTGTCCTGGGTCCGCTGCTGAATGTTCTTCTAATGGTATTTGAGGACAGAGGAAGGAGATTCTGAAGCAGTCAGATAGGGAGATAACAGATTCTCCAATTGCCCAAGTCTGGAGAAAAGGGGTTTTTCCTGTGGTGTGACGGGGATGACAAAATTCATTGGGGATAGTGGGATGATAAAAATAGCCACATATTTCACAAAGTGTGTGCACTAGTCACACAAGTTAAGCAGATCATGGACATCATTGGCTAGGAGCAGGTGTCCTGGGGTTTCAGCAAAGAGTGCTGCTTTTGAAAGCCAGTCCTAGTTAATGCATTTTGGTGTACATTCTGTAGCAATCCAAGCCTGCCTTCTTCTATGCTAAGCATTATTCACAATGTTTCCATGCGCCTGTATCTTCTTTGTATTCTCTAACCTTAATTTTTCAAGTTCCATGCAGTCCATGTGCATTCAGGTGAGATGCAAGCAAAACCAGGGTTTTAAAGTGCCATTTCAGCCAAAAAATGAGCACAAAGCAAAATAAGCACAAGTAAAATAAAATCATAGGCAAAACTGAGAAACTGTTTTAAATGGGCACTCTACAAGATTCTATAAGCACTCTCAACCTTCTCTGTGTTTATGTGTGTGTGTGTGTTTGTGTGTGTGTACATGACAAGTTTTTAAGATATAAAGCTATCAATGTTCTCTACAAACAGATTATAGTGATTTTTTTCTTCCCCAAAATGTCTACAGGGAGGCATATATTTCTGCAATAACCAGGTTTTTTAGAGAATAGTTGACAAGCACATGCTCTTAAAAACAAAACAATATGATTGTGAACGCTATAAATTTTATGTTCTAAGTCTGCAACCTTGAGCAATTTATTTAATTTTCTGTACCCCAGTTTCCTCATCTGTAAAATGAGAGTCTGCACCCTGGAACTAGTAAAAGGATTAAATGACTTAATGCATATAACTTACGCAGAACAATACATTTTGATGATTATCTGAAAGTTTTAAAACTTGAAACAAGTGATTGCTCTGTAAATGGTTGAATCAATGCTTTTACAAAATCTCTTAAACATTTATTTGAAAAGTTTGTCTGTAGGTAATGCATATACTTATAAATTGTTATGTGCTTTTCTATTATTATAATCTAAAAACTGTAATTGCTCTTTAAATACTAGAAATAACATCCAATAACCCAGGCAGGCCAAGCATGTTAGTTTGAAAGCTGTGATCATAACGTATATACTTGTAGAAACAGGTGTTGCATAAAAATGAAGCTAACATCTGAGCCCACAAGAAACCAGTTTGACCAATTGTACCACTGAAGCGTAATAGTGGCTCTAATATTATAAATTGGGCACCATCTGATTTCTCAGTTTTTACAGGAGTTGTTAGGTTTATATTTTGGTGTGCCAGAAATGCATCTTCCCACTTCCTTTCTGCTGAGTCCAAGTTCTTGTGTTTAGGGCCCGGGGGTGAGAAAGATTTTTCTTTTTTGTAACCTTCCAGCTATGGCTGTTGGCAATTTGTCTTAGTCTCCAAGGACTCCCTCTCCGGCCCTTTTAGGAATCAGTGACTTTGAGAACTAGTTGGAACATTCCACTTTAATGAATGTCACCTGTTAATTTCAGGCAGGGTTTTCTCCTGGCTAATTTTTCTCATTTTTTTTTTTCTAATTCTTTTGCCAGTAGAGGAAACCAGATTATTTGTGGGTGTTCTAAGAATTTACATGTATGATCATTTTAGAGAAAGGTAGAGGTACAGTGGACCTTTTTTATATCTCAATTTCTTTCAATATATTAATAAGATTTTGCAGAGAAAGTATCACTTTTACTTCCTTAGCATAACTTTTTTTTTTTTTGAACCAGGTGGCCTAGGAGATGTGACATATGCATATATTTCCTGGAAGTTCTGAGAAACAACAAAAAACAGCCCTTATATCTGGCTGCTAGAATTAGCCTGATAATTAATTGCTAAGTCAAGGTGCATCTGGCTGCACATAAAAATAATTGAACGAACTTCCTCATTAGATGAAGGCAGCCCACGGCCAGCATGGGACAAGCCAGAAACATGAACAGTCTGGAAACACTGAAAATGACCCCAAATCCCCTTCTCTTCCACTGCTTATTTTTACTGAAGACAATGCTAGTCATTCTCTGGTCCTGTCACTTTCTTGCTAAAGGATATTGACATCCCCATTATCATGACAGTAACCAATGCAGGAACAAGTTTTTGGCCCTCTTAGCACTTATAAAACAACCCAGTCTAAGCCCAAACCCTTGACCAGCCTGTCTGAAACTCTCTCCAAGGTATCTCATCATTCTCCTCTCTCTGTTGAAACAAGTTCCTAAACAAAAGCTTAAGGACAAATGTGGTTCCAGGTGGTTTTTGATGACTACGCTTTATCAGTTCTGGTACATGCAGCTATAAGATGCATTTCTTATCGTTTTTTTTTTCTTTTTTACTTCTTGTCTTATTACGGTCTCCATCACCCTTAAAAAGAGGACAGTAATTAATTTCTGATTGCTCTGGCTCTTTAATGTTGTCCTTGCATCCAGAACCCTCTCATTCCAATGCAGATTATCCTCATGGTTACTTCTAAAGTGAACAGTTCTCCATCCTTTGCAACCTAAATAAGTTGGGGTTAATTGAGAATGAGCAACAAGTGCATCACTTAGAGATCGTCTTGGAAATTCAGACACAGGTTCACCAAACCACAATTCAGTAAGGATCTGTACTTTAAGTTGACATCCCGTGTATTCCTAAGCATGTGAACTTTTGAGAATTACTGCTAAATGTCTCAACTAAATACACTCATAATCCACTTTGGTGCAATCATTTGGTGTCTCTCAATTGACTTCAGGACAAAGCCCAAACTCCCTGTCTTGCAGTTGGAGGTTTTTTTATCAGCCAGTTCCTTTCTGTCTCATTTGTTGGAGGTTTTTTATCAGCCAATTTCTTTCTGTCTCATTTTTCACACCTTTCTAAAAAACACCTTATATTTTTCACCCATGATGCAGGAGCCATGTCTTCCTATGTCTTCGTCTGTCTTCTTACTTCAAAGATGTGTAATTCTATCCTCCCCACAACACACCACCCACTAGTATTTTTTCTACAGAGTTGGAAAGACCTGGCTTAGGGGTTTCTTCAGACAGAATGTATTCCTGATCTTCCCAGACTAGGTTAAGGGCAGTGTCCAGACATTTATTAGCACCCCTTATTAACATGGGTGCCATCTCCAGCACCCCTTGCCTCTCCTTGCTTCTGTGTTTCTCTGCCTTCCCCTCAAGTTTTGTGGTGTGAGAAGTTTGTTCTTCAATTTTAACACCAGCCCAGCACAGGGCCTGAGGCAGTGAAGATATTCAGTAAAGTTTCACTGAATGGATGCATATAATTTTTAGCATTCCTTGAGTTATTCAAAATGAACAAGAATGCATAAAATAGTCAAAACAAGAGTGATTCTCCCTCCAGCTGAAATTTGCTAAAAATTAGGCTTTGAATGCCTGAAGATGACATTCAGTTAAATGTGTGTGTGTGTGTATATATATATATATATATATGTATGTGTATACATGTTTATTTGTGTACATTTAATAAAAGTGCCATTCTTAGAGATTTAAGTACATTCATATCTGCGAATATGTCTATATATGTAAATTATGTATGTGTATATATGCATCTGTGTCTATATGTAAGTATATAGTGTAACGCTCCTTTTCCAAAAAGAATGCATTCCAAGACTCCCAGTGGATACCTGAAACCACAGATAGTACCAAACCCTTTATATACTATATATTTTATTAAATATACACACTTATTATGAAGCTTAATTTATAAAGTAGATGGAGTAAGAGATGAACAATAGCTAATAAAATAGAACAATTATAATGTCATAAATGTTATGTGAATGTGGTTTCTTTCAAAATATCTTATTGAAGTACTCATATATTTTTAGATCATAGTTGATCACAGTAAATGAAACTGCAGAATGTGATTTCACAGATAAAAAGCAGTAATGTAATACACACACACACACAGAGGAATGTATATGTGAGCACAAATGTGTTATAGATTTGTGTGTATATATGAGTCTGTGTGTGTTTATGAGTGTGTGTGCATATGTATTTAATGAAAATGACATCTTCAGGAATTTAAAGTATGTGATATCCATGTACATATGTAAATGTATAACATATATATGCATATATGCATGTGTGCATATACAGTATATATAATGTAAACATACACAGTCATGTATCAATAGGTTTCTGAGAAAAGTTTCGTTAGGCAATTTCATCATTGTGCAAACATCATGTAGTATACTTACACAAAACCGATGTGTAGCCTATAGCACACCTAGGCTCTATGGTATAGCCTAGTTCTTCCAGTCTACAAACCTGTACAGCATGTGACTGGAGAGAAGACCTTAGGCAACTGTAACACAATGATAAGCATTTGTTTGTCTAAACATATCTGAACACTGAAAAGGTACAATAAAAACATGGTATTTTAATCTCAAGACACTATCATCATATATGTGATCTATATTTGTCCAAAACATTATGCAGTCTGTGACTCTATACATACATACATATATAGGATAGGTACATGTATACTCATATATAATGTACACATACATGTACATATATACATATATGCATATGTGTGTGTATGTATTCTCCTGTGTGCCTTCACAACATGATTGAGGCCAACAACATCTGAAGGATTTAGTTCACATATTCCAAAGAGTCTGGGTCCTTGCTATATTTCTTTACTTGCTACTTAGCAAAGATTATCATGCAAGACCTTGACTTACAAGTGTTTGCTGTATAACTTCTTGGTGAAAGATTGGGATATGAGGATATGCTATCCTGTTATCCATCAAATTTTCCTGTCCAAGGGGGCATGTTTCAAAGTCAGAACATCTTCCATTATGAAAGGGGAGTAATGCAGGTGCCTGCCCCTTAGAGCTACTGTGAATGTGAAATAAGTTCGTGATGGCTGAATGCACAGGAAGGAATTGACAATTGAGCTCCCATTGGAATGACAATGATTTTCTGCCTCTGGAGTTTCATTCAGTAGAATTTCTTACTGTCACTAGAAGGTTTACTCACCTAAGGCTTTCTATTTGAAACCATTAAGGCATCAGTTTGTTGAACACAAATCAAAACACAGAGACACAAGAATGAACAGTGGTAGAAATAACACAACCAAATACTCATTTTCAGGCAGTGTCATCTCAGGAGCTTCACCAAACAGGGCTTGGTTTTCCAAAATCAGGCCAGCAGAGCCTCCTCAACTGTGCAGCTGGCCAAAGCTAAAGAAACCATCCCATTACCAAATGTATTTATCCATTTGTAGCCTATGTGAGAGCTACCATGTAGCATTTACAAAGAAAAAGGCATTCAAAGAATGGCAAAAGTAAATAAAATATTCCACCTACCAAGAAAGAACAGATGCATAATTGTTTGTACAAAGCATTAGAAAATAGTGTGATATTTTATTATTAAAATGCTGCTGAAAAGTTTATACATATGTGTCTGGCCATATATATCTTCTGTCATTACTTAAGGCAAAAGAAAGAACAAAACCTCAAAATAATAACCTAAGGAACCATTAAACCCTGTGTGCCTCTGAAGATCAAGGAAAAGCCTAGGAAAGGATTTTTTCTTACTTGTTTCTCATTTTTTTCTTTTTTCTCGTTTTCTATAAATAGCAAGTATATTTTTCTCATGGAACTCTATGAAGATTCTATAACTTCTTTTCACGTAGAAATGAGATATCATGTAAGATGTACTAAATCACTTTTAATCATAATCCCCTGTAAAAGCTAAAGCTATTCATTTAACAGGAACTCTTCTTTTCCTTAAGATGTCACAAGACTGTCATGTTGTGGCACATATTGCTAGCAGGAGACAATTGGAAATATGAACAGATACTTGAATTCATATTATAGACAGACAAAACCAGCATGGATGCCACACATCAGTTCCTTTGCAGTTTCATGGAGAGCCTATTTGTGGTTGCTCAGGTGGGGTCATACATTGCTTGCAGAAATTGCCTGATTATAGATCTATGAAAAATGAATTGGGAATGAAATCTTTCCAAGACACCTCTGTGTAGCAAAGAAATGTTGCTTCATGTGTGCTAAGTTCAGATCATAATATTTCACATATTTATATATAGAGAATTGCTTTCAAATTTAACCCAACATAAGCAACAGGATTTGGAAGTGATTTTATGTATTTCTAAAAACAGTTTTCTTTTTTCTAGAGGTCACTCCCAAACACTGATATATCACTATAGTTTGAGTGTATGGATTCAGTAATCAAAGTTGTTATTGCAAAAGAGTCAGGTAGCTGGACAATTTTTATGGGGAATCCCCACTTTAGTAGAGGCATTTAACATTGGATTTCTAGAATAACCCACAATGCAGCTAAGGGACATGATCTTCAAACATCTTTGGCTACTGTTTCTTGGTAATGCAGTAATCTTTGAAAGACAAAATATAGAGCAACCATTGCTACTGTGTTTCCTTCTGCCTTGTAATACTACAAACTTTCCTGAAAATGAGTAATAAGAAAACCACAAGCTGTTGGAGAGACAAATCTCTGATCCCCAAGTAACCAATTTAAAATGGGTGAATAAATTCCATTCAGTGTCTTGTCAGTGAAGATATCCTAATTTCCCCAAAAACCTATGCAAAGCAGTTTTAATATTCTATCCTTTTTCCCCCATTCTTCTTAATATTTATTATTTGGTGATCAGATAAATCCACAAAAGGTGATATTTTCAGACAAGCATATGTTTTATCCTATAAATGACATAAAAGATTTTTAAAAACCTGTTTACTGATACATAAGGGACTAGGTGCTTAAACAAAAGACATACATGTCTTCCTTTAATCTGATTAGCTAAGCTGAGCAGGTACTTCATCAGCCAAATCCTCCGGCAGCTGCTAGGGAACACAGAGCTGTATTTACTCCAAGGGGCATAGCCCCACCAAAGGCAAGCTTTCTTCTTTTTTGGCAGGGTCCTGAAATAGGAAGCAACTCTTCCCAAATATATTCAAAGGGCAAGAACTACAGAACAGGACTTGTATTTTGTTTTCTCTGCTGATTCTTTGTGTGTGTCTGTGTGTGTGTGTCTAATTCAACAAGTTTTAAATACATTCCACTTTTAGGACCTATCTCTGTGTTGCAATTTCATGAAAACTAACATGTACAAATCAAAGTTTTCTAAAACAATGGTCTCCTAAGAATGCTCTACATGCATCTGTGCAACCTGACAGGGAGAAATAGGCCACACAAAACTTCTGAGTCTTCCATTTGACATCACATATTCCTACAAATGAAAATCTTACGTCAGAAAATCCCATGTCTTTGTTTACATGTAATTAAGAAGAAAAGCCTCTTTTGCTGTAGAGGAACTAAGGTGGTAGGACTAATATGTGTTTGAAAGCACAACCTTGCTAAAAGTTCTTTCAAACTGAAAACACAAATAAAAGCTTTTCTCTTTTTTGTTTGTCTGCAGTTTTTGTTTGAGCTCACAGCTATATACATTTTTATTTTTTACAAAGTTTCTTAAATATAGTTCAGGCTGGCAGAATACCTCCTTCCACAGAACCCTACAATTTTTCTGCACAGTCAATTCGCTTACTTTGATAATAAAATTCTGCATTTCCTTCTTTCTGGATTACTGCTTCATGTGCTGTGTAAAAGCCTATAGAGTCTTTCTTCACTTAAGAAGAGCCATCCATTGTGTAGCCCACATAAAAATGTTTAAATTTCCATTGTAATTAAAAAATATTAAGTGTCCCTGGCTGAGCTTTGGAAGTGTGTGCTGCTACCATGATGTTGGAAACACACAGTTCCTTGAAATGGTGATGTCCTAGTCACACGAAACATCTGTTGGCATGGTTTAGATCTTAAAGCAGTATTGTAACAGAAACATATACTTTTCACATTTCATATGGTCAGAAATTGATCTCACAATACTGGAAAATGCCAATGAGAAGGGTCTGCTGGGACAGGATGACTGCCCTTTTGCATTTTTATCTAAAGTCAGTGGCACAAAAACATTCCTGGTTTGGAGATTTTCTTTCTCCTTATTTGTCTCTTTTACATTGCTGAGCAGTAGGGGCAGAGGGATAGGAGGGGAAATAGGGAAAAGCTATACTCTAGTGGTGGAATGTCCGTGGGGTAAATTTGTACTGTTTTGTCCTCCACTGAAGGTTTTAAAAGTGTGTAAAGGCTGCATCCCCATCAATGTGTTTGGAATCATGGTGATGGTGTTTGGCGTCATAAATGGGATGTCATCCGGCGACCGGCGCAGCGTGAGGGTGTAGTCTGGAGGGCAGGTGAGCCTCAGCGTGTCGTGTGCCTGCAGCGACTCACACTCGTGATCGTGTTCCAGCTGCTTCATCTGCAGAGACATGATCTCTTCGTTCTGGATGTGAGTGATATCATTTGTGGTGTTTCTCTGGGGACTGGGGTGCCTGTGAGTCTCATGGCGCCTCTTGTCCTTTTTGTAGTACAGCGCCGCAAAGGCTAAGATGTTGAGGAAGAGGAGCGACGCCCCGACGGCAATGGTGACACTTAATTCGGTGGAATAATCTCGTTTGGTTTCAATGAGGACAGTTGTGTCCTCGGGCCCTGTTTTGTGAGGGTCCTTAGAGTGTTTGGGATTGTTGGCAGGAGTGATTGCTGGGCGTTTGGTGGTTGGCCATATCTTGGCGGGAGATCGCCGGGTGCCATAGGGAAATGATGTCATGTCTGGTGGAGGAACCTTTGTGGTTGTTGAAACATACTGGAATATCTCGTTCAAGTTGTGCAAATGAGGAACCAATTCCAACCAGAAAGCCACTTTCGTTGCCCGGTAGTGATCTCTCACTCTGGGTTTCAAGCCAATATGCAGATAGAGCTGGTCTTTGGGATTATACTTGGACCAGGCCACTTCTTCAAAGCGATTGGGTTTTGTATGAATGAACTTGGTATCCTGAGGAACTGGTTGGTTTGGATCACTGGGGATAGAAGGAAGAAAAAAAGAAAGGTCATATTCTTCCACATGTGATATGAAATTATCTTAAACCAATAAATCAGGAAGTTACAATCTGCTCTTCATATATATTTATCAATGAGCACAAAATACCCAAGCAGCAAAGGTACATTCTGCTTTCATCCTAGGCATGTCTATCATGTTGTCTTTTCCTTTAAAAATTGCTCTTATTTTTCTTTTAAATATAAATCCTGACAGCATCATTATTCAATTTTTATAACATGTTTACTATTTTTTAATGCATCAAATGATCTTCAAAAATAAAGGAAAACTAAGTGTCTCTGGGAAAAATTTCAGTATTTCAAGTTTCACTGTTTCTGAACTGCAAAACTCATCCAGGAGTGATTTGCCCCAGAGGGGTATTTGGGAAGGTCTGGAGACATTTTTGGTTTTTGTAGACAGAGGGCAGTTCCTATGAAGGGTGGAGGTTAGGGATGCTACTAAACACCCTCTGGTGCACTGGAGAGACCCCCACAGCAAAGAAGTTATCTGGACCCAAATGTTAACAGTACTCAGGCTGAGAAATTCTGATTAAGAATTTTTCAACAAGTGGGCATTCTCTTTCTTACTCAATAATTGCATTTGAAGTAAATGAACAGATATTGCAGTTACAGCAATGAAAATTGATATTAACACTCAAAATAAAATAGGATTTATAATTAAAAGCTGCAAGTCAACACATGCATCATTTGTTTGCTCTCTATTTGAAAGTGAAATACATACACACGTGGACAATTTTTGAAGACAGAGTCCAGAAAAGATGAAAGCACATTACAGCAGCTGTAAGAAGTTTGTTAAAATGGTACATATATTTACGCCAAGGTTAACATATTTAGTATAAATAAGACACCCAGAAACAAGCTGAGGGCTGCTGCAGATGCTAAATTGTGCTTGGAAGCTATACACTGAAGAATTATCTTATTATTATTTGCACAAGTGGGCAGAGGTAGAAGGAGAATCATAAAAATTTGGAGATAATTCATAAAGCATAGAGCCTTTAAACATCTTTGCAACTAACCCTTTTAAGATAACACTTCCCCTTCAAAAAACAAATATACCAAATTCTCATTTCTACCTTTCCTTATGGTTGATAAAGTAAGCTATAAAACCAATTACATCTTAAGGTTTAATTGTTACAAAAAATTGAGATTGTGCATGGTAAAATGTCATCTAATGGTTAGTACTCAGCATTGAGATGTAATGTGCAGACCCAGGCAGGCAGGGAGTTGCAACATCCTGATCAATGGTTCCAGGTGTAATCTAAAGTCCATCCTCCAGGTAACTCCTCCTTAGGGGGACTTTTGTGAAGTTGCCTCCAACCATTGCATATTGACCTGTATGGCAGAAGGCTACAGGACCAAGGAAGAGCATATGTCTAGTCATTGTCAGATATTGTGCAGGATTTGAACAATATACTTGACTCAGAGATGCCACATGTGATAAAGGAAGATTTTCTCCCCTCAATCTGAGTCTGTGGTGGTCGTAAAGGAAATAATGTCCCTGTATTCAAATTTCTGAAGCTCTGGCTCATTAACAGCTGTGAAATATTGAGCAAATTTTCCAGCCACTGTTGGCCTTAACTTACCCATCTACATAGAGAATAAGAATATCAGGCTTGGAGACACGTGATGAAGGTTGAAAGATAATGACAAAATGTCTGACATATGGTAAGAATTCAGGAAATATTATCCCTTCTCTTCCAATATAAAAATTAGAACACCTACAATATTGCAAGGGAGGGGGAACTAGGGAGTGATGGAGTGATATACTGTGTATCATAGTACATACTATAATTCTATATTATGTACATTATAGAGTATATAATGGTATACTGTATATTACATACTATATATAAGTATACTGTGTACCAGAGTTTATACTGTATACTAACCATATACTATATGCAGTATATATATGTATGTATAACATATGTACATATGTGTACATGTATATCTATCTATAGATACAGATATAAGATGTATAATGTAATAGAGAAGAAAAAGAATGTTGACCTCTACCTTTTACTTGAATGCACACTAACTGCCGTGCTTTCACGTTACTAAGAGGGTGAAAACAAATATATATATAAAATCACATAAGTTTGAATACCATGAGATCTCATATTTATTCATAAAAAATATATTTGAAAAGTCTACTGCTTTTTATTTGTTATGCATACATTTTGATACGGCTTTGAAAAAACACTGGATTCATTTTATCATCTCATGTTTCTTTTGCTTCTTTAAGCCTTCTGAAATAATTATAAAATTTTTACTTAATGTGTGTTGAAAGAAAAATAAATGAATAAATATTTTAGGAAAAACTTCGTACTAATATTTGTTATTAATTTTTAGTGTTCTAAAGAAACAAATGGAAGTGAAGATTCCTCGTTTTTTTCATGGATCCAATTTTTCTAAATTGGGTCTATTAGATGTGTGGCTATCTCATCTACTAAGCAGTGAGAATCTAGGAAAAGGAGTATTCTGTTCATGTTGACTATTAGGCAATTTTTGAAGGATTCAGGGTATATTCGAAAGGTAAAGAAAAAACATTTATTCTGTTCTTTAAAAAATAAATAAAAAACATGTATTCTTGAAGAATAAAGGAGAGGATTTGGGAAATCCAGATAAGTGAGCTGCTGCCCGATGTAATCTGTCTATTAAAGATCTCAGGGATGCATAGCCAGAATTCTTAAGCACTGATAAGCTTGTGGAGATTATGACAGCCCACGTCATTCTCCCTTACCAAACCCTGCAGACAGTGAGGTCTAGATGTGTGATATCAGTGTTTTATTTTTTTAGTTTTTATTCAGCATAAGAAATGTTTAAATTCCTGTGAGTAAAATTAAAGATTGTAATGACTGAGGATAGAAACACTAGTTGGTGTCTCTAGTAAAAGACTCAATGCCTGTCTTCCTCCTTATCCCCTAGCACCTAACACAGCCATTTCCACCTGTTCTATTTGAGATGTAATCTTGGCAGGAGAGACTCAAGTGCATTTCTAAGGTCTTGTTCATTTCTTTAGCTAGAGATGGATATAGTACTATGATCTCTCTAAAAATATCCATGAACACTCTCAGCTGTTCCTTTAAGTAGTACAGGTTTTCCTTATATCCAAAACATTGTTAGCAAACTAGTTTATTATACATTCAGTGACTCCTCCACCACACCAGGGGAGGATGTTCATTCATTCAGCTTAAAATCCCTTTTTGGTACTAAAGGTCACCTTTACAACTAGAATTATGCTGCAACTCTCTGTAACCAATCCCTGCTAAACACTTCATTGGGACTTCTTTTTTCCTCAACAGATTTAGCAATGGTTGAATATAAATTATCGATAGAATAGAGAACATTCAACAGCAGTGATGGTGTCTGATGCAAAAAAGATAGAAATCAATCTGATGTACAAGCCTCAGACTCAGTGCAACAACATAAAAAATGAAAATACATGTTGATCTGATTTTCCATTACAAAACTCTTTTCCCATTTCTGACTTCCAATAGCACACAACTTCTTCTATTACATATTATAATGTATTGTTTGATTACTTTAAAGCACTGCTCTTTGTCATATCTTATAAAAAGACCAAGATTTGGCTGGGCGCAGTGGCTCAAGCCTATAATCCCAGCACTTAGAGAGGCTGGGGTGCACAGATCATGAGGTCAGAAGTTTGAGACCAGGACAACATGGTGAAACCCTGTTTCTACTAAAAATAAAATTAGCTGGGTACACTGATGGGAGCTTGTAATCCCAGCTACTTGGGATGCTGAGACAGGATAATTGCTTGAACCCAGAGGCGGAGGTTGCAGTGAGCTGATATCACATGAGATCGCACCACCACACTCCAGCCTGTGTGACACAGAAAGACTCTGTCTCGGAAGAAAAAAAAAAAAAAGACCAAGGTTCCCCCACTCCTTTTTGCCGATCTCTTTCCACATAGAGCTCAAAATGAGAGAATCCTGGATCAATGGGCACCTGCATTTTATTGATCAGCTTAGACAAACCCCTTTTCTCCTATTTCCCAAATAATTTTAGAGGAAAATAAGTTTAATTCTCTAGAGCCCCTTTCAAACCTCAGAGTTAGTTTTCACTTTTGCTTGATGGTGCTTCTCATTTACAAAAATGGTTTTAATCTACCTTATTTCTACAATGGCTTTGCATGTTTGGGCTTACTCAGTTCTCTTCAAGCATGATTTTAGTCCCGTGACCTGGACTAACATTGAAACACCTCCTTGCTACAGGGGAGAATCCCCCTCAG
Organism: Homo sapiens; assembly: GCF_000001405.40. Classification (NCBI taxonomy): domain Eukaryota; kingdom Metazoa; phylum Chordata; class Mammalia; order Primates; family Hominidae; genus Homo; species Homo sapiens. The sequence goes on along the minus strand of NC_000024.10, from coordinate 14,836,120 downwards.
GCACAGGCCTGGGCACTTGCTTCCCTATTCAAAATAATAATTAAAAAATAGCAAGGATTATTTGAGGCCCTGACATTCACTGATTTCAACATCCTGTCTTGATCAAGGCTTTCATGGTTTAGAGCTTCTGCAGCAACTTTCTTCTCATTTCTACTGTGTGTGCTTGCTGAATCTGCCTTTCTAAGATGGGAGGGCCCTCTTACCTAATATTAACATGAAAATATACAGGTGACATGATTTGTAAGCAAGGATCCAATTGTCCCTCCCTCCCTCCTTCTTTCCTTCCTCCCCTACTCCCTTCCCTCTTTTATCTCTCACCCTCCCTTTCCCTGTTTTTCTTCTTTCCCTTACCCATCCCTCCCTTCCCTCAATCCTTTCTTCCTCTCCTCCTCCATTCCCTCTTTTTTCTCCCTCTCTTCCTTCCTTCCTCTCTCCCTTCCTTCTTTTTTGTCTCCATCCATTTTTATCCTTGCCTCTCTCCCTAATCTCTCTTTCCTTCCTTCCTCTCTTCTTTCTTCCTCCTCCCTTCCTCTCTTTCTTTTCTCTCACTTTCTTTTCTTTGCTTCCTTCTTTTCTTCCTTCCTTCCTCCCTTCCTTCCTCCCTTCCTTCCTTTCACCTTCCTTCCCTTCTTACATCTTTCATTTCTCTTCTCCCTCTTCCCTCTTTCTTTCCTTACTTCCTCCCTTCCTTTACTCCTTTCTTGATTCCCTCCCTTCCTTCTTCCTTCCTTCTTTCCCTCCCTTCCTCTCTCTCTCTTCTTTCCCTCCCACCCCTCCTCCCTCCTTCCTCCCTCCTTCCCTTCTTTCCTTCATCACAACTCTCCTTCCTTCAGTCCCTTCATCCTCCCTTCCTAATTTTTCCTGACATGCACATTCCAACATCATTTTTCTGTGATCATCCAAATTCCAAAGGTATATGCATACCAGGTATATGTACTTTTAAACTCATAGTAAGAATCAGAACCATCTGCTTTGAGATGTCTGTAAAGAAGCATCCAGGCACCATCCACTTCATCTCCACAAACATTTGTCATCAGGAGACTGTGCTATGCCTGCAGGTTTAAAACACATGACATGATGACCACTGAGAGTGGGGAAGTATGTCTTGGCACAATGTGATCCTCTCTCCACAGCACTGTGTACTGACAGACACGCTGGGAGCTATTCTTGTTTCCTCTTGTCACCTCCAGTGCTGGAAGGGAACAGTGAGGATATGCAGAAATACCCTCTCCTTTTCTGTGAGTCATTGTCTGAGTGTGTGCTCTGTAGAATGGTGTTAAACTTGCCAGGTCACACCATGACAGCAGATGAGATACATCCCATGTTTTCTCCTTACAGGTATCAGTTTCATTTGTTCTCTGCACCTGACGACCAGGGAATCTTTCTCTGCCCTGGAGGGATCAGGCCACCATCCAGTTTACAATAAGCAAATAACTAGCAACAGTGAAATTCCTCATTTCTTTCTCTTATAGGGCTGCCAAACAAGTGTGATCACTTAAAACATTTATATTTGAATCCACATCATGCATTTCACATGACATGTAAGTTCTGAGTAACTTCCTTGATGAATCATTTGAGTCATTCTAATACATTTCTAATGAAACAAAAGAACTCACTGCATTAATACACTCTGTTATTTCAGGGATGTTTCCTATGGATGGAAGAAACAAAAATAGAGACTTCAGACAGACTGACATTCAGGCTCTCATTACCTCAGTGAACTCTCTATCTGAAGTTTTTAATTTGAGTAGCATCAGAGAATCTCTGCTCTGGTGGTTCTAGTGGTTTTTCCTTCCTCCTCTCTTCCGGTGATGTCAGGGCCTTCACAAAAGCTAGAAGCACCCTCAACACAGACCATAAATGGCAATGTGAATGTACTCCCTAAATGCAGGGTGGAAATCACAGGCTCTAAACCAGGTGACTTTAAGAAATAGATTCATGGCATTAAAAAGCACTCAGTAACAGAGAGATCACTGGTATTCTCACGGCTCTTTCAGACTTTCATGATATCTTGGTAAAAGCATCCATTTGATGCCAGTCATGATAATAGTCACCTCATAAAATGATTTAACTTCCTTTATCTTTTCGTATCTTTTTTTTTCTTTTTTTTTTTTTTTAATAGTGACATAGCCAGCCTCAGTATCATAGCCTTTGGGAGTCAGGAGGAGTTAATGAGAATTTAACAGCATTATTTAGATTTCACTATTGTTTTAATGGTTCTATAAAATATATGAAGACTGGTAGGTGGAGCCAAGATGGCTGCATAGGAACAGCTCCAGTCTACAGCTCCCAGCATGAGCGATGTAGAAGACGGGTGATTTCTGCATTTCCAACTGAGGTACCGGGTTCATCTCACTGGGGAGTGTCGGACAGTGGTCACAGGACAGTGGGTGCAGCGCACCAAGTGTGAGCTGAAGCAGGGCGAGGCATCGCCTCACCTGGGAAGTGCAAGGGGTCAGGGAATTCCCTTTCCTAGTCAAAGAAAGGGGTAACAGATGGCACCTGGGACATTGGATCACTCCCACCCTAATACTGAGTGTTGTGGGAAGTCAGGGACACCAAACGGAGGGACTGGCTGAAGCCATGGCAGAAGAACATGGATTCTGAAGATTTCATGGACATTTATTTGTTCCCCAAATTAATATTTTTATAATTTCTTATGCCTGCCTTTACTGCAATCTCTAAACATAAATTGTAAAGATTTCATGGGCACTTATCACTTCCCCAATCAATACGCTTGTGATTTCCTATGTTGTCTTTACTTTAATTTCTTAATCCTGTCAGCTGATGAGGATGTATGTTGCCTCAAGACCATGTAATAATTGCATTAACTGCACAAATTGTAGAACATGTGCGTTTAAACAATATGAAATCTGGGCACCTTGAAAAAAGAACAGGATAACAGCAATTGTTCAGGGAATAAGAGAGATAACCTTAAACTCTGACTGCCAGTGAGCCAGACGGAACAGAGCCATATTTCTCTTCTTTCAAAAGCAAATGGGAAAAATATTGCTGAATTCTTTTTCTCAGCAAGGAACATCCCTGGGAAAGAGAATACTCGCCTGGAAGTATAGGCCTATAAACAGCCCCCCTAGGTGAGCCCATCTCTTATGGTTGAGGCCGTAGGGGTGAAATAGACCCCAGTCTCCCATAGCGCTCCCAGGCTTATTAGGAAGAGGAAATTCCTGCCTAATAAATATTTGGTCAGACCAGTTGCTCTCAAAACCCTGTCTCCTGATAAGATGTTGTCAATGACAATGGTGCTCGAAACTTCATTAGCAATTTTAATTTCGCCCCGCTGCCGTGGTCCTGTGATCTCACCCTGCCTCCATTTGCCTTGTGATATTCCATTACCTTGTAAAGTACTTGATGTCTGTGACCCACACCTATTTGCACACTCCCTCCCCTTTTGAAAATCCCTAATAAAAACTTGCTGGTTTTTGCGGCTTGTGGGGCATCATTTGTTTTGTAGAGACAGACTCTCACTATGTTGCCCAGGGTTGTCTTAAACTCTTGACCTCCTTAGGCAGTCCTCCGGCCTTGGCCTCCCAAAGTGCTGGGGTTACAGGCATAAGCCACTCTGCCCGGCACAGCCATACAGATTTTGGCACTCTGGTAACAGCAGCCCAAGCTAACTAATAAACAAGGTTTACTTAGAAAAAAAATATGAATTTGATTTAAATCATTTCTTCATGCAGGAAAGAACCTTTCAGTGATAGACGAGCATCTCCAACAACTGTTGGTCCCTCCTCTGTTCTCCTCCTGGTAGCCATTCTCAGACCAAATCTACACAGTCTGATTTTGGAAAGTTGATATCCAGATGATACATTTTCCACTTCAAAAACATGCTAACATGCTATATGTTTGCCAAAAAAACCAACCAACCAAACAAACAAACAAAAATCGTGTCCTCTGATCTTATCAGAATTACTGTGTACAGCTCATGCGTGGCAGGGCCACTGCAGTCTGAGAGCCTCATTCCACATGGGAAGATTGACCCTCCCTGGGTGACATGCACATGTTGCTCTTCTATTCAGTTTAAAGAAACTCAGGGTGGATGATGGTGGCACACACAGGTAGAACAGAATGATACTCCATTGATTTCCATAGTTACATTATTAGACAGGAGAAAATTAAAAGATGCCACAATATTTGGACCTATTTAGGATGCTTTTGTTTCTTTTCTCCCATGGTTTGAAGAGAATCCACTCAGTAGAATATTGGCAGTCTCTGTTGTATGTGTGTTTTTTGTATATTTTCTACTATATTTAGGTCAATAAATGAGCTTTCCTGTGACATATGTGTGTGTATGTGTTTATATATGCATGACATATAACAATATAATATAAATATCATATATTTTTCTTTGCTCTCTATCTATTTATACAGCAAAGGAAATACAAATATATATGTATATGTACATAAATTTGTACTTGTATATATAGTATGTATATATTTGTAGTTGTTTGTATTTCTATATTATATATTGTATATGCATATATAGTATATATATATTACTATTTGTATATGTATATACACAGAAATATACTGGTATTTATGTGTATATATATACAAATGCAAATATATATATAATATATATATTATACATATGGGAATAGTTCTTTTCTCTCTATATATGTTAAATATATATAGGAATATTTATTTATATTTCTCTATAAATATTGTGACAATTGTTTGTATTCATATGGTCAGGCAATCTAAACAATTCCCCAAGTGGTAGCTCAGGTGACATAGCAAAATCCTGTTTCTAACAAAATAAATTTTAAAATTAGCTGGGTATGGTGGCATTCACCTGTAGTCCCAGCTATTCAGAAGGGTGAGGAGGGAGGATCCGTTGAGACCAGGAGTTTCAGAACAGCTTGGGCAACATAGGAAACCCTGTCTCTACAAAAATCCATGCAAGGGCATGGTGGTGCATGTCTGTAGTCCCAGCTGCTTGAGATGCTGAGATGTGAGGATCAAATAAATCCATGATTTCTAGGCCACCGTGAGCTATGCTTGCACCATTGCACTCCAGCCTAGACAACAGAGTGAGAACTTGTCTCTACAAAAAAATAAAAAAAATAAACATTAGCCAGCCATGGCAGTCACCTGTAATCCAAGCTACTCAGGAGGCTGAGGCAGGAGAATGGCTTGAGCCTAGGAGTTCAAGGCTGTAGTGTGCTATGTTGTATCACTGCACACCAGCCTGGACAGCAGAGTGAGACTGTGTCTCTTCAACAACAGTAAGAACAAAAACAAAAGTGATCAGCTGTTAACAAAACCATTATATATGTGTAAGTCCTGCACCTGCAAGTAGGAATTCTAGAATTTCTAATGGGCAATTAGAAATCTAGTAAAAATCTGGTTTGACACTAAAGTGTTTTAGGAGTAAAACACTTTGGTAATAAAGAAAATTTGAGTTCTCACAGATGATGGGGGAGAAGCTGCCTGTTATTGCTGTGTGTGTAAGCTTGTGTCTGTATGTGTATATGTGTGCATGCATGTGTGCTCCTGCACATGCCGGTAGAAGCAACACTTATACTGAGGAACCAAACAAGCGAAGAGGACAGTGATACCCCAACATGAAGAAGAACGTACCCAGTTTTGGCGAAGTTCGTCCAGTAGGTCATCACCACGGCACTGAGCATGACGTCGTTCTTGGAGAAATTACAACTGAAGAGCTCTGTGGGACCGATCATGGGGATGCCGAAGACATAGGGGACTTCATCGCCATGGGCCGAATCTGCCCAGCTGGGCTTCATTTCGCTTTGGCAGTGATGATAGAAGGCATAGAAGTAGGTGGGGGAGCCGTACTGCGCGTGCAGGTCGGCGGTGGCCACGGCGGGGGCCACCCACTGATGGTCAGTAAAGAGAGCCACCAGGGTTTTCCGCCGCGTCTCCGGGTTTTCCTTATCGGCCCAGTCTGTGTACATGAACTTGATAGTCTCCCGCAAAGTGTCTTTCCCTTCAGGGTAGCCGTAAAGGTTGTCCACGAAGTTGGACACGGAGAAGTCAAAGTCGTTGGGCGTCACACCGTCCTCGTTATCCACGATGCCGTCCACGAACTTCAGGCCTTCCCCTTGGTTGACGCCCAGCATGATGTCGTAGTTGAGGAACTCGCCTTGCTCCATCAGGATCTGGGGGTCGTCTGGGATGACGTCGCCGTCGATCACCGGCCCAAAGGCTATGTGGTAGGTGGCCGGGGTGATGGTCTGCTGGATGAGCTCCTTGTAGTTCTTGTTCTTCAGACATTCTACCATGTCCGTGGTGTCCAGCATGTTGCAGCCGACCTTGTCTGCCAATATCCGAGTGTACTTGGCCGGCTGGTAGTTCACTGCCCAGCTGGACAGGGCAGTGCCGCTCTGAATGATGGCCTTCTGGAAGAGACCTGCAGGTGCAAAATTGCGGACATGCAAATGAAAACCTGCAGGACAGAAACAGCTTTTACTGAGCAATGAAGGCTGTGATTGTTTCGCAAGCATGTGAATTTCTGGATGTAGTAGCATTCAGCTCTGTCAGAGGGCTCTTTTACCCATTTTCATTTTGATTCCCTCCCCCTGAACATTCATTTTAGGGAATGTTATTCTACACACACACACACACACACACGAGTTTAAGGAAATGAAACCACATTGAGGCTTTTCGTGCACTGGTAAAATACATGTGATTTCTTTTTTTCTTCCACAATTTAGTGTCATTTTTGCTTCCTTACCTTCAGATGCCATACATAAAAATGCAACAGCAACTACATTCCCATTTCCAAAGGGGAAAATAAACAAACAAAAAAACAGGCCTTAAACTAGTAAAAGATCAAAGGCTATCTTGTCTCACAAACAAATCCAGGTGTCTCTTCATTATGGGAAAAAATAAATCCAGTTGAATGAATTTCAGAGTGCTAATTTAGAAATGCATTTCTACCCTGCGTCTAATGAAGATATTACGGTTTGGGAATTAATGTAAATGCATTAGCTTAGCTATGCCTAATCCTCAACCAGGTACCCAACTAACAAGTATTTTTTGTCATTTTCTTCAAAACTATATCCACTGGTAACTCAGAGATTTTTTTGTTTTGTTTTGTTTTTGTTTTTGTTTTTTTTTTTATTTTTTTGCCACATAGGAAAAATTCTCCACTTGGTGAGAAACTTGAAAAAGCATGGGCAATTTTAGGAGTAAAATTCTGTATAGCTTAAAATTCTCCATCAGCTCAGTCTACTACATGAATGTCCAGAAGTATAAAATCTGTATTTTTAATCATAACAGGACAAGAGACGGCAGGCCGTAAAAATCACAGCATTCCATTTACGATCACTTCCTGACGTTTCTGTAAATCCCAGACTGAGTCAGGCACTAAAGAATAAAGCATTCAGCTGTAAGTCCAGATGCCGTGTTGATTTTTCATGTCATGGAAGCAATCAAATATGAGGAAAATGTGATTGTCATCAGGAAGATATGATTTTTAAAGACTAAAGGATTGCCCAAAGATGACACACAGGACTGCAACTTGAAACCAATATGGCTTTAACCATTATGTCAGCAAAGCCATCTTGGAAACATTTCTGTCAGAAATGTACAAGTATTGACTTGAGTACTTGGCTCTGAAGATTATTTTAAAATGTCCAAAAGAAAAAAATGTCAATATGTAATCTGTTGGATACTTTCATTAGTTAAAACATTCAGAATTAGATAAAAATGCTCTGAGATGTTCCTTTCCTACCCTTCTTATAACTACTGGCAATAATCTAGGTAGCAGCATATTTTTGTGTGTATATATATATATACTCACATATATATACACACACATATATATACACACACACATATATATACACACACACATATATATATACACACACACATATATATAAGTAACATATATAAAACAGTTATTTGTATGTTAGGAAAGTAATATAACTCCTGATGACACTAAAAAACTTGGATAATGAAAAAAAATCACCCATAAGTCAAACATTAAAGCAAAACTCACCTTAGCAAAATGAGTATGTTGGGAATTAACATAATTCTTTCTTACATCTTTCTCTTCCATTCAAACATTGTTTTGAATAGCTGAGCCCAATATTTATATAGTTGTCTACACTGCATTTTTCCAGCTGTTGAATATCTTAGGTAAATTATTATTCTTTTGAGTTATTGCATATGGTTTCTAATAACTTTCATCTCCTTTTGATCTTGTAGCTTTTCCATTTCATTCTTTGCTATGATAATAATACTGGGGTGAATATCTTCATAAAACTGTCTCTTTCCACAGGTACTTTGCCTTCATTAGACTAGAATTCCTAAGGCCAACAATTTGGGTATTTTTATCTTTATCTTTATTTCAGACAGAGTGTCTCTCTGCTACCCAGGCTGGAGTGCAGTGGCATGATCTTGGCTTGCTGCAGCCTCTGCCATCCAGGCCCAACTGATCCTCCCACTTCAACATCCCAAGTAGCTGGGACTACAGGTGTGCACCACCACACCTGGCTAATTTTTGTAATGTTTTGCAGAGATAAGGTTTTGCTTTGTTGCCCAGGTTGTTCTTGAATTCCTGGACTCAAGCAATCCTCACACCTCAGCCTCCCAAAGTACTGGGAGGATAGGCAGGAGCCACAGTGCCGGGCTCATATTTTTCAAAATTCTTGATAATACTGATGGGCTGTTTAGAAGCACTGCCTTGCATAAATGACCAACAAAAAGGTATTTTTGCAGCAAATAATAACTTCCAACCTGCTGACTTAAATAATTAACACTTTCCTCTAATTAGTGTGGCTTACATGTGTTTCATTACTCCTGAAGTTGGTTCTGACTGCTTTCTAAATCTACAACTGTCATATCAACTGAGAAATGTGAATATCTATGTATTTTCAAAAATGCCATAGAAATCTCTATGCCAAATGGTTCATCAGATTATTCATTGTTCCTGTTTTTAAAATAAAGTTACTACAAATATGAGCCTTTCCTCTTCCCTGTTATTAGCACTAGTTTGAGGTCAAAAGTCATTTGGTCTCCTGGGCAAAACATTATGAACTACGAACTCAAGGAATTCAGAGTTTGGAGGATTTTAGGAAATCCTCATCTGTCCTATCTTGCTAAAGAAGACACTGAGGAGCATAGTGATCTAGAAACTTGTTCAGATGGTGCAGGAAGTGAAGAAAGTCCTGCAGTTACTTTAAAGAAAGGTATTTTTTTAATTTTATTTCTTTATGTTTAGACAGGGTCTCTCTCTGCCACCCAGGGTGAAGTGCAGTGACACCTTCAGAGCTCACTGAAGACTTGACCTCCCTGGCTCAAGTGATCCTCCCTCCTCAGCCTCCCAAGCAACTGAGACCACAGGCGTCCACCACCAGCCCTGGCTTGTTTTTATTTATTTATTTTTGTATAAATGTGGTCTCACTAAGTTGCACAGGCTGGGCTCAAACTCCTGGGCTCAAGCCATACTCCCCACTCAGCTTCCCAAACTGCTGGGATAACAGGCATGAGCCACCTTACCCAGCTGATAACTTTAATAAATAACAATTCCAGAGGCTGAGGCAGGCGGATCACATCAGGTCAAGAAGTTTGAGACCAGCTTGGCCAATATGGTAAAAAACCATCTCTACTAAAAATAGAAAAATTAGCTGGGCATGGTGATGGTCACCTGTAAGCCCAGCTACTTGGGAAGCTGACGCAGGACAATCATTTTAAAACTGGGAGACAGAGGTTGACATGAGTGAAGATCATGATGCTGCACTCCTGCCTGAGTGACAGAGTGAGACTCCGTCTCAAAAAAAAAAAAAAAAAAAGAAAAGAAAGAAAAATTCCATTAAGATTTTGAGTACTTCAGATGTAAATGGTCCAGTCAGTGTGGTGCCATTCTGAAGCCTACCAATGACACAGAACATATCACAATGCTGTGTTGATGACTGAGATGGCTATTATGAATATTCATTTGTACCTGGCCAGGTAACAGAGGGCTGGATCTGTTCTGCAGATTTTCCTGCTTTCTCCTTTTAGGCCACAGCCAAGAATTGGTGATCCAGCTTCCAGAACCAATTGCCACAAATTCCTGTGGACTTCTCTTTGAAGTTTCATCTGATACTGCAGAGAGCCTCCCTCTTGCATTAGCATCAGGGAATTGCATTGAGTGAGCCTCAGGTGCTCTGGCAGGGCTCAGGGGTGTGGCTGTCTATGCTGACCACCACTTAGGCAGCATGAGCAATTACTACTTAGAGGCCCAAGTGCACATCTGGTTGGGTGTGGTTGCCTATGCTAACTACCACATACAAGTGCATGTCTGATTGAGGTAACATGATGTGAGTGTGTTTCTGCGGTTTCCCCTTCCCCTATTTTGCCAACAGCAGCTTTTTCCAGGTTATTAGCAGGGCCCCAGGGAGGGTTTGGAGCTCCCACGGGGACAAGTAGAGGATGTCATGCTGACTGGCCCAGCAGGGAGGTTCTTCCTAAAAGTGTGTTAGAGAGAGAGAGATAAAGGAAACTGTGGACACTTCCAAGTGCCTCATGCTGAACTGACCAGTAAGGTGGTCCTTTGCTGAAAGTCATGTTTGCAGGAGAGGAAGAAAGGGAAAGAGACAGAGGGAGAAAAAGGGAGACAGAGAGAAAGAAATAAAGGGAGAGAGACAGAGTGTGAAGGGGGGGAAGTGAGAGAGGAAGAGAGACAGTGAGGAAGAAACTGGGGAACTGGAGAGGGAGAGAGAGGAAGAGAGACAAAGAGAGAAGGGGAGAAAAGGAGAAAGAGGTGAGAGGATAGTGTGAGGGAGAGGGAGATCGAGGAGAGACAGTGGAAGGAGGGGAGAGAGGAAGGGCGAGAGACAGAGGAAAACAGAGAGAGAGACAGAGAGAAAGTGAGAGGACATAGAGAGGGAGAGACAGGAAGAGAGAGGGAAAGAGGAGAGTGAAAGGGGAAGAGAGAGAGGGAGGGAGACAGAGTCAGGGAGAGAGACACTATTCCTATGGGTAGAATCTACTTCTCTATGAATGCACCAGCCATGTTCCTAATGTTTCCAGAAGATTTAAAGAATTAATGTGAATTAGAGAAGTGTCTTTTAAAAAAACACGTGGTTAAAAGCCCAGTTGATTAAAAATCTATAAATCTGCAATATTGACATACTATTTCTCTTCCTTATTGACGTACTGTCTCTCTTCCATATTACTCTTACCAAATTGTAGCTAGAAGTTAATAAAATTTCAAATGTTCAAATACAGTGAGACTGTCAAAAGAAACAATAGTGTCCGCCCTTCTAAAGCAGTTATTTTTTTCCTATCATTGTAACCGACACCTAATTGTCACACACTTAAATGAGGAGATATTGCTAACCAAGCATGGTGGCTCAATTCTGTCACCTCAGCAGTTTGAGAGGCCAAGGGAGGAGGATCACTTGAGGCTAGGAGTTTGAGACCACCCTGAGCAAACATAGCAAGACCACTTCTCTATAAAAATAAAAATTAAAATTTAACCATTAGTCCCAGGTATTCAGCAGGTTGAGATTGGAGAAGGCTTAAGCTCAGGAGTTGGAGGCTGCAATGAGCTATGATCATGCCTCTGCACTCCAGCCTGAGTGACAGAGCAAATGGAAAAAAAGCTGAGTTAAAATATATGAAGATGGGTTCATTTTGTCTTTTGGGCATTTTCTGTTGCAATTTCCACAGTGACTTCTGGCAACCTGGACATGAATCTCAGCTATGAACTCTGACTATTCATTTCTTGGTTCAGGGCATTTGCCCACCCACCCCGGGGACACCATTATTACCTTCTGAGTAGTGGGACAGGGTCAACAGGCTGACACAGGAGGCCCCAGCCCCCGAGCCAAAGATAGTCACTCTCTTGGGGTCCCCGCCAAAGGCTCCGACATTCTCCTCAATCCACCTCAGTGCTTGAATCTGATCCAGGAGCCCATAGTTGCCTTTTGCTGCCTGGTCACCGGTACTTAAAAACCCTACAGAAGAACACAGGACATTTTTGTTGGTCAAAAAAATTGTGTACACATCCCCACCATTTGAAAAGTTATCTCATAGCTTGCCTTCTTCATTCTCTCTCTCCACAACCCTGTCCCCCACAAATTAGAGGAAAAACTGTAGAAAATTTTTTGTGGCAGAAATAATTACATAGATAATAGTTATTGTTTAGGTTGACATTATGATACCATGTCATCTTTAGGTATATATGGCTAATGTAGAAGGCAAAATAAATCTAAAATGTTAGTGGAAATTATAGGAAATTAGAGAAAAACCTGGAGAACAATTTTTGTGGCAGAAATAATTATACAAATAATGATTATTGTTTACATTCACCTTATGATACCATGTCATCTTTGGGTATATATGTGGCTAATGTAGAAGGAAAAATGCATCTACAGTGTTAGTGGAAATTACAGGAAATTAAAGAAAAAACTAGAGAAAAATTTTTGTGGCAGAAATAATTACATAAACAATGATTATTGTTAAGTTGACATTATGATACCTTGTCATCTTTGGGTATATATGTGGCTAATAGAAGACAAAATGAATCTAAAATATTAATAACATGAAGCAATCCCAGAAGTCATTGTAAATTTTACGAGGTTCAAGGTACCATTTGTGTGCACATTTTTCTTTAAACACAACAGACTCCTATGATAAATTACGTACTAAATGTCCCTTCAAATGAGTTAATGACGTAGATCTTCAAAAAAAGAAATTGTATGTAAGGAACAAATATTATAGTTGAGTATTTGGGGAAGGTTTCTTGCGTTGTTGTTTTTTACCATTTTCCTGTCCTTAGTTGAGCATTTCTCCCGAGCAAAGTCTGATGCCTTTTATGAACAACAGTGTCACATAAGGGAGGGGCTTGTTTGTATGATGACAGACTGCTTTAAGCCCTAAAATAACATAAATCCAAACCAACTACTTCAAAGCATATTCCTAACCAAAGTTGACAGCATTCCAATGAGAGACTGAGTGTTGGCTTCTACTTTTAAAACAAAAAGAGTAGAGGATGAGGCTGCATACCAGTAGAGTTAACCAGATTTTCTTCCATTAGGTTTCGTGAACAATTGGAAAAATGCTCTGAGCTGGAAAGGAGGAAATGGCCAGGCTTCAAAGAAAGTCATAAGATTTTTTTTTTCCTACAATGACAATAAATTCCAAGCCTAAATCAGGAGTCACCATTGCCTGCAGCTTCAAGGAGAGGCAGTATTGCAACTGTGAGGTTGGTCTTACTTAAGACACATCCTACCAATGTGATTTCTTTAAAGTTCAGAGAAACTTGATGTGAGATTAGCTGTGATTAGTGGGTATGTTCAGACATTACGCAAGCCCCCCACCATTTAATTAGTGATTACTAATTAGTGCTTTATGCCAAAAATGTTCTGCAACACCAGTCTCCATCACTAAATCTTTGACACGGTTTGTTCATAAAGAGCATCAGGCTTTGCCTGGGAGAAGAAATCCTTTCATTCAGGGTACATATGACAATGATGAATAATGTCAGTGTGGGTGCCCTCTAATACCACAGGGCAATGCTTTCGTCCCCTATTAAAGAGAGAGGTAATTAATTTTTAAGGCACGAGTAATTTTCTAACAGAATGATTCTGTCTTCAGCACATCTTTTCTTAACTCACTGTTCTCTCTTTCACAATTCTGCAGAATGATCTGTTGGCTTATTTTGTTTCTGCAGAGGATCGTGAAGATTTTCAACATGCTGTGAATCACTGGCCTTTCTTCCACCACAATCCCTTCCTCCCTTACAAAACAAGGGTTTTTGTAACCTTTCCAATAGCAGGCTAATGAATGTCCCTTGTGTTCAAAAATCTTAGTTATTCAAACAGCATCCTACTGGATGGATTGATCTTTGAGGTTCAGAATTTCCTCCAAATATTCTGTAAGCTTGCCAAGGGAAATGGCAATGCTTGCATCTCTGAAGTTTAACAAAAGAATGTGGTGTTTTGAAGCATGTGTTTTCACAGTTTCTGCATTGGAATTTTCATTTACTGCAACATCCAGGGATTATTAATTTTCTTTTTAAATTTAAACTATCAAAAAGGGGGAGTGCCTGTTTCAGGTACAGAATGACTGAAATAATTTTACGCTCTTTACAAGAGTATACTCCTTTCATCTTGAAACCACCTTTGCAAAACTTGTAACTGTGAGAAAATTATGACAGTGAAAGAGATCTGACCTAACCAACACCATCTTGTCTTTCACCACCATACTACAATGATCATTGCTGAGCATAGGCCAAGCTAACTTTGGGAGAAATTGAACTTATAGTTTAAATGATAATAGCCCTTCTTAAAACTAAACAACCTTTGTAAAACTAATGAAAGACCAGCAGGTTAGAAAAATGACAGATGCCTGAATTCTGCTAAGATGTTGGCTTAGTTAAATAATTACCAAACATTATCTGAAAGGTGAACCTAGGTGGACATCCTGGGTCGAGTGGGGACTTGGAGAACTTTTCAGTCTTACAAGAGAATTGTAAAGCACACCAATAAGCACTCTTTAGCGAGGATTGTAAAATGCACCAATCAGCGCTCTGTAGTTAGTAAGGGGATTGTAAAATGCAACAATCAGTGCTCTGTAAAAACACCAATCAGCACTCTGTAGCTAGCAAGAGGATTGTAAAATGCACCAATCAGCACTCTGTAAAATGCACAAATCTGCACTCTATAATAACCTAAAAGTAGTTAATCACAAGGAGGATTGTAAAAAGGGCATTCTGATAGGACAGACAGACAACATGGGATGGGACAAATAAGAAAATAAAAGTTGGCCAACTCAGCCAGCAGTGGCAACCCACTAGGGTCCTCTTCCATTCTGTGGAAGCTTTGTTCTTTCACTCTTCACAGTAAATCTTGCTGCTGCTCACTCTTTGAGTCCATGCCACCTTTAAGATCTGTAACACTCACAGTGAAGGTCAGCAGCTTCATTCATGAAGTCAGCAAGACCACGAACCCACTGGCAGGAACCAACTCTGGACACATCTAGTGGCTCATCCAGGATATTGCCATGTGGTGAGTACCGCTGGACCCTTTTCACTTGCTATTCTGTCCTATTTTTCTTTAGAATTCGGGGACTAAATACCAGGCACCTGTTGACCAGTTAAAAGCAACTAGCGTGGCTGCTGGACTAAAGACTCAGGTGTCAGGCTTTCTGGGAAAGGGCTCTCTAACAACCACTGAATCTTTGGAGTTGGGAGCATTGATTTGCCTGGAACCAGCTTCCATTTTTCCTGCATTTCTTGGCTGAGCCAAGGGTTGACAGAGAGGAAAGTCATTCAGCTCCAGGGTCCCAACAAAAAGTTGGTTGACCCTGCAGCCATGAGCATAACTTTCAAAGTTATGTTGCACAAGCGAGACTCGCCCATCTATCCTATCTATCGTGACCCTTGCCTTCTGGGTCCTAACGCCTGTAAGACAACCTTTCCTACTGCCTCTCTTCTCTGAAGGTAGCCCTGTGTCTAAAAACAACTCCCTGTCCCTGGTGATCTTCTAGTTTCTCCTATAAATGATTTATGGTATAAACTGTGGGACTCTGTTCCTTCTTTAGGTACCCAGGCTCCCCTATCAGAAAAACATAGTTTTCACCTGAAGCTTTGTTGGGAGGGGGATGATCTGGAATTTATCAACCCTCCTCAGACTAGCAGGCCTAACAAAGGCTATTCCTGAAGCTAGGATAAGGGGAGCCTCAGAAATTATATCCTTCCTTTTCATTGATGAGAAGTGAGGACAAAAGGTGTCACTCTTCCAACCCTGGAGATCCCTTCCCTCCCTAAGGGTATGGCCCTCCACTCCATTTTGATGCATATCATCTTTATAGGACAAGGATAAGGTCCCAATACTAAGAGGAGAATGCTTAGGACTCTTACAGATTTTTAAGGATGCATCACTAAGGGCCACTAAATCTGATTTTTCTCAGTCCTCTTTGTGGTCTAAGAGGAAAGGCAAGGGTGTTGATTTTCAAGAATGTGTTGGTAAGGGCTACTAAATCCGACATTTATTGGTCCTCCTTATGATCTAGGAGGAAAACTAGTGTTTCTGCTGCTGCTTTGGCGAGCACAACTATTCGGAACATCAGGGTCCAGGGACTGTTGCAGGATCTTGGGCAAGGAAAAAAGGCAAACCAAAACCACATTTGTTTTTTTCTTTTAGATGGGAATCACTCAGGCATCAACAAGCTCACCCTTGAAATGCATCCTAAGCCATTGGGAACAATTTGATCTGCAAACACTGAAATAGAAGTGGCTTATTTTTTTTTCTGCACTATGGCCTGGCCTCAATATTCTCTCTCTGATGGGAAAAATGACCACCTGAGGGAAGTATAAATTAGAATGCCATACTGTCCTTTGACCTGTAAGAGAGAAGGCAAATTGAGTGAAATATCTTATGTCTAAGCTTTCTTTTCATTGAAGGATAATCCACAACAAGGCAAAGCTTGAAATTTACATTCCACAGGAGGACCTCTCAGTTTAGCTTCATATCCTACCATCTATACAGCTCCCTTTCCTATCAGTAATAAGCCTCCTCTAGTCTCCCCCACCCAGAAGGGGAACAAGCAAAGAAATATCCAAGGGACCACAAACACCCCCAGGCTATGGCTTATGTCCCCTTCAAGCTGTCAGGGGAGGGGAATTTGACTGAACCTAGGTACATGTCCCCTTCTCCCTCTCCAATTTAAAGCAGATAAGGTAGACCTGGGGATGTTTTCAGATAGTCCTGAATAGGTATATAGATGTCCTACAGGGTCCAGGGCAAATATTTGACTTCACTTGGAAAGATATCATGCTATTGTTAGATCAAACCCTGGCCTTTAGTGAAAATAAAGTGGCTTTAGCTACAGCCTGAGTGTTTGGAGATCTGGTATTTTAGTTAAGTAAATGATAGAATAACAGCCGAAGAAAGGGACAAATTCCCTACTGGTCAGCAAGCTGTAACCCATATGGATCCCCACTGGGATCTAGACTCAGATCGTGGGGACTGGAGTCACAAACATCTGTTGACCTGTGTTCTAGAAGGACTAAGGAGAATAGGAAAAAGCCCATGAATTAATCAATGATGTCCACCATAACTCAGGGAAAGGAAAATAATCCTACTGCCTTCCTTGAGCAGCTACAAGAGGCCTTAAGAAAATATATTCCCCTGTCAACCAACTCCCTCGAGGGTCAATTGATCCTAACACATATCCAATCAGCTGCAGATATCAGGATAAAGCTCCAAAAGTGAGCCCTGGCCCCGAACAAAATCTGGAGGCATTATTAAACCTGGCAAATTTGGTGTTCTATAATAGAGACCAAGAGGAACAGGCCCAAAAGGAAAAGGGAGATCAGTGAAAGGCCACAGTCATGGCCCTCAGTCAAACAAACCTTGGTGCTTCAGAGAGGACAGAAAATGGATCAGACCAATTACCTGGTAGGGGTTGTTATTAGTGTGGTTTTCAAGGACACCTTAGAAAAGATTGTCCAGTGAGAAACAAGTCACCCCCTTGGCCATGTCCACTATGCCAAGGTCATCACTGGAAAGCACACTGCCCCAGAGGACAAAGGTTCTCAGGACCAGCAGTCCCCAACCAGGTGATCCAACAGCAGGACTGAGGGTGCCTGTGGAAAGCACCAGCTCATTTTGTCCCCCTCACTGAGCCCCAGGTACATTTAACCATTGAGGACCAGGACATTGACTTCCTTCTGGACATGGATGTGGCCTTCTCAGTGTTAATATCCTGCCACAGATGGCTGCTCTGAAGGTCCATTACCATCTGAGGAATCCTGGGGCAGCCTGTAACCAGGCATTTCTCCCAGCTCCTCAGTTGTAATTGGGAGACTTTGCTCTTTTCACATGCCTTTCTTGTTATGCCTCAAAGTCCCACACCCTTATTAGGAAGGGACATATTAGCCAAAGCTGGAGCTATTATCCATATGAATATGGGGAACAAGTCACTTATCTGTTGTCCACTGCTTGAGGAGGGAATCAACCCTGGAGTCTGGGCATTGTAAGGACAGTTCGGAAGGGCAAAAAATGTTGGCCCTGTCCAAATCAGGCTGAAAGACCCCACCAATTTTCCTTATCAAAGGCAATATCCCTTAAGGTCTGAAGCTCATAAACAATTATAGGATATTGTTAGACATCTAAAATCTCAAGGCTTAGCAAGAAAATGCAGCAGTCTCTACAACACTCCAATTCTAGGAGTACAAAAACCGAATTGTTAGTGGAGACTAGTGCAAGATCTTAGATTCATCAATGAGGCAGAAATTCATCTATATCCAGGTGCACCCAAGACCTATACCTCTACACTCTCAACAGAGGAAAAAGAATTGTTCACTGTTCTGGACCTCAAGGATGCCTTCTTCTCCATTCCCCTGCACTCTAACTCCTAGTTTCTCTTTACCTTTGAGGATCCCACAGACCACACATCCCAACTTACATGGACGGTCTTACCTCAAGCATTTAGGGATAGCCCTCATCTGTTTGGTCAGGTGCTATCCCAGATCTAGGTCACTTCTCAAGTCCAGGTACACTGGTCCTTGAGAATGTGGATGATTTACTTTTCGCTACCAGTTTGGAAGCCACATGCCAGCAGTCTACTATAGATCTCTTGAAGTTTCTAGCTAATCAATGGTAAAAGGCATCTAATTGAAGGCCAGCTCTGCCTACAACAATTCAAATATCCAGGCCTAATTTTAACCAGAGGAACCCTCAGCAAAGAATAAATGCAGCCCATACTGGCTTATCCTTTGCCCTAAGAAATTTAAACAGTTGCAGACGTTCCTTGGGATCACCAGTTTTGCCAACTATGGATCCCTGGATACGGCGAGATGGCCAGGCCACTCTATACTTTAATCAAGGACACCCAGAGGGCAAATACTCATCTAGTGGAATGGAAACCAGAGGCAGAAACAGTTTTCAAAACCTTAAAGCAGGCCCTAGTACAAGCTGTAGCCTTAAGCCTTCGTACATGAAAAAAATTATTTTTATACATCACAGAAAGAGTGGAAATAGCTCTTGGAGTCCTTATTCAGACGCACTAAGTGTCCCCACAACCAGCAGCATACCTAAGTAAGGAAATTTATGTAGTAGCAAAAGGCTGGCCTCACTGTTAACGGGTAGTTGCAGTGGTGGCCATCTTAGTGTCAGAGGCTATCAAAATAATACAAGGAAAGGATCTCACTGTCTGGACTACTCATGATGTAAATGGCACACTAGGTGCCAAAGGAAGTTTATGGCTATCAGATAACCACCTGCTTAGATACCAGGTGCTACTCCTTGAGACTTTGCTTCAAGTATGCACATGTGCAGCCCTCAACCCTGCGACTTTTCTCCCATAGCATGGGACCGATCTAGCATGACTGCCAACAAATTGTAGCCCAGACTGTGTCACCCAAGAGGATCTCTAAGAAGTCCCCTTAGCTAATCCTGACCTTAACCTATAGAACGATGGAAGTTCGTTTGTGGAGAATGGGAGATGAAGGGGCAGGTTATGCCATAGTGATGTAACAGTATTTGAAAAGTAACCCTCTTCACCCAGGGATCAGCACCCAGTTAGCAGAACTACTGGTGCTTACCCGAGCCTTAGAAATGGGAAAAGCAAAAATAATAAATGTGTATATAGGTAGAAACTATGCTTATCTAACCCTACAAGCCAATGCTACAATATGAAGAAAAAGGGAGTTCCTAACTTCTGGGGGAACCCCCATTAAATGCCACAAGGAAATCATGGAGTTATTGCACACAGTGCAAAAACCAAGGGGGTGGCAGTCTTGTGCTGCCAAAGCCATTAAAAAGATGAAGGAGAAAAGGTAGAAACTGTCAGGCAGACTCTGAGGCCAAAATTGCTACCAGGCGGAACCTCCCATTAGAAGTACCTGTGGAAGGACCCTTGGTATGGAACAACCCTCTCCAAGAGATTAAGCCCCAGTATTCCCCAAATGAAACAGAATGGAAAATTTCACGGGGGTATAGTTTTCTATGCTAGGGGTGGTTAATGACAGAAAAGGGAAAGGTACTCATACCTGAAGCCAGCCAGTGGAAAATACTTAAAAGCCTCCACCAAACTCTCCATATGTGTATTGAGAACACTCATCAAATAGCCAAATCCCTATTTACAAGGACATGTCTCCTCTAGATCATCTGACAAGTAGTCAAAGCCTGTGATGTGTGCCAAAGAAAAAACCCCATGGTCTATCATAAGGCCCCTCTGGGAGAAGAAAGAATAGGGCACTATCCTGGGCAGGACTGGTATTTAGAGTTCATGCCTATGCCTAAGTTAAAGGGATTTCAATACTTGTTGGTCTGTGCTGATATCTTTAGAAATTTGATAGAAGCCTTCCCCTGCAAGACAGAGAATGCTCAGGAAGTGGTTAAAGTCCTAATTCATGAAATAATTCCTAGATTTGGGTTATCACAAAGCTTACCAAGAATACCCTAACAGGACATGGAATCCAGCTTTTACACTCTTACATTTCCACTTTCACCTATTACACTAGCAATGAAAAGCCCATATATGGCCCTGTAACCACGAATACCATCTTAACTTTTCAAGCCTCTTTATGCATCCAGTGCAATCTGTTATCAGGCCTGCCCCTGGAAACCTACAATGCCATCAGTGTAATAATACTCTACAACTTCAACCACCAACAGATCATAGCAACTTGTGAGTCACCCATACAGCTCCATTCAGATGGCTTGTCTGCTTCTCAGGGCCTCCAAAAATTATCACCTCCTACCTGCTTAACAGTCTGGGTGTTGTAATGGCAAACATTCTCCCTGCATGACCATTCATCCCTGGACCCCTTGCAGCAGCATCCCCACCACTAATGAAAGCCTTCTCATTCCCTCTTTCTATCACTGTCTTGAATGGTTCCTAGTAGATACAAAACGGTTTTTTCTCCAATGGGAAAATAGAACACAGGGAGCCACTCAGTTTTCTCCCAACACTCCTTTTCAGCTATTCTCTGGAGGTACCTTGGCAAGTACTCTAGGAGTATGGGAAAATGAAAATAATATGAGTTATTATTATTATCACAAGCCTTTTTAACATATACAACCAGTTCTGTCTACTCAGCCAAGGCATGTTCTTCTTATGTGGAACTTGAACCTACGTCTGCCTCCCCACCTGGACAGGCACCTGGAACTTAGTCTTCCTAAGTCCCAACACTGACATTTCCCCAGGAAATCAGACCCTATCAGTGCCCCTTAAAGTTCAAGTTCGTCAGTGCAGGGCCATGCAACTAATAACCCTACTTATAGTTTTAGGAATGGCCACTGATACAGGAAACAGAATAGCCAGTTTATCTACTCCATTATCCTACTACCTATCACACACTCTAAAAGTATTTCTCAGACAGTTTTCAAGAAATAACAAAATCTTTCCTTACACTGCAATCCCAAGTAGACTCTTTGGCAGCAGTGACTCTCCAAAACTACTGAGGCCTAGACCTCCTCACTGCTGAGAAAGGAGGACTCTGCACCTTCTTAGGGGAAGAGTGTTGTTTTTATATTAACCAGTCAGGGATAATATGAGATGCCATCCAGTGTTTACAGGAAAAGACTTGTGAAATCAGACAATGCCTCTCAAACTCTTATACCAACATCTGAAGTTGAGTGACATGGCTTCTCCCCTTTCTAGGTCCTGTGACAGCCATCTTGCTATTACTTGCATTTGGGCCCTGTATTTTTAATCTCCTTGTCAAATTTGTTTCCTCCAGGATCGAGGCCATCAAGCTACAGATGGTCTTACAAATGGAACCCCAAATGAGCTCAACTCACAACTTCTACTGAGGACCCCTGAATCGACCTTGTGGCTCCAAGACTGGGCTAGAGAGTTCCCCTCTGAAGGACATTACAACTGCAGGGCCACTTCTTTGCCCCTATCCATCAGGAAGTAGGTAGAGCGGTCATCACCCAATTCCCAATAGCATTTGGGGTGTCCAGTTTAGAGGAGACACCTTCTATTGGTATGTGAAGCCAGGTGGACTTCCTGGGTCGAGTGGAAACTTGGTTCCTGAAGTCAGTGAGACCATGAACCCACCAGAAGGAACAAACTCCAGACACAATTCCATAGGTGACAAGATCTGCAACTTCCCCAATCACTAGAAACTAAAATTGGCCTTTAAAAACCTTTTATTTTAGGTTTGGGGGTACAACTATAGGTTTATTATGTAGGTAAATTTCATGTGACAGGACCTTTCACTGACAGGTCCTTTAGGCTCCATACTCTAAGCATGTTAGCTGATGAAATTTTGGCTTTTAAGTTTTACTCTCCCTGAAATGAAGCTTGTAAATCAGCAACCTCTCCTCTTTCAATTGAATAACAAAAGAAAGATGCAAAAGAGATCATGTAGAATTAATGCATGTTAATGGATACATTGTTGCCAAATTTCATCCAGGGCTCTGGAAGGAACAACAACCACAAAAATATACACACAAGAAATATCAATAGATATTTTCGGTGATATGATTTGGCTGTGTCCCCACCCAAATCTCATCTTGAATTGTTGTTACTCAGGTGATAAGAATAGTACAGATTGGCCTTTTGAGATGCCTTTTCAGGCTTTTATTTGCGACAATTGATTGGTCCCACTGGGACCATTAACATCTCTGTATCCCCATGTAGAGGGTGACTTAGTGCACCAGGGTTGTTTTCCAAAACACTATAATTGCATCCCAACCAATCCAGCAGCACTCATTCCCTAGCCCCTAAATGCCAAACTATCCTTGAAAAACTCAAGCCTTCGAATTTTGGGGAAGGCTGATTTAGGTAATAATAAAACTCCAATCACTTATTTAGCCAGCTCTGTAGGAATTAAACTGTTTATTGCAATTCTTCTATCTTGACTAATCAGCTCTATCTGTGTAGTAAAGATGAGTCTGTTGGGCAGTTACAGTGTTCTGAGGTCTAAATCACATTTTATATAAATGAGACTTAAGAAGCATGTGGGCTTATTGTCATGAAATTCTGAGCTCAGAAAGTTATTGTTTGAAGAAGAAAATGACCTGTTTTCATAAGGCACCTGATCTGTGACAATCAGATCTCACTATAAATTTGTCTTTTTCTTTATTCATCAGTACCTGGCCAGTTTTTCCTATCAATAACACTGGAGGAGAGGAAAAGGCAGCACATTATAGCTATATTATGTGATGGAGCAGGGAGAGGGAAGGTGGGAGGGAAGGGAAGGAGGGAAGGAGGGAGGAAGGAAGGAAGGAAGGAAGGAGGGAAGGAAGGAAGGAAGATAGGAAGAAAGAAAATTTTCCTGACAAAGTTATCTTCTTAAGTGCAAATAAAGAGTGATCTTAACAATATTCTAATGGTGTGATTTCTCAAAAGTTTTCAGACACCAGAAACCCTGCTATTTTTTGTAGCAAGTTAAAATTAATATTTTAGGAATCCTGCACACCTAAATCACTGGGTTTTGCCTCCTGATTGTAGAGAGCAAAATGATGGTACCTCATCAACTTGGAGAGAGCCATGCATAATATCAAAGATGAGTGCTCTTCTTGAGAACTCAGCTCTCAGGTAGATCACTTAACTTTAAATACACATTCCAGGTGAATGAAAAAAACAACCCCCTTGATTGTCTAAAACCACAGATATGCAACGAATAACCTCCTTCATCGACAGGTCCTTTAGGCTCCATACTCTAAGCCTGTTAGCTGATGAAATTTTGGCTTTTAAGTTTTACTCTCCCTAAAATGAAGCTTGTAAATCAGCAACCTCTCCTCTACCAACTGAACAACAAAAGAAAGATGCAAAAGAGATCATGTAGAATTAATGCATGTTAATGGCTACATTGATGCCAAGTTTCATCCAGGGCTCTGGAAGGAACATCGACAACAAAAATATACACACAAGAAATATCAATCAATATTTTCAGTGATATGATTTTGCTGTGTCCCCAGGCAAATCTCATCTTGAATTGTAGATCCCATAGTGGTAGGGACCCACCAGGAGGTAACTTAATCTTGGGCGTGAATTTTTCCCATGCTATTTTCATAGTCAAGATTTGATGATTTTATGAAGGACAGTTCCCCTGCACATGCTCTCTTGCCTGCCACCACGTAAGACATGACTTTGCTCCTCTTTTACTTTCTGCCATGATTGTTAGGCCTCCCCATCGATGTGAAACTGTGAATCCATTAAATCTGTTTTCTTTATAAATTACCCAGTCTCAGGAATATCTTTATTAACATCATGAGAACAGACTAATACATTCAGTTAGTGTGGTTATTTAAAAACATGTTTCATGGTAAAGGTGCCGTAAAACAGGAATCAGTTTTTCCTTCTGCATGTTGACTAAAATGAGTATCATATAAACATGAGGATTTCTAGTTGGGCTTAATATTGTTGGTAGAATAGAAAAGTTTCCACTTTTTATTATAAATAATAATGTAGATGTTTCCTCTCCTTTTGAATTATATCACAAGGCTTAGGAGAATAATTGCAGGTCTTTTGTTTCTGCATGCCCTCCAAGTCAATGGTAAGGAACCAAATGGGGTCAGATATTGTTGGCCTTTTAATTAACAAAAGACATTGTTATATGACATTAAAGCCATAATCCACTTTCTTTTATGAGATCATTCCTCGTATAAACACACTAGGCATTTTTTGGAGACAAGTAACCAGAAGATAATTATGTGAATAGAGAAGTTAAATATCTTTGACCATTTCCGTGTGTGTCATTTACCTGTAGCTGGCGCATACATACAATATGCATATATAACCATATATATGAATGTATGGGTATGAATGTATATGTACACAGACACACATATGTGCACCTTTAAACTAAAGAAGTGACACCAAACAGGAAAAGTTTAAATAAAAATTATTCAGTGAGAACAAACAGAATTTGTTTTAGGTCACACAACTGTGGTCAAAGAGAAATCTGGTGAGAATGAAGGCAGAGGTATAAAAAATAAAAATCAGTCAAATAGATTAAAAACTAATCTTTGATGGTTATAGGAAATCATTCATAGTCAATTTATTAAAAGGTGAGGCTTCAGTTTTCTGTTTTAAATTGTGTAGGATTCAACACAGGAGCACATACATATACAGAGTGTGCTGGATGGGAGGGAACGTGACGTCCTGCACTCAAATTCTGTAGCTTGATAGGTAAGGCTGGTTGAAATTCAGTGCCTTTGATTTTTAGTTTTTACTTTACTTAAAAATGGAATGAGTACTAGCAGACTATTTTCCTATTGTATCATGTTATCATATCATTATTTCACAGAGCCAAAATTTAGTTTCCAAAGTCCATAGAGAAAATCTAAGACAATTATAACAGACACATGGTATTTATACCACAGATTTCCAAACTCTGGGGCCCACAAACTCTTATTCAGATTCCTTGCATCATTTTCATAAAGTAGGTAATGTCCACCTACATGTATCTATAATGAAGCTGCATAAGCTTTTTTAAGTGCTTTAGTTTCAATTACATAAAATAAAAAAAACCAAGATGGATATTTTCTGAGCAAAATATAAAATAATAAATACAGTTTGCTTAATAAACAATAATATATCAAAACTTGAAGATAATTGATATATGAGTTTCATGGAAATGAAAATTTGAGAATGGCCTGCCTGGAAACAATTCTCTTTGAGTCAACTTTGAGTCTTTTTTTTTTTTAGATAGACTCTCTCACTCTGTTGCCCAGGATGGAGTGCAGTGCCATGATTTCGGCCCACTGTAACCTCTATGTCCCAAATTCAAGTGATTATCTTGCCTCAGCCTCCCGAGCAGCTGGGATTATAGGCGCACACCACCATGCCTGACTAATTTTTATATTTTCAGTAGAGATCTGGTTTTGCCATGTTGGCCAGGTTGGTCTCAAACTCCTGAGCTCAAGTGATCTGCTGGGATTACAGGCATGAGCCATCACACCCAGACAACTTTGAATCTTTTTAACTGAGCAGTTTCTCCTTAAATATATCTCCAGATTTGCTATGACTCTCATTCAATTGGCTGTCACATCCTTTTGGTTTTATTTTTCAAAAAGCTTGTACATCTTGTTCCTCCCTGGGTCTGCATCCTAGTGCCTGAGATGAGAACCACAGTCCTCCAGGACCTACCCACTTGGGTTTTATGTCCTTTCAGCTTTCTCTGAATTTCTGCACTATCAAAATAATCATGATGCTGTCCAATGTAAGAGGATGAGTAAAACCCAGGAAAATTAAAATTGGAGACTTCTGACCTAGGAGTCCTAATGCTTTGAATGGTTTTTCTATGAAAATCTTTATTCTGATGCATAAAAATAACCACCCAAGGCTCTGCAATTCACATGGATTGTAATTTTAAAAACAAACAATAGCAGCAAGCTCAGTGTTCACAAATCAGTGACTTGAGTGGATTCTCTTGCCTGCATCCATATTATGGGATGCTGTTTGTTTGCATGAAGTGTTAAGGAGTATTTACATGCATGGAGACAGGAACACATCTATGGTGTCTCAATAAAAATAGTGGGCTGCCTGTAATCCCAGCTACTTGGGAGGCTGAGGCAGGATAATTGCTTGAACCTGGGTGGCAGAGGTTGCCGTGAGAAAAGATCATGTGACTGCACTCCAGCCTCGGTGACGGAGTGAGACTCCATCTGAAAAAAAAAAAAAATAGTGGGCTGCTAAATACTTTTTATTGTATTTTATTATATTTTTTAGGGTTTTGTTTTGTTTTGTTTTTTGTTTTTTGTTTTTTTGCCACAGAGCCTCGACCAGGCTGAAGTGCAGTGGCACAATCTTGGGTCACTACAACCACCACCTCCTGGATTCAAGCAATTCTCCTGCCTCAGTCCCCCAAATAGGTGGGATTACAGGCATGTGCCACCACGTGTGGGCTAATTTTTGTATTTTTTGCAGAGACGTTGCCATGTTGTCCAGGCTGGTCTCAAACTTCCGACCTCAAGTGATCCACCTGCCTCTGTCTCCTGAAGTGCTGGGATTACCAGCATGAGCCACTTTGCGTGGCCCATTTATTTTATTAAAAAATAAAATGTGGAAGGAATTCAAACAGTGGAGAGTGATTATCTCAAAGGAGGTGGTTATAGGAAATGTTCATGTTTTATTGCTAATAACTGTTTATATTTTGTTCACAATTTATATCTTCTTTTTTAGCAATCACATTCACACACAATATAATGAGTGTACTGGACACACAAATTCATTACTGGGAATCCAAGGGTCATCCTGTGTGGGCCCATGTGACCTTCTCAAGGGATGCCCTACTTATGTTCTTGAGCTTGCAAATCCACCACTATACTTGCTAACTACTTCCAGAATATGCCTTGGATTTTGAAATGCTTGCTTTTTTATATGAAGTCCTCAAGATCTAAGGTGGCCTCTGCAGCCTTTAATTGCCTTGAACACCTTGCCTGAGCATCCCTTCCTGTGGCTATGGCCATATAAAAAAGCTGCATGGCTAGCTCATGGACACAGCACCACTTGAAAGGTCAGTGTGACCTGAAGGGCAGGCTCTGCATCTTCTGCAGGAGTCACCTACATAATCAGGTAGGACCTGGCCAAGTCTTTCTACCAATGTAGACCTCTTTCCAGAAGTGTCCTGTGTGATTATCTGTATTGTCTCAGCACACTAAATGGCATTCAATGAATTTCTGTTATAGAATATACCATGTTACACAAAGGTCATTTGCTTTGTAATTGCTGTCAGAGTTATTGATTCAATGGATTCAGTCTGACACCTTTGGGGTGTAATCTATTGTAAGGCCTCAAACATGTTATTTAAGATTTCAAAGCCCAGCTTTCTTTACATGTGAAAAAGGGAGGAGAATAGTAGTCCTCACATAGAAAGCTGAGGAACTCAACTGGACAATGTACAAGAAACAGCATGGTGCCTCATGTGGAATATGTTCAAAAATGGTTGCCAAGGCAGGCAGTTCACCTGAGGTCAGGAGGTCAAGGTCTGCCTGGCCAACATGGTGAAACCCAATCTCTACTAAAAAGGCAAAAATTAGCTGGGTGTGGTGGTGCATGCCTGTAACCCCAGCTACTCGGGGATCTGATGCATGAGAATCACTTGGACCTGGGAGGAGAAATTGTAGTGTGCGGAGATCATGCCATTGCATTCCAGCCTGAGTGACAAGAAAAAAAAACTCCATCTCAAAAAGCAAACAAAAAATAGCTGCCTACTAGCCTGCTTCCATGAAGATCAGAAGCCATGCTCTTTAGTTTTGCTTCACCTGCACACATGAGGAACAAATAAATGTTCTTCAAATAAATTAAACGAGTCCAAAGGGTAAAATCGACTGCTGGTCAAATTAGACTCTGACTTCAAAATTTTGCAAATGGTAAAGAGATATTATGTGTTCTCTTATGGTATTTTAAAGAATGAACTAGATACCATTTATTAGTGAATAATTTTGCATAAAGGGGGGATGTATTTATTCAGCCTGCTCTGTGTTTAGCCACTATGTGTTTAAAGCCAAAAGAGAAAGACAAGACAAAAAACATACCATAGCTTTTACATACACTATAAAATTTATGAAAAATTCTCATTCAACAAACATGTATGAAGTAGCCATAATCATCCAAGCAATATGCTAAACCTGGGGGAAAATGTTGCCACAGTTGAGTGCATTTCCATATATACTTTGAAAAGTTACAGAAATGTTTTTTTTTCATTTATATTTCCATTTGTTTTTAATGAGAGTATTTTAAAACACTTGAATTGAAAGTAAGTTTTCACCATCAAAGTATGGAGATAAAACACATATAAAAGGCACTATAAAATACATATAAGAAAAAGACTTTTACAATATTATATTAGATTAATTAAAATTCATATTAAATGAATGAAATACTAGATAAAATATCACATATATTAGACAAATTAGAAGTTAGTTGTAATCACATACAGTAGCAAAGTAAATATGACAGCATAAAAAAGAGCTAAAATCCCAGTGGAATGTTTAGTTTCATTAATAGAAAGGTTATTGAAGAAGACAGACAATATTTTCTAGAATTAAGGAAGGGCAAATTATGCATATATTGTACCTTAAGCTATACACTAAAATTGTCCTACTGGCTTGCTGCTTTAACCGCACTCTCTGTCTCTTTAAGTTCTTACTTATTTATACTATTTTTATACATTGTAACATTAAGGTTTTGTAAAGTCTTTGCCATTTTTCTTTTTGAAGATGGCTACCTCATAACGCTCATCTTCCTTTTAATGGTCAGCCACTACCTGGGATGCCTTTTCTAAGCCAGAAGACAGCAACTTTTCTTACAAGACCTGAAATGTTGG
Source organism: Homo sapiens (assembly GCF_000001405.40). NCBI lineage: Eukaryota > Metazoa > Chordata > Mammalia > Primates > Hominidae > Homo > Homo sapiens. Next base: position 14,806,905 of record NC_000024.10, on the reverse strand, counting down.
CTTAATTTTCAGGCTGTATCAGAGAAATTGGTGCAATTCTATTTGCACTAAGTGCAATTTTTTTTTTTCTCTAAGCAGGAGGGATGTTTGATCTGAGAGCAGTTACAGTGTCCTATTATATCTCTTACTGTACTAAAGTTTGTTACTATAATTGTCAAGGATTTGTCATTTTTGATAACTCTGTCTCGGTGTTGCATGGAAGTCTTTATTCACTAACAGATTTAAATATCTCAGGCTAAGATATCTCTCTGATAATTAATGTACAAAAGCAAAAACATTAAATGGATCACATACCAGAGCAGCTATGGTCAAACTTAGTGTTGTTCTAAAAACTAGATTTTAAGCAACTATCACAGTAACAATTCTCCACTTTATCTCAATTTTCCAACTTTTATCACACTCAATTTTATAAGCTCCACACACAAACTTTTATAGGCTTCAACAAAGCAGTTCTCCAGGGTAATATATATATTGTTTGCTTGTTGAATGTATATATGTATGTATACATATATACTATATATATGTTTTATATTTGAAACACTGCATCATGAGTAGACAGCACATGGAGGCTATGTATGGTCCATTAGATTTTGTTCATGACTCTTGTGTTTTACAAAATATAATTAACCTTATATTATCCCCCAAGGCAAAAGAATGATGATTAAGAGTTGAAGTTAATTGTTGGGAAAAAAGCACAGGTTTTTATTTGTTGTTGTTTGTTTTTGTTAATATTTCTGTTTGTTTTTTGTTTTTGTTTTTGTTTTTGAGGCAGAGTCTCGCATGGTTGCCCAGGCTGCAGTGCAGTGGCATGAGCTCAGCTCACTGCACCTCTACCTCCCGGGTTCATGTCATTCTCCGGCCTCAGTCTCCTGAGTAGCTGGCACTACAGGCGCCTGCCACCATGCCCAGCTAAATTTTTTTGTGTGTGTATTTTTAGTAAAGACGGGGTTTCACCGTGTTAGTCAGGATAGTCTCAATCTCCTAACCTCTTGATCCTCTCGCCTTGGCCTCCCAGATAGCTGGGATTACAGGCGTGAGCCACCACAGCTGACCACAGGTTTTAATATAACAAGATGAAATTGAGATAAAATACTTAGCAGGCATTTGAGATTATTCCATGTGTTCATTTAACAGGTCTACATGAATGCTCAAAATATGCTAGTCATGTTTTGTCCTTAGTGTTGAAGACACAGACAATGAACAATACAAACAGGATCTTTGATATCAGGAGATTCACCCTCCAGCATGGAGAGACAAATTGTTTACAAGCAAAGGTTAAATAATGTGATGTATGTGTTTCTTAGTTGTTGCCATAACATACACAAACTTGGTGGCTTAACCCAACACATACTTAGTATCTGATAGTTTTGGAAATCAGAGGTCTAAAATGCTTCTTCAGTGCTGGTACCTTCTGCAGCGTACAATTGTGGAACTATTTCCTTGTTTCTCCCACCTTTTAGAGGCTTCCAACACATGGACCCCTCTTCCACGTTAATAGCCAGTAGCACAGCACCTTAATCTCTATTTGACCTCTGTTTCACCTTCAGATTTTCTATTGTTTCAAAGTTTCAGTTTCTGTTTTATAAGGATATTTCTATTACATTGAGCTCACCTAGATACTTGAGGATGCTGTCCCCATCTTAAAGTCTTTTATCACATCACTTAAGACCTTCTTGCCACAAAACGTAGGATGTGAACATACATAGGGGTTTGTTATTCTGTCCTCTACAGCAGGGATCCCCAATCCCCAGGCTATGGTCCAGTACTGGACCAGATACAACCAACACACGTTGGATATTGCACTCTTCACAAACATGTATCCAAGTCTAACATGAACACACGTCAGAACAACCATTGAATCCCCACTCCTACCACACATTCACATCTTGTATTACCACCAAAGCCTGGTCCATGGCCTTTTAGGAACTGGGTCAGCAGGAGGGGAGTTGCAGGCAACCTAGCAAAGCTTCCTCTGTATTTACAGCCAATCCTCATCACCCAAATGACTGCCTGAGCTCCATCTCCTGTTAGTTAAGTGGTGACATTATATTCTCATAGGAGCGGAAATCCTATTGAGACGGCACATGCGAGGGATGTAGGTTGTGTGCTTATTGATGAGAATGTAATTCCTAGTGATTTGAGGTGGAACATTTTCACCCAGAAACCATCCACCGACATGGGAAAATTGACTTATGTGAAACCAGTCCCTGATGTCAAAAATGTTCAGGAGTGCTGCTCTATAGGGCGCTTGCCTAACAATTGAGTTGGGAGATATTTATATATATTCAAGATGCAAGTCAATTCTCTGCTCTATTAGTTACAAATGTTTTGTCTGAATCTGAAGCTTTTTGTCTGAGTTCTTCGTGGTGCCTTGAAGTCCTCATAATCAATACATTCTCTTACAGTTCTTGTATTTTGTGTTCTATGTAAGAAAACTTTTCATAAGCCTAGCTGGCAAAGATTTGCTCCTATATTTTCTTCTAAACAAAGCCTCTCTGAAAAGGTAGAAATGGAAGGAAATGATGACAGGGAAGCAGCCACAAGATGTTAAGAGGGAAACATTCCTGAAAAGAATTATAAGTTTCAAAGTTCCAAAAGGAACTTTAAAGGGTGAGGAGAACAGAAGGATTCCCAGTGTAACTGACTCATCATGACTAAGGAAATGTGAAAGAATGGTATTACAGTGGTAGGCATAAATGACTTCACACTTGGAAAAGTGACTAAAATGTTGGAATTTATTATAAAACAATGACAAGACATAAGAATGGGAAGATAGCAGTATGTGATAGAATTTATGGTTTTGTGAAGTCCATAAGAGGCACTGATGGATGTGACTGCAGGAGGCTGCCTTTGGAAGAAGTCCACTGCAGTCATCCAGGAGCAAGTTGGTTCTGGCTTTCGGTGAGAGGCAGTCAGGATGGAAAAAATTCAACAACATCTGGACACATGTTGTCAGGGTGCTTCAGGCTTTGGTGGTAATACCAGACGTGAATATTTGGTAGGAGTGGGGATTCGATAGTTGTTCTGATGTGAGTTCATGTTAGATTTGGATAGATGTTTGTGAAGAGTGCAATATCCAAAGTGCATCAGTTGTAACCAGGTTATTGAAATTGTGTAGGTGCTCTTGGGATGGGGATGTATCTTCCGGGATTTTCAGCCTGAGTTACACATGCATTCAAGAGTCCTAGAACCATGTCTAGATGACTGAAACCTAGTTCTTTTCTAACTGCACCCTAGGCTTTTACTCATTCTGTGATCCCCTTAAATGGAAGAGGTTACTAAAGCTCATTCTTTCTATGACATGAACAAAATTATGAATGTGGAAGAGCTTCAGGCATTATAAAGTACCATGGAAATGTGAGATGCTATTATTATCTTGTGCAGGAAAATACTTATTAATGGTTCAGTGGTAGTGATGATTAAGAAAAAACTTTAATAGCAAGTTGTGTTTATATTGCCTTTTGGCCTAAACACAACATCCTCATTGCTGAAGTAGGGGTAATTTAAGTGCTTTTCTATACAAAAAGACATGTCAAACAAGATCATATATGGTAAGTTTAATATATTTTATATACATATAATATATATTATATATAATATATGTATTATACTTAACAAGATCACATATATTAAGTATATATACTTATTATATATTATCTAATCATATATTATAATATATAAATTATATCATATAGAGTTTATATTTAAAATTATATTTTATATATAATTACATACAATATAGCATAAACTAGATATAATAATTACATATACTATATGATATACATCATATACAAATTTATATTATGTTCTATATATAAAATATTATATAAATATATACAATACATATTATATTATATTTTATATATAATATATTATATGTAAAATAATTATATACTTATAGTATATAATGTATTCTATAAAATTATATATTATATAAAATTTATATTTAAATTATGTTATATATTATATACCATATATAGTGTGTATTACATATAATAATTTCATATTATATAATGAAGTATATATAATTATACATTATATTTTATATATGATATATATTTTTATATAATATACAATTTTATATATTATATATAATATGTAATATATAAAATATATTTCCATAATATGAAATATATTTTATATATAATATAATGTATAATATATAATTACATATATAATTTATATTTAAATTATATTTTAATTTAAATTTATTTAAATTTAAATATATTTAAAATTATAGATAATTAATATATATTATATATTTATATAATATGAATATATAAGTATGATATATAATATACTTTTATATGTAATTTTTTATAATTATATATGATTATATATTATACTTACTCTATGTGACTTTATATATAATGTGATCTTACATATTATCTCTATATATGTTAGAAATTTGTGTGTCTAAAATGATTTCCAAGAACCACCATAGGCTTATTTCATTATCACTGCAACAGTCTCAAGTTCAGAAAGAGTTAAAAATAGAGATTCAAATGAAAACATGTTCACTTTTTCCCATGATGCTTCAACCTTTTAATGACCTTAAGCTGCTTCTCACTGTATGACTCAGCGGCATAGCAAATGAATCAGAGAGAGAGAGAAAGAGTGAACGAGAGCCAGAGAAAGAGTGAGAGATACAGAGGGGAGATGAAGAGAGAGAGAGAGAGAGCTCTCCAGGTATCTCCAAGCACAGGTGCATTCCTTTATTTTTTGAACACATATTCATTAAGCACTCTTCTTAGTCCTGCAAGTTGTTTGTGGGTAAGCGAGGGTGATCTCTCCAAGTCCTTATGGCACCAACAGCCTGGGAAGGCTGTGCTATCTCGGGATATATTCACATAACCTTGGGTAGTCTGTAAAATTTTAAATTGCATAGGCTCCACAGTCGACCTCCAAATCAGAATGTCTGGTGGTATGATCCAGGAGTAGGCATGAAAACTGAAAAGTTATTTGTATGCATATTCACAATTGGGGGAACAGTGCTTTGGGCAGATTTGTTGGGCAGCTGTAGCTACACAATGTTAGGCTTTTAAGAATAAACTTAACATGGCCCAAGTAGTATTTTCTAGATTCAGGAGTGAAGGGTACCGCCACACGTAATGGAAGTATCTGTCTTTAGGGAGGCAGTCAGGCTTTGCTGTGTTATTCTTAATATCATCAGTGAAGCTGACAGCCACTGCAGAAAGAAAGAACAAGGAACAATCATTGCCATCTTCTCCTTTTATCTCCAACTTCATAACTACTCTTAATCAATAATCAGAAGAAAAAGAGAAAAACTTTCTCTTTCTGGAAATAAAAATCCCAGAATCAAATGTTTCTCTCTCTCTCTCTTTTTTTTTTTTTTTTTTTTTGGTTCATCTGACAGAAATTGTGAAGTCAAATTTATGCTCAACTTCAGTATTTGAACGTCTTTGTTCATTTTGCTTCACTGTGTTGGATATGGCCTCTTATTTTTGGAAAATATAAACAAACAAAAAACAAACAAAAAAAAAACAGGAGGAATAAATTATAATGTATACCTGATTTCTCTCTCCTGGCACCATGTGAAGAAGGACATGTTTGCTTCCCTTTCTGCCTTGATTGAAAGTTTCTGGAAGCCTTCCCAGCCTTGCAGAACTGTGAGTCAATTAAACCTCTTTCTTTTATAAATTAGCCAGTCTCGGGCAGTTCTTTTGGCAGTGTGAGAACAGACTCACACACTTAGCTTAATTTGGGGTTTCACAAAATAATGATTTTCTTATACTATTGTTTTTCCTGCATATATTATCTGGAATTTTACTTGTAATCATCAATTTTTTAGTTATTGTGAAATTCAGTATTTATTCCAAATGTAGGAAAAATCATAATTTTTATTGATCAAGATCCAGGAGAATGTGATCATTGCCTAGTAATATTAACAGTGAGTTTTATTCTGGGTATCATGATGAATATATGCATTTTAATGTCTTTATCATTTTAAATCCAGTACACATATTATTCTTACAGATGTTCTAATTGTCCCTTGTAGCTGATTAGAGTTTTCTTCCACTTGACATTTGGATTTTGTGTTTATATTGTTTCTTTGTTTTAGATATACATACACATACACATATACATATACTGCATATGTCTCTCTCGATAGATATGTTCTATTTGTAGAGAGAATGTGTATATAAAAATATATTTATATTTATGATACAAATAATATATATTACATTTATATATAAATTATATATAATATGTAAGTATGTATATAATATATATACTTATATATAGCAAGAGAATGTTTCCTAATCATGTCTTTAGAGAGACAAAGAAAAAATATATATATAGAGAGAATATATCTTTATATCTCTAACCTAACTATCTATCTACCTATCTATCTATCTATCTAGCATCTATCAATCTCACAGGTTTCCCCTCTTCTCCTGTCCCCAAAGTGCTTGGAGGCAATTTGTACAGAGGATATATGTATGTATATAAATCAAATTATCAAAAATGACTTCCTTTAGTTAAAACATTTTTCTTGCAAAGAAGAAATATCCACCAGGCAAGGATTACTGATTTACTGATTTTATCTTAATGATAGCATAAAAAGAACTGGCTCCAAATATGTTTATCAGCCTTTCAATTACTCTAGCTCTTCCTTCACTGTTGTTGCCTTCCCTAATGTATTCCTGGGTCCTGCGTCCTATTGTTTTACCCCCTCCTGTCTGCCACAGGTCTTTAAACTTCTGGTTCAACTATCACCTGTCACGAGGGGCTCTCATGGCAGTAAGTGTCCCATTACTTTCATCCATAATCAGATGATATTATATCCTCGAATTTAATACACTACAAAGGAGTAACAAAGCTCCACAATGGATCTACATAGTGATGGGCTGGAAGTCAGGGCAGGGAAAATGTAGTGGGTTTGCTCTCTGGAACTCATACAAGCCTTTGGTTAAAAATTCATATGACAATCAAAGACACCCAGAGCAATTCTAATAGATCCTTCATTATCCTAATTGTCATTAAGAATTAGTTAATATTTTGGTTTCTGTAGTTATAGCTATCATATATGATGATAGATGAACTATGTGACATTCAAAACCAAAATATTAGGAAATTGTCCCTGAAATATTTGGAATGTTTTTAGAAATAGATGAAAGGTGCTTAGAAGGATTTTGACAAGTGATGAATTAATAAGGATGTATGTGGTGTTTCCTCGGTAATTTTCTTAATGGGTATATTAGCTAACAATAACTGATGAGGTCTGTGGGAATGAAAAAAGCTATCCAATAGCTAAGTGTTTCACCATTTCTCAATCCTCTTCAGTGCAAAGTCTGGGGGGTGGTAGAAGTACAGATTTATTTGATGGGTTGGGAAAAATACTAATAAATCAAGAAAAAGATTTATGCTTCTTTTGAGATGGTGAATAGAACAGAATGCTGCTTCCTCCACAAAAATCTACATTTGAGAAACTACAGAGGCTAAGAAAATGAAGGCATCGATCTACTGAAAGAGCAATAACAGAACATAAAAGCAGTAAACTATAAGCCATTCTGCAGAGAGTACAACCTGAAGAACCATGTATATATGGCGGATGGGGGTGGCTAAACCTTCTGGCAGAGGGTGGAAGTGGTAACACAACGATGCCAGTTTGAAAGAAAAGTCTTAGGTTCACTCTTGTCTCTTAGCAAAAATGTCTTGAGTTAATCATTATCTAATCTCCCTTCCATCTTCTCTTCTCCATACAACATAGAACCCTACAGCAGCCATCAGGTAGTAGGATTTCGGTAAGCCTAGGGGAAACTCAGATGCATTGAGGAGTCGGCTAAAAACCTACAGGGCCACCAGTCACTCATGGCCACAATGGGCTTTTCCTGCTTCAGCCCCTTCCCCTCCATGCCCCCAGAAAGGATGTTAAAGAGGCTGCCTCTTTGTAATGCCAGTTCATTTAGAGTTTAAAGGCACATTTCAAATAAGAAGCCTTCCTTGCAGGTTTTCAGTGCACCAGAGTAACCTAAAAGTGATTTTTGAATGTTAATCTTGTAAAATAAACATAGACTTGGGCATGGCCTTAAGTCATATCAAATCCACAATTACAAACAGGCTGATGGTTGAGTTTTCACCCACCTAAGGAGGATATAGGCTAAATGTTTTTTTAAAAAGTTATATACCTGAATATTTAAAAAAGTTACCAAACTCTATCTCTCTCAACAGATGAAAACTCTTCTACATAAGATATAATTATTGGAACAGATCAATGAAGAAATTACAAAAGACAAAATAATACACTTGATCACCTAAGGTAATATATTTCAAATAGTAGATTATAATAAGAATTAAAAGATAACTTGGTAAATATAGTAAGTATGGAATAAGTAATAGTAAAGATGAACAAGAACATAATAGTTAAGATAAATCTTAGAACAGAGAGAATTGAAGAACAAATTACTGAATTGGAAGATCAGATGGAAGAACATTCATAGGAAACACCAGGAAAGAATAAAGGAGAGAAAGGCAGTTTTGGTAGATATATCAATAATAGGTAAGAGAGAAAAAAACAGAAAGAACTAAGTTGATGAATGAATGAAAATATGCTTAAAACAGACAAACAGAACAAAAACTTTATTTTGAATGAGCTCATAGAGTGCCCTGAGTTGATATATTGCTATGAAATTCAAGGACGTCAAAGACAAATACAAAATTATAATAGCCTTCGGAGAAAAAAATAGCTGAGTCATGAATGAGTAAGAATCAGACTGACATTAAACTTTCCAGTGATAGCACAGAACATCTGCAGATACAGTAGTGATATTTGAAAGTTGGAAGAAAAATAACTGTGAATTTAAATTTTTTGTTTAGAAACAAATAGTATAGGCAAAGTAAAAACAAAAAATTGATCAAAAAGGGACTCAAACATTTTGCTAAACAAAATTTCAATGACTCAAAAATATTTTTGAGAAAACACCTATGAAAGAATATGAGTATTTTGATAAGAATTGTGGAAAATATATGAAATGCAGGGACAATCAATAATTTATAATTTATATTTGGCTAAAATGGGTAAAAAAGAATGCAACAATTATACATAGATAACAGCCCAGAACTTAAATTCTAGGAACTATCTACTTAAATGGCATTCAGTGGTGGGACTAAAAGGAGATGCATGTTTGAAAAATGTTTGTCTTGTTAGAGGACTGCTACAGAAATTATCAGATCTGTCAACAAATCCCTTGATGTATTCTATATATTTTTGATTTTCATATAGAAATGGGACACAATTGGTATAAACCAATAGTATGTTGCTAAATTTATAAAAACAACTGGGAAGGGCCAGGTGCAGTGGCTCAGGCCTGCAATCCCAGCAGTATGGGAGGCCTAGGCCGGCAGATCACGAGGTCAGGAGATCGAGACCATCCTGGCTAACATGGTGAAACTCCGTCTCTACTAAAAATGCTAAAAATTAGCCGGGCATGGTGGCAGGCACCTGTAGTCCCAGGTACTCGGGAGGCTGAGGCAGGAGTATAGCGTGGACCCGGGAGATAGAGCTTGCAGTGAGCTGAGATCGCGCCACCGCACTCCAGCCTGGGGGACAGAGAAAGACTCCGCCTTAAAAAAAAAAAAAAAAGAAAAGAAAAAACAAAAACAAAAAAAACTGGGAAAATAAGTAGCAGTATCTGTGCTCAGTTATGATCAACAACAGTGTAAGAACAAAAAACAGAATATAGTTTTAAATCCAGTAGAAGTATATCTATTAAATGACAGGTGGAAACTGATGTTTTCAAAGACAAAATATACAGTTATATTATGCTTATTCTGAAGTAACTAAATTGAACATGTCAAACAAGATGGCAAACTAAGCCTTAGTAAAATTAATATTCAACAAACATAAATGTTTTGAACTCATAAATTAAAAATTCCAGACAATCACACGTTTGTAACAAAACCAAAGATGAAAAATGCAACCAATTTGAGACAAATTTTAAGCCAAAAGATATAGAAAGACTAAAATTATTCAAGAGTAGTAAAAGATATGCAAGCATAAGTAAGACCAAAAAATTATGATGTGAAAATCCCAATAGCTCAAAAATTAGAACCTAAGAAAATAATATTATAGGAAGGAAAAAACTGTTTATGCTCTTTGACCAAAATTCGCCATGTGCACAACTTCCAGCCTATAGCAACTACAAGTCTACTCTCTGTTTCTGTGAGTTTGACTTCTTTAGATTTCACATTTCATCATGCAGTGTTTGTTTTTATGTGCCTGGCTCATTTCACTTCACATAATGTCCTTCAGGTACATCTGTGTTGTCACCAATTACATGATTTCTTTCTTTTTTTTTTTTTTTTTTTTTAGATGGAGCCTCGCAGTGGCGCCATCACGGCTCGCTGCAAGCTCCGCCCTCTGGGGTTCACGCCATTCTCCTGCCTCAGCCTCCCGCGTACCTGGGACTACAGGCGCCCGCCACCTCACCCGGCTAATTTTTTTGTATTTTTAGTAGACACGGGGTTTCACTGTGTTAGCCAGGATGGTCTCGATCTCCTGACCTCGTGATCCGCCCGCCTCGGCCTCCCAAAGTGCTGGGATTACAGGCGTGAGCCACCGCGTCCGGCCTATTTCTTATTTACTCCTTTTTTAAGGCTGAAGAGTCGTTCATTGTGTGTACTTATATACTCACAATATACAACTCAAGTATAATACATGTTGAAAATATTATGTTAATCTTGACAAAAAACAGAGAAAAACCCCTTGTTTAAAGCAGATAAGAAATCTGTAATAATCTAACGATGTTGTAGGACGGAAATCAAGCTTCTCTAAGACTCAAATGATCAAGAAATAGGAATTCACCCTATGGATCTAATATGGTAAAATCAGAAGTTAGTGCAAATACTTAGATTTTAAAAATCTACATGTTGTAACAGATTCATCCCTCCAGCCCCCAGAGAGGAATACAGCCCTGCCAGTCTCTTGATTTCACCCATGGAAGACCTTAAGAAGAGGACCAAGCTAGGCTCCACTGCACCAAGAATTCTGACCTTTAGAACCATGACATACTACATGGTTGCTCTTTTACATTACTACATTTCTCATAATTTGTTACAATAGTTTAACAAAATGTATACAGACAACAGACAAATGAAAAAAGAGAACATAATAAAGTGTTAACAGACAGATACAGGCAAACATGTTGTTATTAATATATATAAGAAATCAATACGTAATAAAGCCCACAAATCAAGCAGGAAATAAAAGATGTTTTTAACTACATCAAAGACATCATCTGTCCAGGGTGGACTGAATAGCAAGTCTACCACCTATTAATTAAGGAATTTTTTATATGAACTCTCCCAGAGAGCAGAAATGTTTTCTTACTATTTCTACACAGCTACTATTAAGTTGAGGCTAAAACCAGAGAAGCCTAACATAAGGAAAATTACAGCCTATCCAATTTAGTACAGAGATACAAAAATGATTAATATATAACAAATACAAAAATGATATTAAAGAGTATACTGAATATCAAACTAAGCTTGATATTAGAAAGTTAACTTATTTAATTTACTACATGAACAAATTAAACACAAAGCAAGGAAAATATTAAAAGATGAAAAAAAAATTACCTCTAATGAATTTATGGTTTCATGTTATCAAATTAAGGAGATAAACATTTATTTATGTGAAAAAGATAGTTCATTTATATCCTACTCCAAATATTATACATAATGATAAAACATTAGAAGACTTCTGTCTGGCTGGATGCAGTGGCTCATACCTGTGATCCCAGAACTTTTGGAGGCTGAAGTAGGCAGATCACCTCAGGTCAGGAAATCGAGACCAGCCTGGCCAACATGGTGAAAGCCCATCTCTACTGAAAATACAAAAATTTGCCAGGCATGGTAGTGAACGCCTGTAGTGGCAGCTACTCAGGGGGCTGAGGCATGAGAATCGCTTGAACCCCGGAAGCAGAGGTTGCAGTGAGACAAGATCATGCCGCTGCACTCTAGCCAGGGCAACAGAGTAAGACTGTCTCAAAATAAAATTTTTTTTAAAACTCCTTTTGTCTAAAGACAGAACAAATCAAAGATAGCTAATTTCATTTCTATTCAACTTTGGACTCAGTATAGTGAACGTAAGAACAAGAAACTTTCATATGGTTCTTGGGTAAATAAAACTGTTCAACCACTTAAACAGTTCTTGACATCAGGATGCATATCTAAATATGGATATAAAATATAGTCCAGTAAATCTATTTCTAGGTAGAGAAACTTCATTTTTTTTCAACAAGATATACACAGAATACTAACAGTTGAACTGTTTACATAAGGCCAATTCAAATACCCAGCTTCTGAAAGAGTTAAATATCTTGTGGAATAACCATAGGGTGTGGTTTCTCATATCAGTGAACATAAATGAACTACAGCTCCAAGAATTTTCATGGTTGAATATCAAAAACATACCATTCAATGAAAAAGGAAGTGCTAGGTCAAGAAAAACACAGAATGACATTTATAAAAGAACAAAAGCAGATGACAATATATTCTTTAGGTTAAGCTGGTAGTGCTAATTTTGTAGAAATAAAATTTAGTAAAAGAAGGAAATAATGAATTGGTTTCAGAAAGATGGTTACCCTTTGGGCAGGTTTAAAGAAATACAATTTATAACAGGAATTAAAGGGAATCCAAAAATCTCCATCATGTTCTAATTTAAATTCAAGCTGTACATAGAAAGATGTTCATTTAATTATTCACATCCATATCATGAAACATTCTCTAATAAGAAAACAAAAATAAAAGATTACAATTGTCTATGGAAGTTGAAAATAGAACTGCACAAAACAGCTTGAGGCATAAAAAATGATACATTCTTGGAGTAATTTTAGGTCAAATCCAGCTGTTCAACAACTTCTAACTTTTTTTTTTTTTTTTTTTTTTTTTGAGATGGGGTCTCGCTCTGTCACCCAGACTGCGGGGAAGCAGCATGATCTCTGCTCACTGCAAGGTCCACCTCCCGGGTTCAGGCCATTCTTCTGACTCAGCCTCCTGAGCAACTGGGATTACAGGAGTGCACCACCACCCCCGGCTATATATTTTTTTTCTCTGTTTGTTTTTTTAGTAGAGTCGAGGTTTCACCGTGTTAGCCAGGGTGGTCTCGATTTCCTGACCTTGTGATCTGCCCGTCTCGGCCTCCCAAACTGCTGGGATTACCGGCGTGAGCCACTGTGCCCTGCTAACAATTTTCTCACTCTATATTTTCTAATACTATGAAATCAATGAATTAAGTTTGTGGTCTAAGTACCAGTAGACATTAAAATAATTGTTTGTCTGGAATGAAGAAAATTATACGTATTCTAATTTGTCCTAGTCTTGTGCCAAATGAAATCTTTCATTAACTGGAACAAATTAAATAATTAAGTCTCAATATTTATAAAGCCATTTTATTAAAATGATTTTTAAAACTAATGTTCTACCATTCTCAGTTGCCATGTCTGTAGAAATTATTACCGATTGTAAATTTTACCAGTGGTCTCCAGAGAGGGATGAAGATGTGGGGGATATTTTGCAAGAAAGTTCCTGGCTGCCTCCCCTGAGGGTTCTGATGTATTGGCTATGTTACTGGAATTGCTATGTAGTAATTATTCAAATTGCATGCACAGCTAAGAAACCCAATAAAGCTTCTAAAGGAGTTCCCTCATGTATGCAAAACTATTTTAACAGCGACACATATTTATTATTTTAACACAGAGAAGCAAAACTCATCTTTGAAAGAGAACTGCCTTTCAAAGAATTATTTGTTAAATCATGAATGGCGGCGGGTGAAATCCAAAGAAAAGAAGAGATCGTGAATTTCCTATAGCTCATTGTGGATTTGCTGAGTTGAGATTTGAAGCATTCAGAAGAAAAGTTTATGTTAGGATAGCCAAAAGGTCATCAGCAAAAGGGCTAGATGTTGATTTTAGAAGGTTTATTTTCCTATTTTTCCCATATGAGAATATGCCTCCAAATTTCTCCTTAAATCCTCAGTTAAATCTAATGAACACACACACACACACACACACACACACACACACACACACTCTCTCTCTCTTCTACATGTAGTTGAATTTTTTTTTTTTTTTTTTTTTTTTTTTTTTTTTTTTTTTTGGAGACAGGATCAATTTCCTGGGCTGGAGTGCAATGGTGCAATCATAGCTCACAGCAGCCTTGACATCCTGGGATTAGGGATCCTCCCACCTCAAGCCTCCTGAGTAGCTGGGACTACAGGCATGTGCTACCAGACTGAGCTAATTTTTTTTTCTTTTTGTAGAGACAGGCTTTAGTCAGGTTGCCCAGGATGGGCTCGAACTCTTTGGCTCAAGCGATCCTCTCACCTTGGCTCCCAAAGTGCTGGGATTACAAGTGTGAGCCACCATGCCTGGCCTTGAGTGGATTTCTGAATTGAGAAGTGGCCCAGTCTCTCATGTTGGTATTCCAAGTGAAAAACACATCATCCACAAAGGACATTAGATAAAACTGGCAACAAAAATAACCACCTTAATTAACCTGAGTCCTCACCTATCCTCTGTGAGTAATAGGAAAACATGTCTGGGCAGGAGTTTGGACTTCCAGCGTGACTGAAGTTCAGATTTGAGTCCAGGATATTTCTTATCTACATCCATTATGACAATGTCCATTCCATAGGCAGAGATTCCATAGGTAGGGATCTGGGAAGTTTTGCTTATGGCTGCCTCCAGGGGCCTAAAATGGTCCCTGGTGCACTTCTGGAGCAAGTAAGTACTGGTTGAATAAATGCATTTTCAGAGACAGGGAAACCTACATTATCTCTACATGATACAATTTTGTGGCTGGAAATATCACAAGTCCAACCACATGTATTTCACCTTGAAGTCTGTACAAACAGAGATTGAGGATGAATGTTTTAACATCTTGCTCTCAAATGGTTGCATCTTTTTTTCCCAAAAAATATATTGGAGAGTTTCTTCAAGTCTGTGGTGTCCACCATGACTGAAGGCCTGCAAACTCCGCATCTACCAAACAGGACCGAGACACTCAAATCCCCAAGTTCAGAATAGGTAGAGGTTTTGTGTTCAGATTTGTAAGTGGGTAGGGTAAGGGTTTGGGTTCCTGTTCAGGTTTGGGTAACAATTCTGGTCAAGAATGATGTTGAGTGTGTGTTTGGATTTTAGTCCAGGCTGGGATCTCACAGTCAGGAGTCAAGGAGCAAAACACAGAGGGTTAAAGATCAAAGATCAAGGGTTAGGACGGGTTTCAGGTATTGATAAAGGTTCATGTTAGGATTTGGCTTCAAGTTCAATTTGGGGTATGGTTAGATCACTAATTGAATGTCAGGGTAGGAGCACAAGTCAATATTATGATCAAGGGATTATATTCGTTATTAGGGACAATGGTCAAAGGTCAGGATTAGGATCAAAAGTCTGTGGGTTAGAGAATTTGGTAGATGCCTTCAGTGTTCAAATCAGGGGTCAAGAGTCAAGGGTTACTGGCAAAAGTCAAGGGTGAGTTCAAAATTTTACATTGAAGTTAAAGTAGGTGTTGGGTTGGGTTTGGTTTTGAGTCTAAATTTAGATTCATTTTCAAGGTTGGGTAGAATTAGGTTTCATATCCAGTCATTAGTTAGGGTCCAGATTAAAATTTGGGTTCAAGTTCTCATTCTCTGTTCAGGGTCATGGGTCAGCTCAATGATCAAGAAGCAATGGTCAAAGGCCACAGGTTAGTTTTAAGGTTTCAATTTCTGTTAGGGTCAGTATTAGGTTTAGAGGTAAAACACTGCTGAGACCCTTGTCACTTTCATCTTTATGACTGAAAATCGTAACCAGAAAAACACATGAAGAAGTGAACATTTAACAATCTAGGCATATTTTTAGGAAACATAACTGTTGAAAGATATCTTCAACATGGCTTGGGAATATTTTTAGCACAAAAGATATTAGAGAATGGGAGCTTTATAATATAGTAATTTAGTCAATGTACTTAACGGAATTTGGATGTTATGACCTCTTTGTAGTTAAGAGTGTACATTAATATTAACTCTGGACAATCCCCTTCTGATCTACAGAGATTATGCATGTTTTTATTTGTGTGTGTGTGTTTGTGTACTTCTCACACCATTGACGTTGAAGCTTGGTTTTGCATTATCCAACCCACCCATGTAAAGACACTATTGGATATGGATGGATGCATGCTACAGATTTAGCCACCTCTGTGAATGGGAAACTTATAGATGGAAGATGGTTCCCAGAAGATGTTCCACCTATATAGAGAAGGGAACAGAAAGAGGAGTACCTCAGCCACAGTATTCTGGGGGTTTGCAGGATGGAAATAGTCAGATAGGAAATTTGTAAATCACTGCATGTGAAGGGAGGAAGAATGCAAAAATATTTTATATAATAAACACTTAAATACTTACATTTGGGAGTGCAAAAATAGAGATATGGTGAAAAATCAAATCAGATGGAACACACCCAAAGACACAGGTGCAGATGCACACACACACACACATATCTGTAGCTCCAAGTATTCTTTTTTATGGTTACTGTTAATGTGCACTCATAGGTACAAAGAGGACATGACATTTGAATTTTATCAAATAAATAGGCTTAATTACTATATTATAAAGTGCCATTCTCTGATTCCTTTTCTGCTTAAAAAGTGTTTTATAACCCTTCCTATTCTAAACTGAATTATTTTATTGCTCGTATCTTTCCATATTTCTGTCTTATAAAAATATGCATACGTCATTAAGCTTTTCCATTTTTATCCATCTTTCTAATTACGATTTCCAGTCATAATAAAGAAAAGAGATAAGGGTCTGCTGTAGTATTATCAGTGCCCAGTTATGTTCCAGAATTAAAGTAACACAAGGAAGAAAAAAAAAATCAGGAAGAAAAACCTAAAATAATGTGGTTTATTTAGCAACACTAATTGTTCAGAATATGGTGTATCCACAAGTTCCCCTATTTTTAACTATCTGGAGGTTCTTTCTGTGAAGATGTTATTTTTTTAAACTATTTTCTGGACCTAAATGTCTTGCCAGAGTAAGTTAGCATTTAAATACTGATGAAAGCCTAGACTCATCTGAGAAAGGGCAGGAATGTGTGTAAAAATACAAAATGTCATCTCATCACTTATGGTGCTTCAGTTCAGCCATCTGCAAGAAAAAGGAAGCTCTTAATGCACAAGGTGAAGGGATAAAATTATTTCTACATGTTGAGTCTTTTAAATTAAAAAGGACAAATAGGCCAGGCATAGTGGCTCACTTTGGGAGTCTGAGATGGAAGAACTGCTTGAGCCTAAAAGTTCTAAGACAAGCCTGAACAAGATTCTGTATCAATGAAAAAAAATTAAAATTAACCATGGGTGGTGGCATGCACCTTTAGTCCCAGCTACTTGGGAAGCCGAGGTGGGAGGATCACATGAGCCAAGAAGGTCGAGGCTGCAGTGAGCTCTAATTGCACCACAGCACTCAAGCCTGGGTGACAGAGTGAGACCCTGTCTCAAAAAATGAAAATAAAAGTAAAAATAAATAGACAAATTATTTGCGGTGGGTACAAGCAACATCAGAGAGGAGTGGTTAATTCTCCACAGTTATGTGCACTGCCACCTGAGGATTATTACTTGGACTTCAAAAGATCAGGAGAGGCTGGGCACAGTGGCTCATGACTATAATTTCAGAACTTTGGTAGTCTGAGGCAGGTGGATCACCTGAGGTTAGGAGTTTGAGATCAGCCTGACCAACATGGCGAAACCTCATCTCTCCTAAAAGTACAAAAATTAGCTAGGTGTGGTGGCACACTCCTGTAGTCCCAGCTACTCAGGAGGCTGAAACAGCAGAACTGCTTGAACCTGGGAGGTGGAGGTAGCACTGGGCCGAGATCATGTCACTTCACTCCAGTCTGGGAGAGACAACAAGGCTCTGTCTCAAAACAACAAAGAAAAAAAAAAAAAGAAAGGGCATGAAAATGATGGTGAGATCTTACTTAGATGAGCTTTCCCTGGAGGAGCTCCCTGGGTGAGTAAAGATGGAAGGCCATTGTTCTGAGTACTCAAACCCAGTTGTAAGGAGTCTGTCCACCCGGATGGGTGTGTGGTAAACAGAATTATAAAGACACCACTCAAGATTCTTATTCCCCTCGCTATTAAGTTAAACATGTATCTAGGTACTGTTATGAATGGTCTTTGCAGATACAATTAAGGTTACTAGTCAGCTGATGTTAAGATAAGCTGATTATCCTAGAATAACCAAATGTGTCCAATACAATTGTATGATACTGAAAACCAAGAAAACAGTGACAGAACAATCAGGTCAGACAAGCCATATGACAAGGGAAAGGACAGAAGAGGTAGAAAAGGTAGTTGGAGAGATTCAGAACATTAAAAGCTGTGCTTTGAAGAATGAGGAAGGAGGCCAGGAGTCATGGAATGCTTCGATCCTCAAGAAGCCAAAATTTGCCCTCAGCCAATCAATAGCCTGCAAGGAAGCAGGACCCGCAACCTGATGGAACTGAATGTAGCCAACAACCCAGATGTTTCTGGAAGTGAACGCATCCCTGGAATATGGAGGAAGAAACACTACCCTGCTGCCAACACACTGAATTCAGCCTTGGTCGACAATGAAGAGAAACCATCCAAGCTACTCAGACTACAGAACTTCACAATGGCGATATAATAAATGTGTGTGTTTTAAGCCACTACAGGTGAGATAATTTGTTACAGAAACAACAAGAAATGCATACAAGAAGGACTTGCAGGCAGTGTGAATCCTCCGGATAAACTTGAGGTTGCAAAGGATGGGATTTGAAGAAATGAGGATTTGTAGAAAATGCTCAAAAATATGCTTACGTGAAATTTGAGACTCTCAGTACTTTCAGAGTGGTAAACTTGCCTTCTAAATTAAGAGATACTTTGAATTCAGAGTGACCATTTCTTCCTACCTTACTGTGCCCTCCTACTAGAATATCCATATTAACTGAGGATAAATAACAGGCCTATAGCAGCTTGCCATAATCATCTAAGGAGAAAATTTCCTCATTACTCTATGCCTAATCAGGAATCCTCAGACAATATATCTAAGAACTGAGATAGGCCGGGGAAGTTTGGGAGAAAAATGTAACTGTGGGTGCCATCTTCAACCATACAGTTTATAAATGCATGATTCTATATCTTCTCTACATGGTGGAGATAACCCAGAAGTTCAGTAAAGAGACCCATCTGTTTTGGGGATACCATTTTGCCTCACCAGCCCTGGATCTGGAATGAACAGGGGTAGCTCAGATCACCTGGCTTGGACATGAAATTTCAGTTGTCTTATAATGCAAAAAGTTGTTGCCAGTCTAATCAGGAGTAGCAGGCTTCCCTAACTTCATACATAACTCACAAATGGTAGTATTCTAAAACCCTCCAAACAGTTGCAGCCCCTCTACTGGGAGCAGTGAGCAGCTTTATGCTCTAAGAACTTGCATATCTGCCTAACCACCCCCAAACACTAAGCAGTGCTCTAGCACTGACATTCAGAATCAGTTCACTTCAAAGCACAAATAAATAGGGCATAAAAGTCTACATCAATTAGAAGATACACAATTTAAGGCCAGGCATGGTGACTCATGCTTGTAATCTCAGCATTTTGGGAGGTCAAGGAAGGAGGACTGGTCGAGCCCAGGAGTTCAAAACCAGCGTGGTCAAGAGAGCACGACTGTCTCTTAAAAAAAAGATAATAAAAATAAAAAGTAGTCTGGCATGTGGCACATGCCTGTATTCCCAGCACTTTGGGGGGCCAAGACAGGAGGATTGCTTGAGCCTAGGAGGTTGAGGCTGCACTGTGCTATGATGGTGTCACTGCATTCTAGCCTGGGTGAAAGAGCAAAATGCTGTCTCAGAAATAAATAAATAAATAAATAAATAATGAAGGAAGAAGAGGAAGAAAGAGGAGAAGGTGGGGGAGAAAGAGAGTAAGGGGAAAGGGAAGAGGAGGAGGAAGAGGAGGAGGAGCAGGAGGAGGAAGAGGAGAAATGGTAATTAATGTACTACTCTAAACTTTGGAAACCTCTCATTAAGTAATGATAAATGCCAAGAAGAAAGAAAAATGGAAGCTCATAAGAAATGTGGAGGTTCTGCAGGAAGTCAAGTATGGAAGTAAAGGCTTTATGTGATTTCACAGCCATGTATTTATGTATTTATGTATATGCTGATAGTATATACATCAGGAATCAGGAAACAAGTATTCCTCTGAAATTCAGGAGATGCCCCATTGTAATTAATATAGAAGATTGTAAGGATAATAGCCTCCAGCAACTATCTGGAGCAAATACTGAATGTCTTTACTTATAAGTGGGAGCTAAAGGACGAGAACACAACGACACATAGAGGAGAGTAACACACACTGAGACCTCCTTGAGGGTGGAAGGTGGGAGCAGGGAGAGTATCAGGAAAAATAACTAATGAGTACTCAGCTTAATACCTGGGTGATGAAATGACCTGTAGAAAACCCCGTGATTCTGCAAAGCCACTTGCATTATATCCACCGCTGCTCCAAGCCAAGGTTGTACAAGCACACAGGCAGAATATTCCTTATGACTTCCATAGAACCGAGGGTTTATTTCTTCCAATGACTATTTTAAAAAATCTATCACAGCCATATGGAAAACGAGGCTTCGGCCTATACTTACTGCTCATCAATATTACTCTAGATCTGGGTTTCTCAACCTCAGGAATATTGACATGTGTAGATGGAAGATTATTTAATGTGCTGGGCTATCCTATGCCTTGTGGGTGGCTTAACAGTATCTCTGGCCTCTGGCCTTGAAATGCGAGTGGTACTCACTCCCATAATCTAGCTGTGGCAGCCAAAATTTTTTCCAGACCTTGACAAATACCTCCTGAAGTGAAAAGCATGTATCTTTGCAAAAATGTCCATAGTTCAGAACTGAAAAATTAGACATCTATGTATCTATTACATTTCAACTGACTTTTCTTTTTTTTCTTTTTTTCTTTTTGGTTCCGTTTTTAGCTCTTTGAGGAGTCACTATACTGCTTTCCACAATGATTGATTTAATTTACACTCTCTCCGATATTGTGTAAGTGTTCTCTTTTCTTTGCAACCTCACCAGCATCTGTTATTTTTTGACTTTTTTTTTTTTTTTTTTTTTTTGAGACGGAGTCTCGCTCTGTCGCCCAGGCTGGAGAGCAGCGGTGCGATCTCAGCTCACTACAAGCTCCGCCTCCCAGGTTCACGCCATTCTCCTGCTTCAGCCTCCTGAGTAGCTGGGACTACAGGCAGCCGCCACAGCGCCCGGCTAATGTTTTGTATTTTTAGTAGAGACGGGGTTTCACCGTGTTAGCCAGAATGGTCTCGATCTCCTGACCTCGTGATTCGCTCGCTTGGCCTCCCAAACTGCTGGGATTACAGGCGTGAGCCACCGCGCCCGGACTTAACTGACTTCTCAAAAATTTACTTATCCTTTATTATCCATACTGGATACCATTACACAATTCAAATATTTTGTACAGTCTTTGTACACATCCTAAAGGAAAAATTAGATAACATGGCACCATTGTATGTAGAGATTCAAATAAGTACTTGGAGCTTCTACAGTTTATTTAGAAATCAAGTAATACACATAGGAAACAGAGAGGGGACTAAGACACACACAGAGAGCTATTATTAACCCATGTAATCAAAGTAATTTTATCTTGAATTTTAGCAGTGTTTTCTGAGGTGAAACCCAAGAAAACTGTCCATACATGTAGTGGATGCTGGTATTTTTTTAAACTTTTATTTTAGGTGCAAGGATATGTGTGCAGGTTTGTTATATAGGTAAACTACTGTCATAGGGGTTTGTTAAACAGATTATTTCATGGCACAGGTACTAAGACTAGTACACTGATACTTATTTTTCCTTATCCTCTCCCTCTCCCCACCCTCTGCCCTGTTATAGGTCACAATGTCTATTATGCTCTGCTCTGTGCCCATGTGTTTTCATCTTTAGCTCCCACTTGCAAGTGAGAAAAAGCAGTATTTGGTTCTCTGTTCCTGCATTTGTTGGCTAAGGATAATGGCCTGCAGCTTCATCCATGTTCCTGCAAAGGACATGATCTTGTTCTTTTTTATGGCTGCATATTATTCCATTATGTATATGTACCATATTTTCTTCAGTCTACACTGAGGGACATTTATGTTGATTCCATGTCTTAGCTATTGTGAATAGTGCTACAATAAACATATGCATGCATGTGTCTTTTTTTTTTTTTTTTTGAGACGGATTCTCGCTGTGTCTCCCAGGTTGGAGTGCGGTGGCGCAATCTCGGCTCACTGCAAGCTCCGCCTCCCGGGTTCACGCCATTCTCCTGCCTCAGCCTCCCAAGTAGCTGGGACTACAGGCGCCCGCCAACACGCCCGGCTAATTTTTTGTATTTTTAGTAGAGACGGGGTTTCACCGTGTTAGCCAAGATGGTCTCGATCTCCTGACCTCGTGATCCGCCCGCCTCGGCCTCCCAAAGTGCTGGGATTACAGGCGTGAGCCACCGCGCCCGGCCGCATGTGTCTTTTTGATACAATTTCTAATTGTTTGGGTATATACACAGTTATGGGATTGCTGGGTTAAATGGTATTTCTGCTTTTAGCTCTTTAAGGAATTATCACACGGCATTCCACAATAGTTGAAAGAATTTACACTCCCACCAATATGGTATAAGGATTTCCTATTCTCTACAACCTTGTCAGCATTGATAAAAGTAGCTTGTTTAGAATTAAAGAATCATGGGCATAAAGAAGTGTTTCCAGAGCATTTTCAAGTCACAAAACAAAATGCATGAAAGTTAGCAAATTTAGGGGAAAAGTGAACAAAGGTATTTTGTTTAGAATTAGTTAAAAAATTTACAGGGATAAAGGAATTTGTCCAGAGTGTTCAAGGTCTGAGGTAAAAAATGCATGCAAGTTCATGAAATTTTGAGGAAAAAAATTAATTCTGAAATTCTTCAAAGAAACAATATTAATTTCAAGTGATTAGACCCTGGGGATGAATTGATAGTGGTGACAGAGGATCTGTGGCTTAGGCCAAGAAATAATATATATTTTGTGGCTGTAAAGACATTTTCAACAGAAATGACATTTTCCCAAAGTGGTGGATATTTCTGTGAGATGTATATTATGCACACATGTTTGTATGTGTATGTTTGTGGGTATGAAATTTCAAATATGAAAGTAACACATATTAAGGAAAAAATATTCTGAAAGAAGATACAGATGTCCTTTTTAAATGCATGTCTCATCCTTAAAAATCAGACATTTGCAGAATAGCATGAGCATAAAAATGGAAATATGTATATTTAAGTAGAAAATGATAAATATATATGGAACCTAAATATATGTCAGGCAGATAGAGACTAAAAAGAATTTATAGGAGCACTGCCAACTTTCCAAAAAATGTTCCAGGGGATGTGGGAATATATTGATCCAAAGAATAAAAAGACATATGCATAGTAACAGAGAAGAAGAAAACCTAGTTAAAATCTCACGTTTAAAGGAAAGACATATATAAAACATATGTTTTATAATTTTATTTTTCCTGTTAGAATATATGTTGCAAAATTTATGCAATAAAAATAGACTTAGTATGACTCAAACAATAGAAAAGCCATGGGGTATAATAGAAAATAGAAATGATGTTCACAATTTACATTTAAGTGTAACCAAAATAAATTTTAAAAGAATCTATTATTGTCATTGTATATGTGACCTTTTGCCATCCAGTGTAAACTATACTATACTAAGATTATAAATAACACAGGCCTGTGAACTTTATGTTAAGTATTAAGCTTATTAGGAACTACACATGACAAATGTGTTGAGATGCCATCTTTCTATTTCAAAAGACAAAATCCAGTTTGCATGCAGTTGCACAATGCAAAAGGTTACTTCTCTCACCAATAGTGAGAAAAGTGCTCACTGTTGTGAGTCAGTCATTCAAAGAGTTCTCTTCATCAGTTCCAATGCCCCAGCCTCCAATTTTCTTTCCTTGTTCTTTAAGCCCTTTGTCTCGCCCCATGGAGGTTCTAGCTTCCATATACCATTTGGCCTCAAATCCAACACCACTTACTTTAGGTTTCTGTTGAAAGAGATCCTCACTTCTGGTTTCAATGCCTGCTCTGGTTAGCTATTGCTGTGTAACAATGGTTAGCTATTGCTGTGTAACAAACATGCCCATAATGTATGGCTTCAAACACTCTTTTATGAGGATCTCCCATAATTCTGTGAGTTGACTGGGATTAGCTGAGAAGTTCTCTCTTGAGAGTTCCTGAGTTAGCTAAGGGATAGGAGTTCTCAATCAGATGGGATGTCCTTAATGGGTCACTCACATGGTGGCACTGCTGGTTGTCAACTGGAAATGAAGCAAAAGCTACTGATTGGAGCACCATGCATAGCTTCTCCATGGGGCTTGAACACTTGCAGCATGAGGTATGGGTTCCAAAAGGAAATGTCACAAGAATCAGCACTCCAAATGTCCTAAATGGAAGCTTAATAGTTCCTTATAATCCATCCTTGGAAGTCCCAAATCATTACTCCCAGAACATTCTATTCAAGAAGATAGTCACTGAGGCCAGCAGAAGATGCTGGGAGAGGGTTCAACTAAATTTGCAAGACTATCTGCATCCATTTCTATCTATCACACCCTTGACATTAAACCTGACTTGACATTAAACCTGACTGATCATGTGTGATGATTCCAATAGATATGGAATAGCACACTACACTATATGTAGTGTCCTACATCAAGGGGAAGTTGCATCTTGACTCAGAAAAACAGACTGCTGTGATCAGTTGATGAAACCTTCCAGGGACAAAGGCAACTGTCCTATCCATTGAAGACTGATTTATTCCCACGGTTCCCTTCACACACAGGGAATGGGAGAGGCTCAGTACAAAGAAATGTCTGGTCTTCAAACTGCCCCAAATCATACATCAGACATCAAATTGCACATACAGTGTTGATTCAGAATCAAGGTATCATGTGTGTTCCAACATATTATATTAAACCTCAATGTCAACCATGTTACTATTGAAATATGATAGATTAATTTCTATAGAATAAGAATATAGATAAAAAATCAAATCACATTATTTAAAATTTTTTTAAATGATACATGAAAACCATGTGGGCCCTCAGTTACCCTTGCAACTGTTCATAAATTAATTTAAGTCAATCAATGGAGGGCTTTATGTGCTGTGTTTTATGCCCTTAATTGGCTTGCTGCATGCGTGCATGAGGAAAAAGGGAGGCATGATACATGCTTTTCATGAAACTTATAACCTGTGACAGATATACACCACCCAGTAAATGCTGAGTACAAGTACAGAGTTCCTGGAGTGAGTGCACTAGACTAGCAAATCTAGAATATAGCAAATGAAGGGAAGATCGCATGACAGGAGGAAACCTTCAGTCATTCTCAGGATGTAGGACAGAGAAGAAGCATCCCCACCCCAACATGATTATAAGAAGCCTCATATTGGTTGTGGTTGCTGTATTGCTTTTCTCTTAGATTGCTGTAGCTACAAATCGGAATAAACTTGTTCTGAGAACAATCATCTTTAATAATTAGTGTTCACCTACATCCAAAATTATGTGTTTCTTTCTTGACAATGAAAGTTACAATGATTCCCATGGTTTTGAATGAATTTATTATTTTACATAAGACATTATCTTACTTCACGGGAGTACTACCTGCCTCAAATTCTCAGGCACCAGAAATGTCATATTTATTTATGGCTTTGTAAAATAAGAACTTTCTTACAGTCTAGGAATACACCAGGATCTAGTCTTTTGCATTTTCTTTTTCTACCACAGAAATCCAAACTGGCCCTTTGACCCATTTTTCTGACATTTGAGCAATTTGTGAATTGATCAGATGAACCAAACACAATAAAAATATAAGGCAACCTGTCTGTCATTACTGTGGGTAGAAGAGCATCAAATCTGGAGGAAGTAAGCCTTCTTTTTCCTGCTGTCTCTGCTAGGAGGACAGGGGGTTGGGAAGCAGTACATGATTCAGGGTGTTTGTGGACATCTCCATTACTTTCCAGCATCACCTATCTTACCTGCTTTGGCTGCTAAAACAAAAGACTGTACCCATGGTTTGTAAAAAACAAAAACTGATCACAGTTCTGGACACCAGAAGTCCAAGATCAAGGCAGATTCAGTGGCTGGTGAGGACTCACTTTCTGGGTCATAGACAGCACCTTCTCGCTGTGTCCTCACATGGTAAAAGGGATGAGGGTGTCTTTTGCAATGGCGCCTTTTGTAATGGTAGGAATTCTGGGGACCCTTTTGTAATGGTAGGAATTCCACTCATGGGGCTCCACTCTCATGGCCTTATTACCTCCCAAAGCCCCACTTCCAAATACCTACACAGTTGAGGACTAGGTTTCAACATATGAATTTTTGGGGGACATACACATTCAGTCTATATACTGCTAGAAAATCCATCCTCCCAACTACCACAAATGCTCCAGGATAAGGATCTGGGAATATTGCCAGAGCAAGTAGTATGAATTCATGTAGTTGTCCTCTGCATTCAGCAATATTTCTTTTCCCACCAGAGTGGGAAAAAAAGTTGGTCTTAAATGCTTTTTCAAAGATGAAATTTTTTTCCAAAAATAGAGGCAGTGGAGATTGGAGGGAAAATGCAGAATGGTCATTTTTTAGGAACATTAGGAATAGTAGCTCCACTTTTGTGGGGCCTAAGATCCAATTGTATAATTGGCAAGAGGAGTTTGGTGAAGTGGAGTGGATTTAAGAAAGGATAGGTGAAGAGGAGTTGAGATGTGATCAGTGAGGACTCTTGGAAGACGAGCAGATGGTTGCTAGAGAAACAAAGACATACAGCCACATCAGGCAGAGAAAGTGCAGGTCAGATGCTTATTTCCAAATGGGATAAATGAAAGAATGTGGATGGATGTTAGGGGTGCCCAGTGGATATAAACTACAAAAGATGTAGAAGTTGGGAACAACGTTCTTGAGTGAGTGTGCGAAGGATGGGGTTTCTTATCTAAGACCTTCTATGGCTGCCTGTCTTTTCCTGTATCTATTGCCTATTTTTATGTGAGGCCATGAATAGGTCTCTGTGAGTGGGTGTGCATTTATAACATACACACCAGATGACGAATTAAACTTTGGTATAAGTTATTCAAATTCCAACTTTTCTAAAAATAATAAGTGGTACTAATATATATCAAAGTTCTGTGCTAAATTTGTTCACCAATATAGGATAAATTTATTAGATCGATCTATTTTAAGGAATTGACTCACGCAATCTGGGAACTGGCAAGTCTGGAATCTGTAAGACAGGCTGGCTGGCTGGCTGGCAACTCAGGAGGGAGGAAATGCAGAGTAGGGGCTGAATGCCTTCTTCTGCTTTGGGGGCCCTCAGGTTTTGCATACCCCTAAAGTAAAATTGCATGTATCCCACACCTTATATTTTAATTTGTAATGCTTCAATATTAAACTGAAAATCTGATAAGCATCAATATACCATTCTCTGCTTATACATTAACAAAGAGACAGACAGCAACCTCAGTGTATTCATATAAGTAACACAAGGTCCCTGGTCAGACTTGTTATTTAGAGAGATCTTTGCACTATCTCAGTCGCTATCCAAAATCTTTGAAAGCTCAGTTATTGGGAAACTCTATGAAAGATTCCTATCAGCTGGGCAGAGTTTCACATCTGAAATATGAGCATATTGGGAGATCAAGGCAGGAGGATCATTTGAGCTCAGGAATTTGAGACCAGCCTGGGCAACACAGTGAGACCTCATCTGTACAAAATTAAAAATGATACTAATTAGCTGGGCATGGTGTCATGGGCCTGTCACCTCAGCTACTCAGGAGGCTAAGGTGGAAGGATTGCTTGAGCCCAGGAGATCGAGGTGGCAGTGAGCTAAGATCACAAAACTGCACTCCAGCCTGGGCGACAAAGCCAGACTCTGTCTCAAAAAAGAAAAAAATCTACTATTTGGTAGCATAGCAGAGTGATTCAATAAAAATAATTTGTTGTGTATTTTAAAATAACTAAAGAGTAGAGCTGGAATGCTCTTAACACAGAGAAGGAATAAATACCTGCCGTAATAAATGCTGCAACTACTGTGACTTGATTATTACACATTTCACACCTGTGGGAAAACACTGCATACATATATACATCTATTATTTATCCATAATAATCAAAATTAAAATCATGTGAAAGACATCATTGTGTGTATTAGAAGAGAAACACTGAGAATTCAAAATTGAGAGCCTTCTCTTCTAATTTAAAGTTATCATATTCTGATGCATTCATGTTCGCCTGTAATATTGCTCTTCTCTCTTCCTAGTTTCAAACTGCAATATGCATAATGTTCATATAATGAGCAAAAGGATGTTAGAGTATTTGACCTGTATTTCAGCACAGCATTATGCACAATAATAGGAGACGCCCCATGCAAGTCCCAGAGAGGCTGCAGCCTTTAAGATGTCTTTTCTTTTATGGGCTGTTAATTTGAATAAAAGTGGAGAAATGCCTCTCTCTACGGAGATTAGCATGGAGGAACTATGGAGGAACTCCTGAGGGTAAAGGCCATATGTGCTCAACCTAATAAAATTGTAATATATGCCTGCGTTGTGAAGCTCAAAGAAGAGACTGAATTGGTGTTCTGCCAGAGATTCCAGGTGATGTAGACAGCTGTCGTCAAATTCTAAGTGCTATTTTCCCCTCAATTTTCTGAGAAATTTAGAAGAAAATCAAGTTTTGGAAGGCTGCAAGGCTTTGGGGGACTATGAAAAGCTGGAAAGAACATACATAGTTATTTATTTATTTATTTATTTATTTATTTATTTATTTATTTATACAGAGACAGGGTTTTGTGCTGTCACCCAGGCTGGAATGCAGTGGTGCAATCATAGCTCACTGCAACCTCCAACTCCAGGGCTCAATGATCCTCCAGGCTTAGCCTCTCAAGTAGTTGGGACTACAGGCAGGCACCACCACACCTGAATAATTTTTTATATTTTTTATTTTTTGAAAAGATGGGGTCTCACTATGTTGCCCAATCTGATCTCAAACTCCTGGGCTCAAGTATTCCTCCTGCCTCAACATCCCAAAGTGCTGGGATTACAGGCATGAGCCATTGTGTCTGGTCTCATAAACTGACATTTGTAGCTAGATGGCTCCATGAACCACGGCAATTTCTCTCTCTGTCTCTCTCTGTCTATCTCTCTCTCTCTTCCTCTCTTCCTCCCTCCCTCTTCCCCCCTCACACTCACCCTCTCCTCCTTCCCCTTCCCACTCTCCCCCACACCCCCAAACCTTGAAAATTTAAGAGCAGAATATAGCTTGTATATGCTCTCAAAATTGATGAAAGTGTTTATCAAGGTAAATCAGATACTTAAACTACAAAGTACTCTCTGTTTTTAAACTTGCAATGGTATATCTGACTTTACAACATTGAAAGTAGATAACTACTATTATGATCTGAGTGTGATTTTAAAATCCTTACCATGTGGTAACACCTCAAGGTTTAAGCAAAATATATTCAGATTGTGGAACAGCAATACACTTACCAACATGAGACAGCCATTTATTTCTTCATCAGTAAGTGATACAGAAATAGTTCACCGAATTTAACTGTGGTAGCTGATGTGTCAGGTAAGAAAATAAACATAGCTATCACCAATGAGAATTTCAAAACCTACACTTTATGGACAGATGTAAAAAGCTTTTGTTTTATCTAAAACATATTTAATCATAGAAAAAATATATTCTTTAGGAAGTAGCATTTCTTTTTTGCTGAACCAGTAGAAAAGAATGATAATTTCCACTCTCACAGGGAAGAAAAAAAATCAGGGTCAAGTTTAATATCTCAAAAGAAACAAGGACCTCAGTAATGAGTTCATAGAAATGAAAACCAATTCTCAGTGCTGGAATCAAAGGAGGATATGGAATCATAATGTAACAATACAAAGTGCCAAAATAATGACAGAAAAATAATCAGAACATTAACAAAATTTAAGAAGTATTTTTTTAAGAAATGAATTGTATAACATTACCCCAGGAAAATTATAGGAAACTCTCATTCCTAATGAGACTAGTATTAAAAATTTTAAAATATTTCAATATTTGTTAAAAGATAAAAGGAGGAATATCCACACTTAAAAAAAAATAGGCAAAATCCTGTGTAAAACCACACCAACACACCACACAGATCAAAGAGATTCAAGAAATGCTGCTAGTGTAGTTTATTTGCTCAGAAAGCAAAGCAAGATATTCTTAAATAGGCAATACCATGAAAAGCTTTCAGGAAAAATGCAAGTAACTAATTATAGCCATGTGTCTTCTAAATATTTTACTTGAGTTGCACTGTCAATATGCACCCTTTCCTGGTATCAGGAATATGAATAAAATGTTCTGCACCACTGGAAATCAAACTGGAGAAAATGATACAACTAATGAAATTATATATATATAATTATATAAAATATATATTATACATTACATAATATATAAATATAAATATAAAACAAATATGTTATATATAGCTAATCTGTAATATATGATGTAATATATGTTTTACATTACATTATATATATAATCTACATAAAATATTTGTGTATATATACACACAGTCATACATTTTATATATATAATTTTGACACTCAGGCAAATATATTTATATTTATATTTATTTCTATATTTATATTTATATTTACCAGCAAGTCAAAATTTTAAAGATCATACAACAAAAGTTATAGAAGCATAAGCTGGTTTCTATGCCAACAGTTATAGTCTAAGACACAGACACATTCATAACATCATAAAATAAGGAATAGTTCATTTTTTTGGTTTGCAGAGGAAATTTATATAAATTATACACTGGGTAGAAATGGAAAGGATGAGAAAAATTAGTATTGCTAGTTGAGACTGTGGCTGCCTAAGTTTGCAATCCGAGAACCACCCAAACTATCTTTCTCATTGTGTTTCGATTGCCTGAAAATGTGTAGAATTACAGGAACTGAGGGTTTGGCAGACTGCTTTGGAAATAATCATCTATGCCCCAGCTCAAAACCCCTTCTAAGGACCCATAGCATCTCTGAGCACCAGCACATGCATCGCCAACCTGAGACCAGGGAGGCAGGAAGAGGGAAAACATTTGAAAAACTGACAGAAAGCTAAGAAACCCTCCACTGGGCATTTGTTTTAGATTAGTTATTACATAATGTAAACATGACAGAATGTATCCTGATTGTCCACCTGTTACTTTGGTATTTGTGACATAATGAAATAGAAAGCCGCATTGAAAGAAAATTACTGCCAGTTTTATAATCTAATTGTTGGCATTACTTACTGGTGGTGTGTGTTGAGAATTTCTGAAATATTCTGTGTATGGTGTGTGTGTGTGTGTGTATGTAAAGACAGAGAGAAGCAATCAGTGAGAGGCAGAGAGTGTCAGAGTCAGAGACAGAGAGACAAAGAAGAGATGAAATTCATCAGTTGTAGTGGACTCCCCAAAATACGTCTCCAGAAACTCTTTCTCACACATCCAGTAACATATTGGGGATACCTGGTTTTTAACAAATGATAGTTACTGATAAATATTTAATACCCTCCAGAATAACCTGCATTTTATTTTTTAAGTGACTTCATTAATTTTATTCAACAGCTAATTTGAAGTACATATTCATAATATGAATATGACATTTTCCTATTATAATTTGTTTACATATTTTTTTCTTATACTTTAAGTTCTGGGATACATGTGCAGAATATGCAGGCTTGTTACAGAGGTATATATACCGTGCCATGGTGGTTTCTTGCACCCATCAAGCTATCATCTACATAGGTATTTCTCCTGACGCTATTCCTCCCCTAACCCCTAAGCCCTGACAAGCCCGGGTGCGTGATGTTCCCCTTCCTGTGTCCATGTGTTCTCCTTGTTCAACTCCCACTTATGACTGAGAACATAAGAGTGTTTGGTTTCTGCTCCTGTGTTAGTTTGCTGAGAACATAGTTTGCAGCTTCATCCATGTCCCTGCAAAAGACATGAACTCATCTTTTTTATGGCTGCATAGTAGTCCCTGGTGTATATGTGCCACATTTCTTTAAGTAGTCTATCATTGATGGACATGTGGGTTGGTTCAAGTGTTTGCTATTGTGAACAGGGCCACAATAAACATACATGTGCATGTTCTTTAAGGTAGAATGATTTATAATCCTTTAGGTATATACCCAGTAATGGAATTGCTGGGTCAAATGGTATTTTTTGTTCCAGATCCTTGAGGAATCACCACATTGTCTTCCACAATGGATGAACTAATTTACACTCCCACAAACAGTGTAAAAGCATTCCTACTTCTCCACATCCTCTCCAGAACTTGTTGTTTCCTGACTTTTTAATGATTGCCATTCTAACTGGCATGAGATGGTATCTCATTGTGGTTTTGGTTTGCATTTCTCTAATGACAAGTGATGATTAGCTTTTTTTCATATGCTTGTTGGCTGCACTTACGTCTTCTTTTGAGAAGTGTCTGTTCATGTCCTTCTCCCAATTTTTGATGGGTTGTTTGATTTTTTGTGTGTGTACATTTGTTTAAGTTCCTTTTAGATTCTGGATATTAGCCCTTGGTGAAATGGATAGATTGCAAATTTGTTCTCCCGTTCTGTAGGTTGCCTGTTCACTCTGGTAATAGTTCCTTTTGCTGTGCAGAAGCTTTTTAGTTTAATCAGATCCCAGTTGTCAATTTTGGCTTCTGTTGCCATTGCTTTTGGTGTTTTAGTCATGAAGTATTTTCTTTGTCCATGTCTATGTCCTAAATGGTACTGCCTAGATTTTCTTCTAGTTTTTCAAATGCTTTCCCTCCTTCTGCCTCCATGGTTTTGGGTTGATGATGAATGTGTTGATGCTCAGAAATGCTGTGGGTCCTTAAAAGAGGTTTTAAGTCTCATGTTTAAGTCTTTACTCCATCTTGAGTTAATTTTTGTAAAAGGTGTAAAGAAGGGGTCCAGTTTCTGTTTTCCGCATATGGCTTGCCAGTTTTCCCAACACCATTTATTAATTAGGAAATCCTTTCCCCATTGCTTGTTTTTGTCAGGTTTGTCAAAGATCAGATGGTTGTAGATGTGTGGCATTATTTCTGAGGCCTCTGTTCTGTTCCACTAATCGATACATCTGTTTTGGTATGAGAACCATGCTGTTTTGGTTACTATGGCCTTGTACTATAGTTTGAAGTCAGGTAAGGTGATGCCTGCAGCTATTTTTTTTCTGCTTAGGATTGTATATATGGGCTCATTTTTGTTTCCTTATGAAATTTAAGGTAGTTTTTTTTTTCTAATTCTGTGAAGAAAGTCAGTGGTAGCTTGACGGGGAGAGGACTGAATCTAGGAATTACTTTGTGCAGTATGGCCAATTCCACAATATTGATTCTTCCTATCCATGAGCATGGGATGTTTTTCCATTTGTTTGTGTCCTCTCTTGTTCCCTTGAGCAGTGGTTTGCAGTTCTCCTTGAAGAGGTCCTTCACATCCCTTTTAAGTTTTATTCCCAGGTATTTTATTCCCTTTGCAGCAATTGTGAATGGGAGTTCACTCATGATTTGGCTCTCTGTTTGTCTACAATTGGTGTGCAGGAATGTTTGTGATTTTTTGCACATTGATTTTGTATCCTCAGACTTTGCTGAAGTTACTTATTGGCTTAAGGAGATTTGGGGCTCAGATGATGGGTTTTTCTAAATATACAATCATGTCATCTGCAAACAGAGACAATTTGACTTCCTCTCTTCCTA
The DNA here is from genome assembly GCF_000001405.40 of Homo sapiens. Lineage (NCBI taxonomy): Eukaryota > Metazoa > Chordata > Mammalia > Primates > Hominidae > Homo > Homo sapiens. The sequence continues at coordinate 14,773,106 of NC_000024.10, read as the reverse complement.
TTTGAATATCCTTTATTTCTTTCTCTTGCTTGATTGCCATGGCCAGAACTTCCAATATTATGTTGAATAGGAGTTTTGAGAGAGGGCATCTTTGTCTTGTGCCAGTTATCAAATGAAATGCTTCCATCTTTTGCCCATTCAGTATGATATTGGGTGTGGGTTTGTCATAAATATCTCTTAATATTTTGAGATATATTCCATCAATACCTAATTTTTTGAGAATTTTTAGCATAAAAGGATGTTGAATTTTTACCGAAGGCCTTTTCTGCATCTATAGAGATATCATGTGGTTTTTGTCTTTGGTTCTGTTTATGCAATGGATTATGTTATTGATTTGCCCTTGTTAAATCAGCCTTGCATCTCAGGGATGAACCAGACTTGATCATCATGGATAAGCTTTGTAAAGGGCTGCTGGATTCGGTTTGCCAGTATTTTAATTAATGATTTTTGCATCGATGTTCATCAGGGATATTGGCCTGAAATTCTATTTTTATTTTTTTGTTGTGTCTCTGTCAGGATTTAATATCAGGATGATGCTGGCCTCATATAATGAGTTAGGGATGAATCCCTCTTTTTCTATTGTTTGTAATAGTTTTAGAAGTAGTGGTACCAGCTACCCTTTGTACCTCTGGTAGAATTCGACTGTGAATCTGCCTGATTCTGTGCCGTTTTTGGTTGGTAGGCTAGTAATTACTGCCTCAACTTCAGAACTTTTTATTGGTCTATTCAGGGATTCAACTTCTTCCTGGTTTAGTCTCAGGAGGATGTGTGTGTCCAGGAATTTATCAATTTCTTGTAGATGTTTTAGTTCATTTGTGTAGAGCTGTTTATAGTATTCTCAGATGGTAGTTGGTATTTCTTTGGGATCAGTGGTGATGTCCCTTTTATTACTTTTACTGTGTCTATTTAATTCTTCTCTATTTTCTTCTTCATTAGTCTAGCTAGCAGTCTATCTATTTTGATAATCTTGTCAAATATCAGCTCCTGGATTCATTGATATTTTGAAGGGTTTTTCATGTCTCTATCTCCTTTAGTTCTGCCGTGATCTTAGCTATTTCTTGTCTTCTGCTAGCTTTTGAATTTGCTTGCTCTTGTTTCTTTAGTTCTTTCAATTGTGATGTTAGGTTGTTGACTTTAGACCTTTCCCACTTTCTACTGCGGGTATTTAGTGGTATAAATTTCCCTCTATACAATGCTTTAGTTGTGTCCCAGAGATCAGAGATTCTGGTACATTGTGTCAGCATTCTCATTGGTTTCCTCCATCCCTTTATTGTGAGCCTATATGTTATCTTTGCTCATGAGATGGGTCTCCTGAATATAGCACACCGGATAGGTCTTGATTTTTTATCCAATTTGCCAGTCTGTGTATCTTAGTTGGGGCATTTAGCCTGTTTACATTTAAGGTTAATATAGTTATCTGTGAATCTGATCCTGTCCTTATGATGCTAGCTGCTTATTTTGCTAGTTCATGCTGTTTCTTCACAGTGTCTCAGGACTTTATATTTTGGTATGTTTCTGCAGTGGCTAGTACTGGTTTTTCCTCTCCTTATTTAGTGCTTCCTTCAGGTGCTCTTGTAAGGCAGACCTGGTGGTGACAAAATCGCTCAGCATTTGCTTGTCTGTAAGGAATTTTATTTCTCATTCACTTATGTAGATTACTTTGGTTGGATAAGAAATTCTGGGTTGAAAATTCTTTTCTTTAAGAATGTTGAATAAACCCTACAAGCCAGTTCTGGCTTGTAGGGTTTCTGCATAGAGATCCACTGTTTGTCTGATGGGCTTCCCTTTTTGAGTAACCCAGACTTTCTCTCTGGCTGCCCTTAACATTACTTCCTTCATTTCAACCTTGGTGAATCTGATGATTATATGTCTTGGAGTTCCTTTTTTCAAGGAGTATCTTTGATCTCTATATTTCCTGAATTTGAATGTTGGCCTGTCTTGCTAGGTTGCTGAAGTTCTCCTAGATAATACCCTGAAGAGTGTTTCCCACTTGGTTCCATTCTCGCTGTCACTTTCAGGTACACCAAGCAAATGTAGGTTTGGCCTTCTCACATGGTCTTATGTTTCTTGGGGGATTTGCTCATTCATTTTCCTTCTTTTTTCCTCTAATCTTGTCTTTATGCTTTATTTCATTAAGTTGATCTTCAATCTCTGATATCCTTTCCTTTGTATGATCAATTTGGCTATTGACACTTGTGTATGCTTCACGAAGTTCTCATGCTGTGTTTTTCAGCTCCATCAGGTCTTTTATGGTCTTCTCTATACTGGTTATTCTAGTTAGCAATTCCTCTAACCTTTTTTCAATGTCCTCAGCTTCTTTGCATTGGATTAGAACATGCTCCTTTAGCTCAGAAGAGTTTATTATTACCTAGCTCCTGAAGCCTACTTTGGTCAGTTCATCAAACTCATTCTCCATCCGGTTTTGTTCTCTTGCTGGTGAGAAGTTGTGATCCTTTGGAGAAGAAGAGGCATTCTGGTTTTGGAATTTTCAGGCTTTTTGCGCTGGTTTTTCCTCAAATTCAGGAATTTATCTACCTTTGGTTTTTGATGTTGGTGACTTTTGGATGAGGTTTTTGTGTGGGTGTCCTTTTTGTTGGTGGTGATGGTATTCCTTTCTGTTTGTTAGGTTTTCTTCTACCAGTCATGTCCCTCTGTTGCAGGTCTGCTGGGGCGTGCTGGAGGTCCACTCCAGTCCCTGTTTGCGTGGGTATCACTGGTGGAGGCTGCAGCACAGCAAAGATTGTTGCCTCTTCCTTCCTCTGGGAGCTTTGTCACAGAGGGGCAACCACCAGATGCCAGTTAGATCTCTCCTGTGTGAGGTGTTTGTCAAACTGTACTTGGAGGTGTCTCCCAGTCAAGAGGCCTGGGGGTCAGGGACCCACTTGAGGAGGTAGTCTGTTGCTTAGCAGAGCTTGAACGCTGTGCTGGCAGATCCACTGCTCTCTTCAGAGCCAGCAGGCAGGAATGTTCAAGTCTGCTAAAGCTGTGCCCACTGCTGTCCCTTTCCCTAGGTGCTCTATCCCAGGGAGATGGCAGTTTTATCTATAGTCCCCTGACTGGGGTTGCTGCCTTCTTTTCACAGTTGCCCTGCCCAGAGAGGAGGAATATAGAGAGGCAGTCTGGCTACAGTGGTTTTGCCCAGCTGTGGGTGGACTCCGATGAGTTCTAACTGTCCAGAGGCTTTGTTTACACTGTGAGGGGAAAACCGCCTACTCAAGCCTCAGTAATGGCAGGCGCCCCTCCCCACACCAAGCCACAGCATCCCAGGTTGGCTTCAGGCTTCTGTGCTGGTAGTGAGAATTTCAAGTCAGTGGATCTTAGCTTGCTGGGCTCTGTGTGGGTGTGATCTGCTGAGCTACACTACTTGGCTCCCTGGCTTCAGCCCTCTTTCCAGGAGAGTAAATGGTTCTGTCTCAATGGGGTCCTAGGTGCCACCTGGGTATGAAAAAAAAAATCCTGCTGCTAGCTTGGTGTCTGCCCAAATGGCTGCCCAGTTTTTTGCTTGAAACCTAGGGCCCTGGTGGGAACTTAGGGAATCTCCTAAGGTATGGGGCTTGCAAAGACCATAGGAAAAGCTTAGTATCTGGGCTGGAGTGCAGTGTTCCTCACAGCACACTCCTCAGGGCTTCCCTTGGGTAGGGGATGGAGTTCCCTGACCCCTTTCTCTTCCCAGGTGAGGTGATGGTAAGGAACTCACCAATTATGCAACCCCCTAAAAACCACACCAAGAGCAGTAGTGACTATGTTGTCCTGAATCACTCTTTGTTGTCCAAAAATTTTTATGTTGCTTCATGCATAACGTAACTTTTACTCAATATAAAATAAATTTAATTCCATCATTAGAGTTTAGTTTTTGCAAAATTATTTCCATATTGGGTAGGAAAGTGAAGCATTTCTGCCTTATTTTATTTTTTCAAATGGCTCCCTTTTAAAGTGGCCTTTTCTTGTCTTTATCACCCTGTAGTATTGAGAAAAATTTTTATGCATTTAATATAAAACAGTTGTTATCTTCTCCCACAAAGAAAAAGCTTTGATTTAACCCATCTTGTGTAGGACATCTGATGGACATGTGGAATGCAGTTAAATAATAGCTTGTGAGAAATTCCCACGTATTCAGGGTTTGTTGGTGGGGGAAGACAGGGAGCAGTGAGAACAAAAGTTGAAGATTTCCACAAAAAAAGTCATACATGAATTTGTCAAGGGTAATAATTCTGAAATTCTTACAGATGTCTGGATAAAAACAAGAATATTTCATCGTGTTTACCGCTGTAAGTTTAAATAAGTATTATCTGTCATGCATCTTTTTATAAAAAACAAATCTGTCATTAAGTGGAGATTGACGAAGAAAATACAGAATTTTTTTTTCTATAAATTTAAGAATAGCAAGTCCATCTCCTTAATACTATATACTCACAATTTCCTGCTTGACTCTTTTTAATGGGTTTAGAAAGTGTTTCTGCCTGATGTTTGACGAGGTAGGCTAAGACCATGGGCTATACGGCTTTTGCAGACCACCTGAAATGCTTGACATATTACTAAAATAAGGTGAAAAATGGTTTTCCAAAGTAATTAAGCTTCTGAAGTTGGTAATGGAATATGAGTACTTGTACCCTGTGGGCTCCCATTCAAAATTGCCATCTTATCCCTTCCCTAAAGTATTTCTGCACATCATTCTCTTCTTCTTGTGGGGTCATGGTTTATTTAAGATTTGCCTACAGCAAACACATGCAGCATTTCTCTGTGCAGAAACCAGGTTGCAGAAAGTGTAGAGATACAGGCTATTGCAGTTTTCATATAACCCGCCTGAGTTTCATTAGGTTCAGCCCAGGGGCAGCCCTAGGACAAACAATAAAGTCAATGTTGCAATCTATCTGAGCCAATTTGTTCAGGTAAAATTTTTAGGTTCATTTTGGTAGGTAAAAGTAACCTCAGAAAAAGGAGATGAGTGATGGTTATTAATTCCTTCTCTCCACCTATATTTCATCCTGTGTGTCTCAGAGCCAAATGTGTTACATACATTGTCATTCATCAGACCCCCACAGCAGATGCAAAACAGTTCATATGTATTGTTTCAAAAATTTTGAGGTACAACTTCTATTTGTAGCTTCTCTGCCTTTCAGTCCTCTAAGGACAAAATAAGTGATGTTCTTTTATCTTTTTCAGTCAGCATCAGGTAATGAGAAATTCTCCTGTGTCAACATCTGAATGTAGGGCTAAAGAGACTTCAAGCCATGGGCATTGGACCAGGTCAAAGGCAAAGACACCTCTGGATTTTTGTACCTTGATAATGCCACTGTAGGGATTTTCTGTAAATTATTTTAGCCAATTCATATATTTTGAATATTTTAACATTATGGGCCAATGAGAGTTCATGCTAATATTCATTTTGATGTAACTAGTAATTCATTTCATGAAAACAATGCATTTCCAGCATGCTAATGACAAAAAGCTGTGTTGATTGAGATCTGAACAGTTGAAGAAGTAAGAGGTGGATTTTCTTAGGTAGGGGTAAGGAACCACTCCAGGAATGTGGACATAAGGTTAAATAATTTTATCATCCTTAAACCAAAGCACAGGTACATAATATCATTTTGTTTATTTTATTTTCCTACCTCAATTTCCCTGTCAGCCAGATCCATAACCTGCATCTGACACCACAGGATGGGTGAAGTAGACAAAGCTGTCAGTTTCTGCTTTAAAACCTAATTATTAAAATATTATTCAAATACTCCAAACCCACATGAAATGTTTTTTGTTACTTTCTATGTGGTGATAATGTTTGTTTTGGTTATGATTTAGATTTCTACTCCAGGGCCCTGGCAGCCCTGCATGAAAAACTTGTATTTGCATTGTATCAATAACAAAAAGAGTTGCCTCTGGAAACCTTAGTTAATTGGCACTGTATTGTCTAATTTATTCCACTGACATTATAATGTGTCTTAATGCTTGGGATTATCACAAAGCTGCAAAAAGATAGAAAAAAATAAAAATAGTAAGTAAAGCAAGTTGCAGAGAAGTATAATTAATATCCCAATTTTGCAAAACAGCACTAAAAAGAAATATGTGTAAATGAATAAATTTGTGTGGGTGGGTGGTATAGTTGTACAATATCTGTCTGTAATTCAAGACAAAGCTGGAGAAAATATACAGGAAACGCTGATAGGGAAATTTCACATGTTATACATTTCCATATTTTTAAAATATGTTAAAAACTAAATATATTTTAAAGCAATATTTCAAAGAACTTACATAATTTCACAAAGGAATTTAAATAAAATGAGAGGCATAAAAGCAAAAAGTGCCCTATTGTTACTAAGACTGATGAAGAATTTATCTTTATTATGCTGTTGTCTCTCACACATTATAAGATAATATATAAATTGTGGGTGAAAAGCTTAATCTACTACCTTTTCTGTTTAGTACTTTAATGAGCAACTGTCTAAACACATTGTTCCTTAACCTAAAATAATAGTGTAATGGACAAAAATTCTAAGTAAAATAGCAGAACGTAACAGGAAAAAGTTTTAGAAGCGCAGGTGGATAGTCATATGGTTTTTAATGATATAAAGTAATTTCTTATCCTTCTTAACCAGTTTGCCATATGATCCAATAATTAGTTCATTTTTAGGACAAGGTTCCAGTAAGTTTGTGAATGTTGTACTTCACTGTGGTATTTTTCATAACTTACATCTTTTACAAAATTATTTTCTTCTAAAAATGCTTAAAATATTCACATTAATAATAAATTTCAGACCTCAGGTAGGAGAATCTTATTTTTAAACAAAGGTACACTAATTTTGTAGAATGTTCTTTGTGAAAATAAGTTAAAGTTCTGGATAATGCTTTTTGTAAAGAGAGACTGCCTTTCAGAATATAACAGCTGTTTTGGTAGTAAAAAGGTTTTGAAGGTCTCAAAAGAAATCTATTGTCATTCCACTAATAGTCTTTGACTACTTACAGTTCTTATTTAAGTAAATTACAATAATTCCTTCAGAATTTCTATTTCTATTTTGTTTTCAGCAGGTATACAGATTTCCCTTCACTGACATACTAAATTCTCAAATTTGAAAGTCACATGTACAGAGAAAACTTTGCACAGGTTGGATGGGTATCAAAAGCTATATTTAACACCATATCCCTTTAAGATCTAAAAATCAGAATGTTACGTTGTTTTAGGTTCCATGACATTTTCTGGAATATTCAATTCCTTAAAAGTCAACACAGCCATTTACATAAGACACAGGAGCTTAAAAAGAAAAAGCTAATTCTGATTTACTAACACATCAAAGTCCATTTGAAAACCTATTAAGGCTAGAAAAGCAGTTCTTTGCCATGAATGCTAAAAATATGAGTCAGTTCAAACTTTGAACATATTTTTTACATTTTTGTGAACCCCTGATGTATCTTGAAGAGGATTTATCACCTGAAACTCGCACAACATAAAAAATATGATTTTGAACTGCTCAAACAGAGTGTTAAGGGATGTTTTTGTTTCTACTGCATGTAGGAGCACATTTCTATGATACATGATAAGCCAAACAAAGCGAAATTGAACACATTCAGTCTCATTTCCCTTTATGGCATCTTATACCTGCTTTTACCTGTTTTGCACAAGGTGGTTCTGTCTCCATGTTAGCATAAATGTGAATCATGAAGCTCATTTTGTGTTGAGTTCTAGGAGAAGGCAGATACACAAACTAAGATGGAAAGAGACTGCTTATTCTACTAATCACATTAGCTAATCATATTAGCTCATAAAAAGATCCAAACTATTTGACATTAAGTGTGTATATCTGTTTCCATAAAAAGAAATATAGAGTCAAGTGTATTCCAATAACATCCAAACCTGCAGTCTCAAAACATACTTGGTTCAAAGTATATGCATACTGTATGCATTAATTGGCAGAGCATTTTATAAGGCAGGTAGTACTGAGGTCATTTTATTCACTTTAAGACTCAAGATAACAAGTTCTGAGATATTTGGCAGCTTTCCAAGGTCTTCAAAGTCAGAGAGGAGACTTATAGCCAATGCAGAACAACACATTTTCAAAAACATCATGGAAGAATTAACTATCACTATGTGTATTTGTTTGTTAGAAGAATAATAACAAATATAAAGTAAAACATGTAAAACAAAAATGCACTTGGCTCTATTTTAATCAAAACAATAGCTGAGTTTATTGATTTCTGTAGTTTTCCTGTACTGTCTTCTTTTATAGACTAAATGTTAGCATTCTCCTCAAATTCAACCTTAAAATCCTAAACTCCCTTTCCCAGGAGATGGTATTAGGAGGATGTGTATTTGAGAGGTCATTAGATCCTGAGTATGGAGTGCTCATGAATGAGCTTAGTGCCCTTAAAGAAGAGATCTCAAAGAGCCCCTCACCCTTTTCCCATGTGGGGACACAGGGAGAAGTTGCTGTCTGTGGACTAGGAAGTGGGCTGTCAAGAGACTGAAACTTCCAGTACCTTCATCTTGGATTACTAGCCTCCAGAACTGTGAGAAATAAATGTCAGTTTTTTACAACCCACCTCCCACCCCATCCCAGATTATGTTATTTCATCATAGCAGCCTGAATGACCTAAGACAGAAATTGGTCCTGAGAGTGTGGTATTGAGATAACAGACACCTACAAATTCAGAAGCAGCTCTGGAATTGGGTAATAAGTAGAATCTGAAAGAGTTTTGAAGTGTATGGTCGACAGAGCCTATGAAGCCATGAGTAGAACGTCGAAGGTGATTCTAATGAGAGCTCAGGAAAAAGATAAGGGCTGCAGAGAAAACCTTAATCATCGTAAGGAAGACCTATGCAACTTTGAACAGAATGACACTAGAAATATGGACAGAAAACTCCATTTATATGAGCCATCAGAGGCAAATGAGAAATATGCCATTGCACAATGAAAGAAAGGTGATCATTGCTACAAATGTGGACAGCAGTAGTCTTCTGTTATGTATGTACCAAGACCCACAGTGGATACCTGAAAACACAGATAGTACTGAACCCTGTATGTACTATGCATTTTCTTATACATATATGCCTATGAAAAGGCTTAATTTATCAATTAGGCACAGTAGGAGATTAATAATAATAGCTAACAATACAGTAGGATAATTGTAAAAATATGCCAGCATCACTACTCTTGCACTTTGGGACCATTGTTAAGTGAAATAAGGGTTACTTGAGCACAAACACAGCAGTAACATGACAGATCTGGTCACTGAGAAGACTACTAAATGACTAAAGATCAGGCAGCCTTACCAGCATGGAGATGCCAAACAAAGGGAGGATTCACTGGCTGGACAGGATGGATTGGGAGGGAGCAGGACTGCTGGGGATTTCATCATGCTATTCAGAACCAAGGGCAATGTAAAACTGATGCACTGTTTATTTCTGGAATTTTCTGCTGACCATGGATGACCATAGATAATTGAAACTGCAGAAAGTATAACTGAAGACAAATGAGTAGTCCTAATGAATTCAGTCATCTTTTGTAGAATCAACATCATGCAGTCGTTCTGTAAGTCATCATGTAAATTGTTTGAGAGATAAAGTTGATTATGTGTCACAAAGAAAAATCCTGATATTTTCTATTCCTTAATATGGTCTTCAATTTAATTTAAATCTTAAGATGAGACTCCAAGGGAAGCAAGGGGGGTTTCCTATCTGAAGACTCCCTCTCTCTTTTCTTCACCTATCCTCCCCACCTTTTCTTTTTATTGCCAATTCATAAAGCAGATTCCAGTTTCTTTACTGGGCCTACAACTGAAGTGTTTCTTTTGGGAAAATCTCTTGGCTTAAGAAAGGACTGGCAGTTAAACTCCAGTCAACACAAAGAAGCATCTATTAATAACCATCCAGTTTCAAACTCTGAGCATCTTCTGTTTTAGGTAACTTCTCTGACTTTAATAGTCATAATGTTTTCAACAAACACACCCTCTATTTTTTAGAATGTTTCCTGTTTAAACTGCAAATACATGTAAATACTCTTTGGCAAACGTAAATGGACTATGTTCTTCCTAGTGAACAAAGGTCACTAAATCAGATTAGAAGACTGAAACTTCCAGAAGGCTAGGGAAGGGAATCTTCCAGCCAAATGAATAAACACAAGAAAAATATAGAAATTTTATTGTTCCTCATGCTTCACATTCTGTGAAAATATATGTCAGAGAAACCTCATTTGGTGACTAATGAAACTTCTTGCTGCAAATATCTTTCCTGCTGTAAAATCACTTAACTCATTTTTTTCAAGTGGGAGTAATCTGCTCTGAAGACTCTTACCCTTTTGTTAATGTGTCTTTCTGCTCTCATGCTGTTCTCAAAAATAAAAGTAAATGCACCCCTTTTATGGCTGGTAGGCATATTTTCTATCCTTCAAATGTGAATAGATCACCTCTAATCTCAACACAGTTTATTTTACATTTTTCAAGATTTGTGCATTAGCGTGTTTACACTACAGTTAAGCCTCCATTATCTGTTCAGAAAGATGTTTTTAAAAATAGTAGAAGCTCTTCATGCCCCTCGACCTGCACTTTACAGAGACAAGCCCTATGGCAGAATGTTCACATTGTGCATCCTTCTCATGATGATAACAGAGATGATCAACTCGGTGCCACTTCTGAATTTTTCCCACTTGCTCATGATATTAAATACATACAAATGCAGTCAACTGCACTGCCTCATATTTTCTCACAAACATGAGGAATATTGGTAAAGGAATATCAAAACAGATCTATTATTTTTTAAAATCAATAATTGTTGTCACATACTGGAGCATTAAATTCATGTAAGTAATTTAAACTAAAGAGATAGAGGTTTAGAAGATTTTTATAATAGTTTGAAATCCTTGAAGGATGAAAACATGGTCATAGTAGGTGATTATCAGATATCTCTTACAGAATACATTTTTTTCAATTCAAAAGTATTTAGCTTACTTATTTTTTATTTTTGGAGACAGGGTCTTGCTCTGTCACCTACAGCGGACTGTGGTGGAATCATCAATAGCTCACTGTAGCCTTGAACTCCTGAGCTCAAGTGATCCTATCACCTCTGTCTCCTGTGTAGCTGGGACTATAGGCATGTACCACCATGCCCAGCAGCTAATTTTTTATGTTTTTTTAGAGGCAAATCTAACTATATGACACAGGCTGGTATCAAAATCCCAGGCTAATAAGATCCTCCAGCCTTGGCTTCCCAAAATGTTGGGATTACAGGCATAAGCCACTGTGTCTGGCTGCTTATTATTTTTACCTGTAAAGATGATTTTTTAATTATTTATTTTAATTGGTAAAAACTGTATCTATTTATGTACTGGTATCTGGACTGTGAACATTTACAATGCGCAGGACAAGCCTAACAAAGCAAAGAATTATGAAGTCCCAAATATCAGTAGTGCTGAGGCTGACAAATCTGACTGTGGATTAGGTAGATGTGGCTCAAAAACTGAAAGATCAGCATGGTCTTTTTCTAACTGCATAAAGTGATTTGCTTCAACCATCAATCTTTTCCATGACATTCAATAGATAGACTGTGTCAGACACAGGGAGGTCCTCCAGCAGATGGTTCAGAGTACCATGTGTGTTGTTAACACTGGTTTTAAGTCAATCTTGTACCCTGGGCAGATACTCTGAGTAAAGGCCCTTTCTTTGGAGACCCAACTCTAGGAAAAAGGCTAGTGCATTGCTCTTGCAGTAAGCACATGCTTTCAATACATCTATGGATGGGACTGGATGGGATGTATGCACAGCTGAGAAATGTGTCCTCAATAACTACATGCCTGACTGAAAAAGAATCGTGTTCAGACATAGGGTGCAAGTTTGAAAATTCCATTTAGGTGACACTTCATTTTTACCCAAGAATATTCTAGTTAGTGGAAATTTTATAATATAACTAAAGCTGCTTGCTTCCAGTTGGATTTGAAAAGATAAGCCTTTGTATTTCTTTGGAAAATTCATTGTCCATATATGTGTAGTTCCATGTGGAGTCTCCAGTCTGTGATAGTGATCTGTTTGTCTATCTTTATATGAATAATACCCTGTTTCAATCAGTATAGCTCCACACTAAGTCTTGAGGTCAAGTAGCAGGAGTCCTCCCAATATGTTCTACTCCTACAAAGATGTTTGGCTACTGCACATCCTTTGTATTTTGATTTAAATTTTAAATTCATCTTGTTAATTTATGTATTTTCTAAAAGTCTACCATTATTTCATTTGGGATTGCAATGAGTCTGTAGATTAATTTGTACAAAATAAATATATTAACAATATTGTATCTTCTTAGGAGGGTGTCGTGTTTGTGAATACAGTCTTTTCTCCATTTGTTTAAGCCTTCATCAGTGTCCCTCAGTGGTCGAATGTAGTTTTCAACACGTAGACTTTGTCAAATTTACTACTCTATAGTTTACATATTCATAAACCAAAGTATATTTTTGTGATGAATTGGAAATAAAAAGAGAAAAACAACATAACAAAAGACCTGATTTATCTATGACAGATTACAGAAAAGTGTCACGCTTTGAGATTCTCTTGACAAATCTGAACATTCTGAAAATTTCCCATTTCTACAATATTTATTAACATTTCAATTACATCATAGATTGCTCTTCTATTATTTAGTGGAAATTTGATGCAGTTTAGTTCCCGCTTCACCAATATGATGTACAGGATTTATGATTGTGTGTGAAAAACTGGTGTGTATTTTTCATGTCTACCAAATTAAAATTAATCACTAGTAAATCTTACTAGATAATGAAAAAGTTTTTAAAAGTAGAATTGCATTAAGAACTACTAAATTTTTAAAACATACCAAGCATAGTAAAATATTCAAAATAATCAATATAAAAGCCTAACTTGCATTAATAGAAAAAATATATTATTTTAGTACACTAAGAAATTTTATTTTTGACATAAAATCTAACATTGTTCTTTCCTAATGTGTCTAGATTTTAAAGATAAATTTACTGCTATAGGACTGATCAGTAGATAAATCAACATAAATATCTATCAATAGATAAATAACCACAAGGGCCATTATTTATTGAATAATTATAGTATACAAATAAGTCTGCTAGGTGAATTATATACATCGTGTCTTATTTATTATTCACAGTAACTCTGCATAGTACCTAGTGTTATTGCCATATTGTAGATCCATTGCAGACATACTAATCAACAGCTGGCACTAAATCCATCATCAATCTTTAAAAGTCTTACATAACCTCATGTATATATAAATGAGAGCATTTTCTTGGAAAAAAAAGATTATATCCCTAAGTTTGAAACAAAACACTGGCTTCATAATTTGTATTTAAACACACTCGTGTTAATTTCTAAAATGGCTTTTAATCATGCATTTCAAAGATGAAACACTCTAAAACAGCAAAATAGCCAAACATGCATTTCCTGAGGAACACTCACATACTAATTGAAAAGTGTAAAAAATCTTGTGAAAAAACAAAAGTATGACTCAGTGCTTCAGAGAAAAATGTTAATATCTTTTTGGCTGTGCACGGCGGCTCACGCCTGTAATCCCAGCACTTTGGGAGGCCGAGGCGGGCGGATCGCGAGGTCAGGAGATCAGGAGATTGAGACCAACCTGGCTAACATGGTGAAACCCCATCTCTACTAAAAATACAAAAAATTAGCCCGGCGTGGTGGCGGGCGCCTGTAGTCCCAGCTACTCGGGAGGCTGAGGCAGCAGAATGGCGTGAACTTGGGAGGAGGAGCTGGCAGTGAGCTGAGATCTCGCCACTGCACTCCAGCCTGGGCGACAGAGCTAGACTCTGTCTCAAAAACAAAAAAACAAAACAAAACAAAAAAAAACAGTATCTTTTCATCCAAAATGCTAGCAGTAACATAAATCCTAAATAAAACACGATTTGCATGAGCTATGGTGTCAGGTGATGATTAACTGTCTGACATTTCTTTGAAGTGTTAGTTGTTAGAAATAATATTGCTGATTTAACTTATTTTAATGCCTGTAAAAGAAAGTCATGATTCTCTGAACTCAGAACTGCTCTTGAGATAATGGAGTGCTAATAAGATATTTGAATTATCTCTATAAATTCATGTTCTACCTAGTCATTTCTGTGGATATCAGCGGAAATCAGAAGTCTACATCTAGCAGTAACAGAGAAGATCATTCAGACCAACCTTCTAATTGAAAGTGGGTTGTAATATGTGTGATTTTTGAAAAGTCTCTTAAAAGCATTTCAGTGCTAAAATTATATTTAAGATTATAGCTTCAAAACTGATGATCACAGCCTGGGCAACATGGTGAAACCTTGTGTCTACAAAAAGTTTTTAAAAATTAGCCAGTCCTGGTGGCAAACATCTGTGGTCTAAGCTACTGGGGAGGCTGTGGTGGGAGTAAGTCTTCAGCCTGGGAGTTTGAGGCAACAATGAACCATGATCATGCTACTACATTCCAGCATGGTGACAGAGAGACCCTGCCTCAAAACAACCAATCAACCAACCAAATAAACAAAAAACACTGATGACCAAATGATGGTCTATCTAGACGCCTGGCACACAGTGCAGCCTTTGCCTTAGTGCACTGTTCCAATCTTGAAGAAATAGTTAGGGTTCTTGCAGCATCAGCAGATAATGGGACAATTCTCAAACCGTAGTCACTCCTGAAGGTATACAATCTAATATACTCACCTCTAACATTTTCCTACCTTGTAGGTTTCCCCCTGAAGGCAAGCATTAAACAAAAGTAAATTCGGTCTTGCAAGGACTTGTAATCTACCTTCATAGCATCTAAGAAATTCAGGGAACAGCATGGCTCAGTGAATGAAAGAACCTTGAATTCCAGTGTCCACAGGTTCAGAAGATGCCCTTAATCCATTTGCAAATACAGCAGCCAATTCACAAAGATTACCAAACCCATGAAGAAAGAAACAAAAAGTCACCAGCAAAAGCTGGTGGAAATGCCAAAAGAATTATGATAGTGCAGTCACCAGATATATATATGATAACCAATTTTCTGAAGGGCGTTCAAAGACCTTGAAAACAACAAGTTGGAAAGCATCTGCCAGGAATAAGAAAGTATTAAGAATGAAAAAATAAAGATCAAATCAAATTTCTAGATCAGAGAAATAAACAAAATGAGAAAATGAATGCATCTGCCTAAGGGCAGAAAAGTTAAAAAGGATATCGTATACCCTTGGGAAGAGATGAGAAGAAATGATCCAGAGAGTATCATGCAAAGAAGAAAAACGTTGGGAAACTGGGTGCAGTGGCCTAGGCCTGTAATCCCAACTATGCAAGACTGAGGAGAAAGGATTGCTTGAAGCCAGGAGTTAGACCAGTCTGCGTAACAGAGCAAGATCTAGTCACTAAAAAAAATTAAAATATAAAATATTAGCCAGACATGATGGTGTGCACCTGTAGTCCCACTTACCCAGAAGGCTGAGGCAAGAGATTCACATGAGCCCATAAGATCAAAGCTACAGTAAGCTATGATTGTGCCACTGCTCTCCAGCCTGGGCAACAACATGAGATGTAATATACAAAGAATATAAAATAGAGAGCTAGAAATAAGAAAAACAAAATGAGAATGCTGAATATATGCATAATTCTAATACTTAGTCCATGAAGATATTAGTCAGTGATACCAAAAAACAAACAAAGAGGAAGAAACATAAGAGTGATAGGGGGGTAAAAAAGGAAGAAAAACAGATGCAGACTT
Organism: Homo sapiens; assembly: GCF_000001405.40. Classification (NCBI taxonomy): domain Eukaryota; kingdom Metazoa; phylum Chordata; class Mammalia; order Primates; family Hominidae; genus Homo; species Homo sapiens. The sequence goes on along the minus strand of NC_000024.10, from coordinate 14,757,415 downwards.
TAAAATAACCAGGAAGAAAGCATTCCTGAAAATACAAAATTGAGAACTTTAAAAATGTGGAAACTGAGAAGAAACAAAAATTCAACCTTGAAATGTAATGAAAATACATATCAAATTTAAGGATTGGACACATTGGTTTAGCCATGGATTAGATAGATTAAACGAGAGAATTAGTGAAGTAGGTTATAGGAAAATTAATCCAGAATGAAGCTTGAAAATGAAGATTTTTAAAAAAGCAAACACACACACACACAAAAACTAAAAAAGGAGCCAGAGGGAGAAAATCTAAATTATGTACAAACACACTGAAAACAGAAGAAACAGTAGCAATATTTGAAGAGGTGTGACTATTTTCAGAACAGAAGAAAAGCCCATGGCAGATTTCAAGGTGATCAAGGAATTCTAATCAGATTAATAAACCCCAAACAGTATCACACTGAAATGGCAGAAACTGAAAGCAAAACTATCTTAAAGGTATCAAGGGGATACAAACTAACTTTACCAAATATATATATATATATATATATATATATATATATATATATATATGTATAAAATATGTATACACACATATATGTGTGTATATGTGTATATAGTATATATATATTAAATGTATAATATATAATATTTAATTAATTTAATATATATTTAATATATATATATACAGAGAGAGACAGAGTCTTGCTGTTGTCACCTGGGATGGAGTGCAATGGTGTGATCTCGGCTCACTGAAACCTCTACTTCCCGGGTTCCAGAAATTCTGTCTCAGCCTCCCCAGTAGCTGAGATTACAGGCACCCACCATCACACCTGGCTAATTTTTGTATTTTTAGTAGAGATGGGGTTTCATCATGTTGGCCAGGCTGGTGTCGAACTCCTGAACTCAGGTTATCCACCTGCCTCAGCCTCCCAAAGTGCTGGGATTATAGGCTTGAGCCACCGTAGCCACCCAAATATATTATTTTTAAGTATGTAACTTTTAAACTGACAGCTAAATTCTCCATAGGAACAGTGGAATCCAGAGAATAGGAGAATGATTTCTTGAATAGCTGAAAGAAGTAAAATTAAAATTCAACGAGAAAATTGTTCAAGAAGTGGATAAAGACATACTTAGCCATGCAAACTGAGAGCTTCCAACAGCTCACTAGCTCTGAAAATATATTTTAAATCACCAATAGATTTTGTAAGAGAATAATCACAGATAAAGTAGGAGGTACAAAGAGAAATGAAACACAAATGAAGGAGTGTAATTGTCAAAAAATCAAAATGAATATTGAAATAACAAAATAAGCAATCATATCTGAAAAAGATTCCTAAAAAACACAAAACATCGAAAGGTACTAACAGCAAGTAAGTTAGGTCATAAACATGGAGTTAAAACACACTGATTACTAACTATTTTCAGAGAAGAGGAAATGTATTAATTAAATTTAGTGATTATGTTAAGGACCCATGTTGTAATTTCTAGGATTATTTACTAAAAGTAGTACAGTCTTTTAACAGCTAGTGTAGTGGGAGAAGTGGGAGTAAAGAAAATGGAATAATTTTATTTATTTGTTTATTTTTTGAGACAGGATCTTGTTCCAGGCTTGGCTCTTGCCCAGGTTGCAGTGCAGTGGTGTCATCACAGGTCACTACAACCTCAATCTCATGGGCTCAAACTCTCCTGCTTACTCAACCTCTGGAGTACCTAGGACTACAAGTGCACACCACCACACCTGGCTAATTTTTATTTTTATTTTTCAAAGGGATGAGATCTTTCTATGTTGCTCAGGCTGGTCTTGAACTCCTGGAGGATCCTCAAGTGATTTTCCTGTCTTGGCCTCCCAAAGTGCTGGGATTACAGGTGTGAGACTCTGTTCCTGGCCTGGAATGATTTTTTAAAAAGCAATTCAAGCAAGATATAGAAGTGAGATATTAAAAGCACAATTTAGGATAGAGGACTTGAACACAAATACATAAAACATGAAAGTAAATATCAGTGAATCTGCAGTTAAAAGTCAAATATAATGAGACCCAAATAGATGCTACATAGAAAACACTCAAAGCCTGAGCCAGCAGAAAGGCCTGAAGTAAACACATAGAAACAATACACAATTCGATTATTAACAAAACATAAGATAACATTAACATTAAAACATAAGGTAATGTTAATGTCAGACTAAACAGACATTAAGGCATGAAGCACCACAAAACTTAAAGAGGATCATTTTATAATGAGAACAACCTCAATTTGCCACAATTCAATAACAATTCTAGACCATATCCACTAAAATTGATAAGCACGTCAAACACAAAAAACTAAAGTTTGAAAAAATATAGGAAAGGTTTTAAACATCCATAAACATCAAGGGGAAATTTCATATACCTATTTTAGTTACTGAAAGAACATGTAAACTACCTATAAAACTACATAGAGTATGTGAGCAACATACTTCAACAGTCTGAGATATTAGACATATAACATATTGCACCAACCATTGCAAAATATATACTTTTCTCAAGTATGCAAAGCACACTGGTGAGAAATAAATGAAGTATAAAAATATAAACAACCAGAAAAAAAACAAGTCTATTTGGAAACTAAAGAATAATCTGTGAAATAATTCATGACTAAAAAATTAATAATAGAAATTACAAAATAGTTTATCTGAACAAAAGCAAAAGTATCATTTATCTGATTTGTGGAATGTAGCTAATTCAGTACTTGAGCAAAATTTCCAGGTATATATTAACATATGAGAAAAGAAGCATATCTTAAAGTTAATAAAATCAGCATTTCAAGAAGACAGTAAAACAACAGCAAGATTTATCAGAAGTAAATAATTAAGATAGCAGTAGTGATTAATGGAAAAACAACATAAAATAGAATGAAGAGGAAAACCAAAAATTAGTTCCTTGGCATTTTCAAAAATTTGAAAATTTAAAAGAAGTAAAAAGACTTCTTTGAAAAAGTATAGTAGAACAAAAGTGATTCAAAAGTACACATCTGAATAAGCCTTCTATCATTTATTTGTTTGTTTGTTTGTTTATTTATTTATTTGAGATGGATTCTTGCTCTGTCACCCAGGCTGGAGTGCAGCAGCGTGATCTTGGCTCACAGCAACCTCTGCCTCCTGAGTTCAAGTGATTCTCCTGCCTAAACCTCCTACTCAGGAGCTGATTACAGGCACACACCACAGAGCCTGGTTAATTTTTGTATTTGTAGTAGAAACGGAGTTTCACCATGTTGGCTAGGCTGATCTTGAACTCCCGACCTCAGGTGATCTACCTGTCTCAGCCTCCCAAGTGCTAGGATTACAGGTGTGAGACACCACACCCAGTCCCCCCATCATTTATGATACCAAATTAGTTGCTTGAGCCCAGGAAGTTGAGGCTGCAGTAAGCTATGATTGTACTACTGCACTCCAGTGTGGATGACAGAATGAGACCCTGTCTCAAAACAAAGAAACAAAAGAAAGGAAGACATCAAATTTGCTGCCAAAACTCAAGCCACAAGGAAAACTATGCGGAGACGGTGGTATTTCTTAGTTCAGGAACATATTAATGAAGATATATCCCCAATCTTAATCTCTTCAAGTATTAAAAAAAAGACATATATTTCAATTTTATTGTATGATAGTGTAACTTCTATCCAAAATTCAAAGAATAGGATTAAGAAAGTTGCCAACAACATCACCCAGGGACTATTTTCGGCAATGCGTGAAAAGCATATGAATATATAATTCTCAAATTAGGTTCATCCCAACACACAAAGTGGAATTAATATTAAAATCTATAAATATCTTTTATGTATATATATAAACACATATAAAAGAAAGTCATATCTTTTATGTATATATAAAATCATCTTTTATATATCTTATATAAAGTCATCTTTTATATATATAAAATATATTATATATTATAATTATGTTACAAAAATGTAATATATATATAATAAAATCATTACAGTGACATTGAAGAGAAAAAAAAATTGGCCAGGTGCGGTGTCTCATGCCTGTAATCCCAGCACTTTGGGAGGCCGAGGTGGGTGGATTGCCTGAGCTCAGGAGTTTGAGACCAGCCTGGGCAACACAGTAAAACCCCATCTCTATGGAAATACAAAAAATTAGTTGAGCGTGGTGGTGCACACCTGTAGTCCCAGCTACTGGGGAGGCTGAGACAGGAGAATTGCTTGAACCCAGGAGGCAGAGGTTGCAGTGAGCTGAGATCACGCCATTGCACTCCAGCCTGGGTGACAGAGCAAGACTCTGTCTCAAAAAAATAAAATAAAATAAAATAGAAAAGAAAAGAAAAAAGAAACCAAAAAACCACACTACATTCAGTAAAGAATAACAAAATGCAACACCCATTCATTCACAGCTTCAAAAATATTTTAGCAAACAAAAAATAAAAGGGAATTTTCCTAATCTAATAAAAATTCACAACTAAAAGTCAGTAGAATTGAAGACCTCATTTTAATGGGTTAGGGTGTTGGAAACCTTGTCTTTAAAGTCAAAAGTCATAAAGAGATGCTCAAGTCTTTGTTCTATTTGGCATTGTACTTGAAGGGTTACACGAATGAGCTGTTAAGGAGAGAAAAATAAACACATCTAAAAATTAAAAAGGAATAGCAAAATTGTTTTTACTCACAGTTGATAGGAGTGTGTTCTAGGAAATCCCAAAGAATACAAGAGTTTCACAAGTTGCAAAATTAATGTTCAACAAGTAAGTAATGGCATTTTCCATTTTAGCAATAACAGAGAATGAACATTTTAAAACAAACATTACCATACTTTTGAAAACATCTTTTCTTACAAATCAATTAACCAAAATGTATAAAAGACTGCTATTCAAAATAGTACAGAATATGAAATAGAAAAAAATCTAAAATACATAAATGTGTATAAGGATGTACAATTCCATGAATATGTCTGTTCAATGTTTAAAGATGTCCAATCAGCCCAAACTAGCCTTGAGATTAAGTAATTAATTAATTCAATTCATTATTAATTGAAAATCAGATGCTTATTTATTTTTCAAGGTGGGTATGCCAAAATTCATACAAAAGTCAACACACCAAAGATAGCCAAGACTCTCTTGCAAAAGAACAAGGAAAGAATATTTGCTATACTAGATATTTTGTATTATTATAAAATCATGATGATAAAAAATGTGATTACTGGCACAGTGGTAGACAGAGACCAGTTGAACTTTAGTGATATGGGTTAAATTGTTTAAAATAAATGGTATTGTGACATTCTAAGGGAAAATAAACTACACCTCTTACAGAATGCAATAAATAAATCAATGTGTATTTTCAATATCAAAGATAAAATCATAAGCCTTTTTGCAGATAAAGTAAAAGGAAATCTTCATATCTAGGAGTAGGAAAAGATACCATTAACAAAAATCCCAAAGTGCTAATCTGAAAAAAATTATGGTAAAGTGTGTAAACTAAGAGTAAGAACTTTAAAGAAATCATTAGGTGGCTTACACCTGTAATCCCAGCACTTTGGGAGGCCGAGGCAGGTGGATCACAAGGTCAGGAGTTCAAGACCAGTCTGACCAAAATGGTGAAACCCCGTTTTTACTAAAAATTCAAAAATTAGCCAGGCATGGTGGCACAAACCTGTAATTTCAGCTACTCAGGATGCTGAGGCAGAAGAATTGCTTGAACCTGGGAAGCAGAGGTTGCAGTGAGCCAAGATCATGCCACTGCACTTCAGCCTGGGTGACAGAGCAACACTCCATCTCAAAAAAAAAAAAAATAGATAAGAAATAATTAAAAACAAAAAACATAAGAAGAAATTTGTGACATACATAATCAATGAAGTACTCTAATCAAAATAAAACAATAAGAAGACACACAATCTAATAGAAAAACTAATCAAAAACAAACAGATGCTTCCACTAATCAGGAAAAACAAACGGCCAATAAATACATGGAAACATCTCAATCCCAGGGAAAACACAATAAACACACAGTGAGTTTCCACATACACCCATTAGATCAGAAGAAGAAAACAGAATTCTTATACTGCTACATGTTGAACGATGCATACTGCTGGTGAAAACAGGCATTTGTGTACTGCAAAAGAGTATATAGTTGAAGATTTGAACCAGCAATTACATAGTGGTATATATCTCAGAAAATCAATGCTTGTGAGAAATGAGGATGCGTGAAAAACAACGTTCATAACACGAGTCCATAATAACCTCAAACTGGAAAAAGTATCTGTATCAATTAGGAATAAAATGGAAATATGGAGTGTGATATATTCAGATTTTAGAACACTATACAACAATTAAAAGTAGTGGAATGAATGTATACATAGCAGCATGTAAGAATTTTATAAAACAGAATTATGCCTGAAAAGAACACATCGGAAAGTAATATGAAGTTGCATTCATTTAGTATCTCCAAACAAGCAAAATTTATGCGATGCAGGGATGCCTTTCTTTTTGGGAAAATATAAAGAAAAGCATGGAAAATATAAAGAAAAGCATAAGAGAAAAATGCTTATCACTGAGGAGGATAAGGAGACAAAATGGGAAAGAGCATGAATTGCTTTGAAGATAGGAACATTATATTTCTTGAAATGTGTGTTTGTTACAGAAATACTTGCTTTAGGCTTTCAAATTGCACTGAACATTGATAATATAACATAATACAAAACACAGAACTTTGGTTTCTGTGTGTTATACTTCAAACTCATTAAAAAAAAATCAACGGGAAACTAAGTGCAGCATAAATGCTGACCAATTAACCTTATGCATCTATTGTGTTCCTTCACATGGCCTTATTATTTGTGGTTTCTGATGCCTGTCTCTAAATTGTTCATTTTGAAAATATCATTAAAAACTATGGACACTTCACCCAAGACTGATTCATGTTAACAAGAAAAACATGCTGCAGAATTTCTGTTTTCTACTTCCCGCTAATTAAAAAGATATTGCAGTTCAGCACGGTGGCTCATGTCTTACTCCCAGCACCCTGGAAGGCTAACATTGGTGGTCTGCTTCAGGCCAGGAGTTTGAGACCACCCTAACTAACATAGCAAGACTGTCTCTGCAAAGTTTTTAAAACAATTGCCTAGTTATGGTGGTGCCCAGCTGTAGTCCTAGCTACTTGGGAGGTTGAGACAGGAGGATCGTTTGAGCCCAGGAGTTTGAGGCTGCAGTGAGCCATGATTATACCACTGCACTCCAACCTGCATGACAGAGCCACACTATTTTTTTTTAAAAGGTGGGTATTGAAAGAACCCCATCCAAACTCCCAGCCCCTTCAGCGACTCCTCAATGGACACACTTCCCTAGAATTGCAGCAGGTGAAGAATAGCCTCGAATTCACTGAATCTCAGATATGAAACTCCAATATGAACTGAGCTATCAATCCATTAATCCCAGGCCCATCTTCACCCACCCTCAGGTCTATAATACCATCTGGGGCTTAACACTACAGTTATTCTTTCTCATTGCATATCAGTATCTGCAATAATTTATTAGGACATTCTAAGTGTGTACACCAATTGCTACTATACTGTACTTTACCTACTTATCTAGCCACATGAAATATTCAGTTCAGTCTATGGAAACCACATTATAAGATCTTTAATTATTCAAAGACATTTTGTGGAGAAATGATTTAGTTCAATAGAAAGTAGATTACTTAGAATTTAACATGAAGCAAGTATCTTCATTGGTTATTGGAAATGGTAGAACTGGCAAAAGATTACATAAGAGGTGCATGGAAAAGTCAGCGAACATTACACTAAACAGACTTTAAAAGGAGAGACTACACAATGAGCATTCTTACACAGAAGAGAATGCATAGCTGCGCCAGAATAGCATCCTTCATGATAGTCTATTTGGAAAGGCATATGTCTGAAACTTAGCTCAATGCATTCAAAATACTGATTTACACACTGGGAATAAAGAAAGGCTACAAAGTGATCAAGTTGGATTAAACAGACTAAGGACAAATACACAATATGCTAAATATGATAGGTGGAGGGGAATGAGGAGAGGGTTGAGAGACCTTCAAAAGGGTGCCTTCTACTGGATGCATGAGAAATAGACACACCTCTAGCCAGGAATTGCAGCCCTACAGGTACCCAGGCTGCACAGTGTGTCCAGGGCTAAATTTCAGCCTCCTTTAATCCCTTAGCCTTCAGCTTTGCACCATGCAAGCTGTACAGTAATACCAATACACGTATGTGGGTGCATGCAAAAATTTTCAGTTGCAAGAAATGCAATTTTATTCAGATTGCCTAATGTTTTGCCTATCCCTGAAAAACCAAGTTGAAGATGGCTTGCAGCAAGAACACATGCACAATACAGCATTTCTGACGCCAGAAGACATGGTCTAGCATTTGTAGTGAAATATATGACCACATTCTCCCTGTGGGATTCAAATCTGTTTAAAGGTGGTATCTAGATTCTAGGGTGGAAAAAGTGAAAAATACCAAAAATGTTTCTTTTCTTTTTCTTTTTTTCTTTCTTTCTTTCTTTCTTTCTTTCTTTCTTTCTTTTTTTTTCTTTTTTTTTTTTTTTTTTTTTTTTGCAAAGAAACAATGTCCAGTGAGACACTGTTCTTCTTAGGGGATTCTTTTCCTCCTTTCTCCCTATAGCATAATCAATGAAAACATAGCAGAAACCATAACAGAGACAAGTGAGAGGACAGTGGAGAATTTTCTCTCTACCTCTAATTTCATCCTCATTTCTGAAAGGGTATGCTGACTTGCAATCCCGTGGTGCCTGCAGGTGCAGCTGACAACGATGCTTGCAGTTTCCATGAGCCAGGGTGTTTTGTGCTGAATGAGATGGAAATATGACAGATGAGGGCCTGATATTCTCTTGCCTAGAAAATCCGTGAGGATAGAGGGCCCCTTTCTTGGCATGCAGTGTTCAGAGGAAAACATGAAGATTACATCCATCAGTGCTAATAACAGTGAACATGTGAGAATGATGTCAACGTTTAATTAAAAACACCACATAGGCAGGGAACATCTATTGTGGACTGATAATTCCAATGAGTTATAATTGAAATCAGCAGCAAAGACAGGAATAATTGCATGTCTAATCTGAAGACAGACTTCTTCCTGTCTGTTTTATTTTACCTTCACTTTAACTTCCTTATACTGTCACCATCTGATTTCATTTAATGAAGGAGGCAAGGGGCAAGAAAGGAGAAATTTAATAAATTTCTACAACTCGGATTATTTGACAACAGATGGGCTACCTCCTCACAGAAGGAATTTTGCATAAGAAGAATTCTAATTTGGGCCTTTTCCTGTCATGTCAGTTTCAGCTGAAGTTTCGAAGCAAAAATCCAAGTCATATTGACAGAATAACACTTCTGGACTGTTTACTCTTGGTCAGGCACCCCTCTTAGCTCCATTTACATCTATATTTTTATCATCATTGGAGCTGGACCTGATAAGGAATAAAGAAAGAAACAAACAACAGGTTTAGACACAAAGAGTGGTTAAATAACTTGTCCAGAATCACAGACAGATCTATAAGTGCCTAATGTGGGATTTGTACAATGTCTTACTCCATTTGCATTGCTATAAAAGAATACCTGTGGCTGAGTAATTTATAAAGAGAAGACAGTCGAGGCATGGCAGCTCACATCTGTAATCTTAGCACTTTAGTAGGATGAAGGAGGATGATCCTTTGAGGTCAGGAGTTTGAGAACAACTTAGGCAACACAGCAAGACTCTGTCCCTACAACTATTTTTAATAAACATTAACTGGACATGGAGGCATGCCATATGTAGTTCTAGCTACTCAGGAAGTTGAAGTCAGAGGATGGCTTGAGCCTAGGAGTTTGATGCTCCAGTGAGCAATGATTGCACCACTGTACTCCTTTCTAACAAGGCAAGATCCTGTCTCTAATTAGAAGAATAAAAAGAAAAGAAAAGAAGTTTATTTGGCTCACAGTTCTGCAGGGTGTACAAGAAGCATGGTACTAGCATCTGCTTCTGATGAGGGACTAAGGGAACTTCCATTCATGGTGGAAGGGGAAGGAGAGCTGCTGTGTGCACAGATCACATGGCGAGAGAGGAAACAAGAGAGAGAGGAGAGGAAGGTGCCAGGTTATTTATAACAACCAGATCTCCCGGGAAATAACAGAGCAAGAACTCATGCATCATCTGGAGGACTGCATCAAGTCATTCATGAGAGAGATCTGGCCCAAGACAGAAATGCCTCCCACCAAGTCCCACCTCTAAGAGTGGGGATCAAATTTCAACACAAGATTTGGAGAAGACCAATATCCAAACTATATCAAACCCTGTGAGTATGGCTTCAAAGTCTCTGGTCTCTGCTTGTCTTCAAAGCTGCTTCCAGACAGCATCTTAGAGGATACCACTAGCTCTCCCTGTATTCTAAACCAAGGTTTCTCAATCTTAATTCTAGAGGCATTATGAATGGGATAATTCTTTGTTCTGGTGAGCCATACTCTGCATAGTAGTATGTTGAGCAGCATCTAGGATTAGTATCAATTAGATACCAGAAACATCACCAAACTCTGGCTGCAAAAACTGAAAGTGTCTCCAGGCATAACCAAACATCCCTTGGAAAGAAAAATGTATACCCCATTAAAAGCTAATGGTTTAGCTGGAGGAGACTTTTAAAATATGCATACAAAAAAAGCATTGACTTAGAGCAGGGTTTACTGATGTCAGCACCGTTGACATTTGGAATCAGATCATTGCTATGGGCAAGTGTCCTGTGCATTGTAGGATATTGAACAGCAACCCTGGTCTCCATGAACTAAATGCATTAACACCCTTCAAACTCACTGTAACAACTGGAAATGTCTCCTTACCTTGCCAACTGGGGCACACCTAACCATGACTGAAAGCCATAGTTCTAAATCAAGAAGTGTGTCCAACAATGCAAGACCTATTACTAGACTGTTGGGGTGGCCCTGCCATACATGACCCATCAGCCTTATTCAGGCCTTATGGGGCAGTGCAAAGACAGTGGCGAAGGTTGAAGATGCTGGAGGGTTGGACATGTTAGCTATGATGGTGATGGAGCCAAATGTGCACTACATAGAAAAAAGTGCTCCTTGGTCCTCTACAAAGAGACTCTTCCCTGGTTTCACCACTGGAAACCATGTGAGGGTCAAAGAATAGGTCCAGCTGAAGTGATGGAGGGAAGAAACAGACTCAGCCCAAGTTAAGTGAACTGCAGTGGATGGTACTGGCCACAGAACCCCTGGAATTAGAGGATGCCTCCAAAGTAAAGTTCAAGCACATACAGCTGCTGCTCCCAGAAGACTGTAGCATCAAATTTTAACTCCATTACCAGCCACACAAGAAGTACCCTTTTCCTCTCATGGCCCCTATCCTCTTAGTGAGGAAAGTTGTCACCTTCACACTCATTTCTTATTGACTAGTTGTCCTGTCTGTGGCTGTCCAAGGATAGAAAAGCGAAAAAAAAAAATGTGTAATGGAGGAGAAACTGCAACAGACTGAATGTATGGTTAAGATTCTTGAGTGGTCAGAATTCCTATTCTTTATGCATAGTAGTCAGCCATGGGTGAGGATAAAGAAGGTTACCGATTAGATTGAGATGTAAGAATGCATCTGCTACCTATTTGTGCTTTATTAAATCCAGCTAATCTGTACTTTACTAGAACCTCTTAGGGGTAGATTGGAGTTGGGTAACTACTGAACAAGACATTTTATACAAGTCACTTAGAGTAGAAGGCTTGAGTAAGGCAATTTAGGGGTTCTCTTTTCATGCTATTTTTACCTTTCTTTTGAACAAAATGGTCTAAAAGACACCATTCCCCAACCAGGAGAAAAATGGTGAACTTTTGGATACTTTCTGTCTTTTGCCAAGAAGAAATATGCCACCAATCTACCCACTAGAGCTAGTAGCATGCAAACAATTTCATGTATCTTTTATTCCTTTTCTGAGATTCTTAGCAGATCCACAAGGACCACACGTATATCACTTAGTGAGAAGAGCATCTTACTTCCTGGTCAAGCACCTTAGAATGCAGTGACCCCCAAGGGACTGGCCAAAAAGTCTGATCTATTTGCAGAGCCATGACTGTGATGCAGAAGTGTAGGATGGCCATATGGCAGAGGAATATTAAATTCACTATGTTTTGCAACCTTTGTTGGTTGAACATACTCATATAACTTGACTGTCTTAATCGTAAATAAGTATTCAAAGGAGGATTTAGTATCAATGATAAGTGGTTAGTAAATCAATGTCAAAACATATCCCTTCTTTGATGTTAGTCATGCCAGTTGTTCTGGACATTATAAAATATTTTTGAGAATGTTTTTGTTAATATTTCCTGTTTTATATCTGTTTCTGCAATCTTTGTCAAAGCTCCTCTAATGAATGACTGAATAATTTTAATAATCCCTCTCAATGTAGCTATAGTTTTGCAAGACTTTCTCCACCCTCACTTGGTTAACTGAAGCAAATGCTTTGGTTAGGTATGCAAATCCGATTTAACAGAAAGGAGCTTCCCATGAAGGCATTGTCCTCTTCTTCCCCTGGGGAGCCTTTTGCACAAAATTGCTTCTGTGTGTAGAAGGCATCTGGATACTATAAAAGGTTTTACCCCATGGGAAAGGGCACAGAAACAGACAGATGAGTTAGGGAGAAGTAAGGTTGATGGAAAATGTTTGTATCAAAACAGCTAGAACTTGATTTGGAGTATTTTGGTTATTTCTAACTTATTCCTGACCTATACAGCTAAACCAAAAATGAACCCACATGACTAAAGCATTTTATAAGCAGGATATTGAGTCCATTACAGATAGCTGGAGACATATGACTGGAGCCAGGCAAAATGTTGAACAAACATCAAGACTTGAACAGATTTGAGGAACTAAGAGCGCACTGGGCTTTACTTAATGGTTGGATGTAGGCTTAAGAAACAGCTGACACATGTACTGTTGTCCAGGCACAAAGGCCGTATATACATTTTAGTATCCATGACAGACATTTAATTAGTGCTTGTCAATGAGGCTCTACTTCAAAGATGCCATGTTTGAGGGGTTATTGAGGAGGTGATTCATTGGTATAAGGACATGGGTCATGGAGGGTTTAGAATGAAAATAAAAGTACTCTGTTGTTTCAACCAGCAAGAGACCCTCAGAGTTCACTGACATTTGGATCCAGTGCCCATCCTCACTCTTTATCTTCTGACATTTTGTATCCTAGCTTATCACTCAAGAGGAATTCAGTGAGCACTTACCGTATACACATATGTGTCCATAAGTGCCGTTCATCAAACTGTGAATAAACATGAAACCTGTAGCCCTTTGTCTTATGATTAAACTTTTTTACAAGCCCAAAACACACATTTCTGTACAAGTTGACGCATGAATATAAAACTAAAAGTATCCTCAACCAAGTGAAAAGTATTTATGGCACCAAAGACATCCAGAGATAGCTGGATGGTCACATTCCCTAAAAGGATTCCCTGGAAAGTGATATCCAGCTTAGTCATTCAAAGCACTGCCTCCACCAATGAAAAGAAGAGATCACGATGCAATCACTTAAACTTATCTGGGGTCCAGAGCCTTTGTAGAATCTCAGCCTGTCAGCCTGTGGCTTAGGTGTGCCCATCTAGATAAGAGTCCGACTTTGATGTGTACGATCACAACTTTCATCTTATCCTTGACTTTGGGGTGTTTTTCTGTGCTACCATGTTTGATTTCTGTGATTTTTCTCTGTGCCCTTATCATCTAGGGACTGCAAGACAACAAAGACATGGAGTCTCCACTTACACAGAGCAGAGTGGGCTGTGGGATAATGAACAGTCAGCCCCTTGAAGTTCTGTCAGATGTGCTAAGAGACTCCCGTTTACTGTGCAGTTTCTGAGGAATCCAATGCTGTGTGGGCCTGCCCATAGAAATAACAATCCTCACCCTTTTCACTTTTTTTTTTTTTTTTTAAAGACAGTATCTTGCTCTGTGACCCAGGCTGGAATGCAGTGGGATGATCTCATCTCACTAAAACCTCCACCTAGTGGGTTCAAGTGATTCTCCTGTGTCAGCCTCGCAGGTAGCTGGGACTGCAGGCATGCACCACAATTCCTGGCTAATTTTTGTATTTTTAGCAGAGATCAGACTTTGCTACATTGGCGAGGCCACTCAAACTCTTTCCCTCAAGTGATCCACCTGCCTTGGCCTCCTGAAGTGCTGAGATTACAGGTGTGAGTCACTGTGCTCAGCCTATCCTCACCCCTTTTAAAAACATGAAACCGAAGTAGAAGTTTGGAGAAGATAGCCAATTCTTGTATAGATAATTAATAATATCCTCTTAAATAAAAATCATATTTACAACAAAGCACAGAAGAGAAAACTGTACAATTAGCTAACGTGATCTGTAGTCAGTAGTCCCATTTTTTGCTTATACATAAATCATGTGGAACTTAAAATTCCTCTATTTTTAGTTTCTACTTTTTTTGGGGTGGGGTTGAGGGAGGTTAGATTAACAAATTCTGTCAGAACGTGATGATTATTCGTATGTAATATAAATATTTATATGTAATATACAATGTTATATATGAAAATTATATATAGATAGGCACATATATGAGTTAGTAATTTTCTATGTTATAAATATATGTGTGTTTATAACCTCAGAAGAGTTATATGTGTTATATATATGAATACCTGATATATACAGATATTTTCCCATAAATCAAAGGGATTTTAATGAAGTTTAGGGAATGACTTGGAAGACATACACACAAAATAAAATTTTCAAAATCTGTTTACGAAGTTACAAAATAAAATAGGTGGTGTAAATTACATAATCTGTATTTCACTTATCATATATATGATATATATAACAGATTTACATTTCTAATGCAATAATTCATAAATCATACACCTTTAATATATAAAAGTATGAGGGGGTGTGTGTATATATGTATGTGTGTGTGTGTACTAGCCTTTCTATGTGGCAGGGACTCTTACTAGCACTGTTTGTGTAGTAATTCTTTTGATCTTCAAATCACATAAGACTCAATTATTTTACAGATGAGAAAAATGAGGGCCAGACAGGTTAAATCAACTAATCAAAGATACACAGTTCATGAAGCTCTAATACCACAATGGTTTTGTCGTAGGTAGAGAAGTCTGAAAGAAAACATTGGGTGATATGCCAATGTGGTCAGTAGTTGAAAGCCCCATTTGTTGCTCCTATATAAGTTATGTGGAAACTGAAATTCCTCTACTTTTAATGTTTACTTATATATAAACATGAAGTAAAGGAGACACATGTCCAAGCTGCCTTAGTCTAACTTATCTTAATACAACATCTTTAAGATCTTTTTATTTTTCTCTGCATTTCCAGGAATGCTCTCTTGTTTAGGAAACTCTCTCAATTTATGAAATGTAATTGTGCATCCTTTTATCTCATCCTCTATAGTTGCTTTAAGAAAACAATTTTATTCAAACACCTTTTTCAGCACTTATCTCCATGTGTATGAAACACTTGGCTGACACTATCACAAGATATGAAAATGATTTTGTATCATGTTAAATTGTTGGTAGAATGTGCCAAAGAATCATTCCCAGAAGGTCTGGTGACTCACACATACAACCAAGGCATAGTAGATTATTTTTTCCAACAGCTAAAAGGGCACAGCCCCATGGCAGTTGCATTTTAAACATCGGGGGAAAAAAAAGGAGGAAAAAAAGATCATCCTCTTGGCCTACTTGCTTTGAAAATCTGGCATTCTTTACAAAAAATAACTAAAACACATAAGTAGAGAAATTGATATGGAGTGCAAATTTTCAAAACTTTTGTTAAAAATAGGACATCAAACATTTTATAGGTCATATCTGCAATGTGCAGTTTAAATTATCATAGTTTCATTTTAATAAAATGCAAATGCATGGATTGGTGTTAAGTAGATTCTACTGAAAAATCTGCACAATTTGCCTACTCAGTGCTGTAGAAAGCACTGCATCTCTCTGCTTTGTACTCATGCAGTCTCATCTCATTTGTAGAGGAGGCTTCCTTTTGCAGCAATGAACCCTAAAGCAAACTAAAACCCAAAAGGCCATCAACATGACCTAGGCCCAAATACCCCTGCTGATCTTTTGTGGTTAATCAGTCACAGTTGGTTCTGAAAGAAAATAAATATCAACTTTTTGTTTCTACTGCTGCCCAACTGCCTTAGTTGCAGCTTGAAACTCGTATGCATGCATAAGCTCTCCCAGCTGGTTAAATGCCTTAGGATTAATTTTCAATCTAAATAAATCTAAGTATAAATTTCTGTATCTAATAAACTTAAAAGCTGTCAAGCTTCTTTTTTTCTAACATGTTTCTGTTAGAACCTTTAAACATATTTTGAATACCTCAGCCGTACTGTCATTTTAAAAATAAGTATAATATAGCTACTCCAGAGGCTGAGGTAGGAGAATAGTGTGAGACTGGGAGGCAGAGCTTGCAATGAGCTGAGATCGCGCCACTGCACTCCAGCCTGGACAACACAGTGAGACTCCATCTCAAAAAAAAAAGTATAGTTTGGGCTTGCTCACAATTGTTTTAACATAAGCAGTATGCAAGCATCAGAACCAAGAAACATGGGATTAATTTGTTAGACAAAAAAGATTTTATATGTGCATTCTTCTGGCTTTCAAAAACTAGAGTCATGTACCTGTTAAAAAACTAAGTTTGAATGTATGAAAATCAAGCTTAATAATTGAAAATAAATGATAAGATATCTTTTGTCAATATTTTTCTTTTGCATGTCATCTGGCTCTTCAAACCCCAAATGAAAAAATGCATATGAATTTATCCCTTGGCATTTCAAGGGCATGCATTAGCCTTACATGTTGCATTATTATTGCTGGTTAGCTATTGGGGAATCTCATACCCTTCTCCTGATGTGTCTTGCATGTTTAGTTGCCATTGGAAGAAAACAAGAAAGAGGAATATTGATCTACAGAGTTCAGCTGCTGCTGAGAACGTCATTACTCTGCAAAAATTAACCCAAGGCCTTTGTTCTAGGAAGACATGGCCACAATGATCAGAACCAGAGAAAATATATTAGTGCGGACAAATCTGAATCAGTCATACAGAATGTAACAATAAAAGCGAGAATCAAAGACCTTGGTATGGGCCATCCCTATCCAATCCAGGCCCATGAATGAAGCGGTCTTGGTTATAAATGGAATTCTCCTATCCTTAAGATCGCATCCCTCCAGTGGAAGAGGCATCTGCTGACTAGCTACAGAAGATGCCTCCTGGTATGTGAGTTACACAACGCCTCTTTTCTCCAGCTTTCTTGAATTCTGAAAAAGAACCTCATTAAAATTAACTCTCACTGGACATTATGTTGACTATAGGGTGTCTCTTTTCTGCAACAAATATAATATTGGTCTTTGGTTTCCTAGAGAAAAGCCTGGAGATGAATGGGCTAGACTCTCCTCTATAGTCTTTGTTGAGACTCCAGTATTACCTCCAACTCTCGGTAGGATTTGGGATATGTTACTCGGTTTATTTAATATTCAGTTACTCACAAAAGAGAAAAGCAATCCCTGGTGATCAGCAGCTGACCTGGCAATGTCACCTAAACCCTGGCAATCCTGGGTGTTTTCCTGTCCCTTGCAGCTAGGTTGTGCCATTGTTCTATTGAATATAAATAATAGTAATAATAATAATAATAATGGAACAGTGACAGAAGGAAAAACCACTGTGTGATCATGAAAGAACAAGACAAAATGAAGACCACATTGTAATCATGTCTGGACACTTACACAAAAAAGTGGTTATTCAAACACTCAAACATGATCAAGTGTCCACCTGTCCTTGGTATCATCAGTGACTGTTGTTTCTTTGTCAACCATTGCTTTAACCTATGCTTCATTTTTCCTCCTCTTACATAAGATTAAGATAACCAGTCATAGAACTGCCAACACGTCCTGAAAGTATCAATTCCAAATTCAAGCACAGTTTTCCAGAACCCTCTGTAAATCATTTAAAACAAGCCCCAATTCTCTAACTCTTTCCTACCCTTGTACTGAGACATCCCCTATGTACATATTCTTTCTTGTTGTAAAGAGTCAATAGAAGTGGGAAGAACATCTGGGGTCATGAATTCAAGACCAGCCTGGACAACATAATGAGATCACACCTGTAAAAAAAAATAAATAAAAATTAGCCAAACGTGGTGGCAGGCAACTGTAGTCCCAGCTATTCAAGAGGCTGAGGTGGGAGGATTGTTTGAGCCCAGGAGTTGGAGGCTGTAATGAGTTATGATCACACAGCTGCACACCAGAGTGGGCAACGCAGCAAGATCCTATCTGTAATGAATAATAATAATACTAATAGAAATACATAAGAGTCAATAAACCCAACTTAATTCAAGAAGAGGGGGCCTCTGGTGGTATTTGTTTAAAGAAAATCAAGATAATATTAGGATCTCATAGGATTTTTGTAGGAGGGAGATGGGATAACAAATGTTATTTCTGACAATGTGGTTGGTTGTTACAAAGTGAGTGACAAGCATGATATTATAATTATTATATCAGTATATGGATAAATATATTAGCAAAGTTAGCATCCCTGAGTGAAACCAACACTGTGCTAGGGTCAATGAAAAATTTCTCTGGCTCTATAAAGTAAAACAGTTTTCATAGACTATTGCAAACTCCCCAACTGTTAAACAATTTGCTGAGTATCTCACTCAGTTTTTTTCTGACAGTCAAAGTTTTTCTCAAGTGTTGACATTTAATTGAATAAAAATATGTGACCCCCTCCATAGCCCTGCGGATATGAGTTAACGTTACTGAAAATACTAGATTATCAGGAACACTAAGCAACACCAGACAGCTCTTGCATTTTCCGGGATTCTCTTCTGTAGAGAGGCAAAATGCTCCACTAATTAGAAAAGTGAGGCAGAAGTCCTAACATTAAATAATTTTTTACTTAAGAAGTCTTGGCCAATATCAACCACTGAGGCAACAAGTCTTAATGGCAGGTACCTCTGGAGAAAAACCAATGGGATTCCAATGATATCCCAAAAGATCACCACCAGGTTATCAATAAGAAAGACTGTAACCTTAGCTTTACTGTTTGACAAATGGAAAAAAAAATAGCGTCTCTTTTTATTGCTTTTGTGAATTGAATTGGACATTGCATGTAAATATCTTGAACAGGACTGGAAAACAGAGTGAAAGTCATTATTGTTATTTTTGTAATTACTCATGATATTAATATAATTATAAAATATCTTAGGTCTTTAATTTTCCTAGTTAGTTTGAACTGTACTCCACAATACTAAAGAAAAAAGAAAATATAAAAACCTTTTTCCTAAAGTTTCATAAATAATTTTACCATACGCCAAGCAAGCAAAAGCCATCACAAAAAGGCCAGTCTGTCATCTATACAATACATATTATATTATTAGCAAGTATCAATATAAAATATAATTAAAATATTTAAGCCTAGAGAAAACCATAGTTACCACAGCAAGAATGGTGCTATAGTTATGGATGTGTAGAAGGTTTTTACTTCTTTAACCTTTTGGCAATGTATTTATGTATTTTTATTTTTATTATTTTTTTTTAGAGACAGGATCTTTCTGTCTTTTAACCTTATTGCAATTCATCGGACTCTTTCCCTTTAAAAAGTTATTAATAGAAATATACTCTTTTGGAAATGCTGTTTTTTGCCATTTATTTACTTATTTATTATCAATATAATACATTTGAACATATTTTAGAGGCAAATGTAATATGTTCACCCCTGTAAACAATGTGTAATGATCCAATCAGAGTAACTGGGATATTCATCATCTCAAATATTTATTTTTTCTTTGGGTTAGGAATATTCCAATTCTTCTCTTCCAGCTATTTTGAAATATACATTTTCCTACCACATTATCCAATCATATAATTTATTCCTTCTATCTAACTGCATTTTGTACCCCTAAACCATTTTCTTTTCTCACCAAGTAAATTAGTGTGTCCTATACAGTAAATCATATTAATAGGAGGATAGCTTTGTTTTGTGTGTTTTAATTTGATTCTCCTCTATGTAACCAAACATCTCTAAGACATCATCTGCCTTTGGCTAATGGAACAGTAAAAAAATTTGTTTTATATTGTTTCTTCCTGATGATACCTTATTCTCTTTAGGTCAGGTGGACTTCTCAATTCTAATACCAAAGATCAAGTCCACTTTGGAAAATGGTTGGGTAGTTACTAACCAAAGATATCCATGCCCCTTCACAGACATTCTGCAAATTTATGTGACTCATCTGACATGTGAATTCTGTCTCAAAACCTACCATTTGAAAACTGGAACACATAGGGCATTTATCAGATTGTGAGTGCTGACTCAGATAATATTTATAGACACATACAAGGATGTTTGATCTTCAGAAATCTCCTGCCACAGCTTGCTATGATTTTATCTGGAAGATGATTTCCCAAAGAATCCCCTTATTTCTGAGTAAGAAAATATTGTAGACCATGATTTTCTCCCCAGAAAGATTTCTGTGTGCCATGGATATTAGTCCATTCTCATGTTGCTAATAAAGACATACCCAAGACTGGGTAATTTATAGAGAAAAAACATTTAATTAACCCACAGTTCCACAGGGCTGGAGAGGCCTCTGGAAACTTAATTGTGGCAGAAGGTGAAGCAAAAATGTCCTTCTTCACATGGCAGCAGCGTGGAGAAGGGCAGAGCAAATGGGAGAAAAGCCCCTTCTGAAACCATCAGATCTCATGAAAACTCACTATGATGAGAACAGAATGAGGGTATCTGCCCCCAAGATCCAATTACCTCCCACTGGGTCCCTCCCGCAACATAAGGAGATTAGGGAAACTATAATTCAAGATGAGATTTGGATGCAGACACAGCCAAACCATATCTTTCGGTCCCTAGACCCTCCCAAATCTCATGTCCTCACACTTCAAAACACAAATCATATCATACCAACAGTCCCCCAAAGTCTTAACTCATTCAGCATTAACTCAAAAGTCCAAGTCCAAAGTCTCACCTGTGGCAAGACAAGTGCTTTCTGCCTATGAGCCTGTAAAATCAAAAGCAAGTTAGTTACTTCCAAACACAATGGGAGTAGAGGCATTGGCTAAAAAACACTTGTTCCAAATGTGAGAAATTCACAAAAATGAAGGGGCTACAGGTCCCATCCAGGTCTAAAATCCTGTGGGGCAGCCAAATTGTAAAGCTCTAAAATAATCTTCTTTGACTCCATGTCTCACATCCAAGTTACAATAATGCAAAAGTTGGGCTCCCATGGCTTTAGGAAGCTCCACACCTGTGGCTTTGCTGCATACACCCTTCAACACCAGCTGCTTTCAATAGCTGGCATTGACCCTCTGTGGCTTTTCCAGGTGCTTGGTGCAATCTTCCACTCTGGTGTCTGGAGTATGCCCCTCTTTTCACAGCTCCACTAGGCAGTGTCCCAGTGGAGACTCTGTATGTGGGTTCTAACCCCAAATTCCCCTTCCACCAGATACTATAAATCATCTCTCTCAAGTTCAAAATTCCACAGATTTCTAGGGCAGGGGCAAAATGCTGCCAGTCTCTTTCCTTAAACATAGCAAGAGTCACTTTTATTCCAGTTCCCAACAAGCTTCTCTTCTCCATCAGAGACCACCTTAGCTTGGACTTCATGGTCCGTATCACTATTAGCATTTTGGTCAACGTCATTCAACAAGTGTCTAGGAAGTTCCAAACTTTCCCATATCTTCCTTTCTGAGCCTTCCAAACTGTTACAACCTCTGCCTGTTTAACCCAGTTCCAAAGTCACTTCCACATTTTCAGGTATCTTTACAGCAGCACCCCACTCTCAGAACTAATTTACTGTATTTAGTCCGTTCTCACACTGCTAATAAAGACATACTCAAGACTGGGTAATTTATGAAGTAAAAAGGTTTAATTGACTCACAGTTCAGCATGGCTGGGGAGTCCTCAGGGAACTTGCAATCATGGAAGAAGGGGAAGCAAACGTGTTTTTCAAATGGTGGTAGCAACAAAAATGTTGAGCAAAAGGGGAAAAAGCCCCTTATACAACTATCAGATATCATAAGAACTCACTATTTTGAGAGCAGCATGAAGATAGCCACCCACAAGACTCGATTACCTCCCATTGTGTCTGTCCCATGACATGTGGGGATTATGGGAAGTGCAATTCAAGATGAGATCTGAGTAGCGACACAGCCAAACCACATTACCATGCCATGTAGTATAATGCTCAGGCATGCTTAGACATACAAAAGTGTCTATGTAAACTATATAAACCAAGTCAAATGCAGTAAAAATAAAACATAGTTTGTTTAGTGTGGAATCAGTGGAAATACATGAGATTCAGTCAACATGCTTACTAAAAAATGGCATAATTTAAATTACTTCACATGATACTTAGAGGCACGCTCTTTACAGCAAAAATACTGACTTGTAAATCACTATCATATACAATTGTTGGGAGAAAATTTTTCACCTGCAAAATGAAGTGTGCTTATGAAAGTATACCTATTAATTTTAGACAGAGATCTTCAGAAGATAAATCAGCTACTGGCTTTTTGCAAACCAGAATTCTGTGAAAAAATTAGAGAAAAACCCAAAGGAGTATACATTGATTTTATATTCTTATAGTTGAAACTTTTAAACATCGTTGTTGTTGTGTTTTAATCTCATTTAAGAACAAGTGGAAATTTGACAACATGAACACTCACTGCTAAGGGGTGTAGAATACATATAATTGGTTACCTAAGAAACTTGGAAATAATTACTAGGGACTCTGTTTATTTCCCATGTTAGCAAGGAAGCTCCCCAAAGTCAGGAAACATGTGTAATGACATCTGAGCTCCAAAGACATTCCTTAAATGAACAAAAGGAGATTTAAAATAATTAAACATTTTCAAACTTCCACAAAAATGTGCCTCTTGCATACCTAAAATAAATATAAAATTGATAGGGACAGAGGCAGGGAAATTATGGGCAGAAGAGAGTGGGTACCTGGAGAGGGCTCCACCCTCAAGCCAAAAAGCATGCAACCACAGCCCAAAGTGAGAACTTACATTCCTGTCTTCTTACTTGAATGTTGCCTTTTCCAAAACCACCCATGGCCCTCCCTGCCCCTCATTTGGTGCCCATAAAAACTCTAGGCATAAACAGCAGAGGGAAATACCAACTGGACATTAGAGACAATGGTTGGACATCAGAGAGAAGTGGCTTGACTTCAGAAGTACATCGTGATGGTGCAGCTTTGGAGAGGATTTTGACCATGAATGACTGGATTTCTAGGGAAGGTTAACTTTCTGCTCTATCCCAGCTTCCCTTCCCCCTGAGAGCAATTCTACTGGCAATAAAATCCCCCACATTTACCATTTCAATTTGTTTGTGTGACTTCATTGTTCCTGGAGGCTGGACAAGAACTTAGGTGCCATGAGTGTGGGTGTAAAAGGCTGTCACACCCACCCACCACTGAGCTGTTAACATGCTGTCTGCAGATGGCAAAGATAAAGGGACACTGTAGTACTTCCTCTGGGGCTTCCAGGGTAGCAAACACCCTCTATGAGATGCTGCTGTGGGGGTGATATGGAGTTCCTTCTTCCTTACACCTAAAATTGCTGGCATCCAAAATTGCTCATCTTGGCTCCTGCACCCTCTCACATGTGCTTCTCCTCCTGTGAGGGGTGGAGCAGTGAGTCAATGGAGATTGCCACTGCCTGCCCCGAAGTGGCCAGCAAGTTCCAGCACCTGTGCACTCCAGTTCCCACCCATGAAAGCATCAGGGAAGTGCCGTGTTTCACTAAGAAACTTGTAAAGAACTAGAAGGATCTCTTGTTTATTTTGCATGTTGGGGTAGAATCGCCCTAAAATCAAGAAACATGTGTAATAGATTGCATCTGAACTCAAAAAAAATTTATTAAATTAGTGAAAGGAGATTTAAAATAATTAAACATTTTTGAGCTCCCACACAAACGTGCCTCTTGCATACCTAAAACAAATAGAAAATCACATTTATTAATTATGAATTTCATGTTTCTTTGTGAACCCATGTTCTCTCATTTTATAACTACATTTAAAATATAAAGACAAGGGAAAAATGAAAATAAAACTTGTCTTCATACACTAGATATTTTGCAAATGGACACTCTCTTTGGACAATAGCAGAAATATCTTTTCACATAAATGAACAGCAATATGTTAAGCGCATCATCTATTCCCAAAAATGCTACAAGTCATATAGAGAAAATGAAAATGTACTGTTTCATTTGATGAATGGTGAGGCAGGAAATGAGAAGAGTAGAAAATGAACAAAGGCATGCTTTTCTTTTTCTATCACTAAACATTAAGTGATGCCAATTGGTTATTTTCCTCCTGGCACTGCATGAGTAGGGTTTTAGAAACCGGAAGCTGCTGGGTCAAATAAGGTTCTTGGCTTATGCACTCCTCACCCTGTTTCCCCCATTACCTGGAGTTTCAAGATCATTTACACAAAAAGCATGCTTTTGAATATTTGGTAACATTTTCTCCTGCTGGCAATTTGCTCTGCAGATTGTAATGTTTCATGTTCTTGAGGATTGAGAGAATATTTTTCTTTAGGCATAAATGTAGCCCACTGAGAAGAGGGTCAAGATGCAGGATCAAGATGCATTGATCTACAATCAGGATCTACGTGATATATTATCCCATGTGCCTATCAATATTGCAATCCAGCAAGAAAATGACACTTGGTTAGATGTTGCTTGAAGTGCACTAGTTTACTTATCCTGACATCACAAGATAACTGCTTTTATCAATTATATTTTAACTTCAGATTATTTGTAAAACATAAAACAAATTAAAACAAAACAAACAACAAAAGTGAGATAAAGCAGTGATTGGGGATCCTGTTCCAGTGCAGATCCCGGGGATTCTCTTACTGGCATGATGAATGGTTAGCAGCTTTGCTGCATTGTGGAAATAAAATGCATTCCTCAAAAAAATGGACCAATGAATACATAGCTTTGGCCTTTAAGGTCATGTCAACCAACCGTTGAAACCACAAGGGATGCATGCTATCTGAGTGCCAACTGTCATCAATATAACAAACACATTTGAGATGGGGATGTGTTCCTGAGTCGCATTTAGCTTCCTCTCAGAGAAGTGAGCCTTGACTGTCTGCATCAGAATCCTCAACACACAGCCCTGGGTGGTCTTCACTACCCAGTTGTTGGGACTCAGAAATCCATGCTCCAACATATGGTGCTTTGATGTGTTGAACTGAAGAAGAAGCCTCAATGTCTCTCATCTTCTCTCACTCCCTCTTGTCTTTCAACCCTCTGTGACCCCAAAGCACAGGAGGAAGTTTTTCTCTAATGTTGCTTATCTGCTAAAGTCTGGACCCATCAAAAAAGAAAGCAAAGGGCCCTTCCCTGAGTTTCTACTACCTGAACTCATATCACAGGAAGAAAGACTGAAGTCTGTCAACACACCTGGACAGACTTTGGGTCAACCATTGGTTGATATGACCTTAAAGGCCCAAGCTATGTGTTTATTGGTCCATTTTTTTTGGGGGGGAAAGCATTTTACTTCCACATGCAGCATAGCTGTTAACCATTCATCATTCCAGTAAGAGAATCTCTGGTATCTGCATTGGAACAGGATCCCCAATCACTGCCTTATCTCACTTTTGTTGTTTGTGGTTTGGGTAAGTGTGAAGAATACAGTAAAAGTTAGAAAAATTGGACCAAGTTTAAACATCTAACATCTTTATCATCCTAAAAACAACTTTATCTTCCCAAATTTACTTTATTTCAAACTTGTGCTATTTTACCACCTCGCTTCAGCACGGGGCTTATCTGTGGCTTTCTAACTAGAAATTATACAGCACTTAAAAAAATTACCAACTGTATGTTTCCCTTCTCTTTGTTAAAAGTCATAATTTTAAGGAATTATAATAAAATGTGGAAATGAATGACATTTTGAAAAACGTCAAAAAGCAACATACGTTGGCAAGAATGGTGAGAAAAGGGTACAGTTATACACTGTTGGTGAGAAGGTAAATTAATACAACCTCTATGGAATGCAGTATGGAGATTTTCCAAATAACTTAAGATAGAACTACCATTTGGGGCCAGGCGTAGTGGCTCACGCCTGTAATCCCAGCACTTTGGGAGGCCAAGGCAAGCAGATCACAAGGTCAAGAGATCGAGACAATCCTGGCCAACATGGTGAAACCCTGTTCCTACTAAAAATACAAAAATTATCTGGGGGTGGTGGTGCAGGTCTGTAATCCCAGCTACTCAGGAGGCTGAGGCAGAAGAATCACTTGAACCTGGGAGATGAAATTTATACTGAGTCAATATCATGCCACTGCACTCCAGCCTGGTGACAGAGTCAGACTCTGTCTCAAAAAAACAAACAAGAACTATACACACACACACACACACACACACACACACACACACACACACACATAATTTGGTTCAGCAATCCCAGTAGTGGGTTTCTGCCCAAAGGAAAAGAAATTGTTCTATTAAAAAGAGACCTGTACTGATATGTTTATCACTGCACTATTCACAATAGTAAAGTCATGAAATCAACTTAAGTGTCCATAACAAATGACTAGATAACTGGATACATAAATTATATATACCGTAGTTTATATATCCATGGAATACAACTCAGTAGTCAGTCATAAAAAAGAATGAAATTATGTGTTTTGCAGGGACATGGGTGAAACTGGGTGGAACTCAGTATCATGAGTGAAATAACTCAGAAAGTTCAATACTGCATATTCTCACTTATAAGTGGGAGCTAAACAACAGGTACACATTAACATACAGAGTGGAATAGTGGAATACAGAGTGGAATAGACACTGGAGGCTACAAAATATGAGGACATGGAAGGAGAATGAATGATGAAATAATACCTACTGGATACAGGTTCCACTATTCAGGTGACGGGTGCAATATAAGCCCAGAGATCACCACTATGAATAAACCCATGTAACAAAACTGAGTTTCTAACATCCATAAATTCATAAACTTTTTTTTTAGATGGAGTCTTATTCTGACACCTAGGTCAGAGTGTAGTAGCGTGATCTTGGCTCACTGCAACCTTTGCCTTCTGGCTTCAAGTGATTCTCCTGCCTCAGCCTCCCAAGTATCTGGGACTACAGGTGTGCGCCACCATGCTTGGCTAATTTTTGTAATTTTAGTAGACATGGGGTTTTACCATATTGGCCAGGCTGGTCTCAAACTCTTGACATCCTGATCCACCTGCCTAGGGCTTCCAAAGTGCTGGGATTACAGGCATAAGCCACCGTGCCCTGCCCATAAACATTTTTTTTTATGAAAAATAAAAGGTAAATACAAGCATGTTTTCTTAAAACATATTATTATTTTGTTCTTAAAATAATTTTATTTCTTAAAACATGTATTTTGTCAGCAAGTATATACATCTGCTAACAAAACAGTGGATGCAAATACAAAATATAGCTTGTAGCTGTGAGCCCAGGGCCCTGCAAGTGGCATGCTTACAACACTTAAGTTCTCACCATATGTGCAATGAAATGGATAGAAACTGGATACGTATAAAATTTTCTCCTTTCTACAGTTTCTTAAAGTAAAGTGTTTCCCTGGTCAAAGTCAACTCAAGTTTGCTGTGAGATCAAATGGACACCCTGGGGTTGTGAATAGTCAAATTAAGTCCTAAGCTAAAGTGCCTCTGAAAGTAACACATAAGGAAGAAGGAGCCCTGAGAACAGTTTAGTTTAGTCTTCCCTTTTGGGATGCTGTGAGGTACATTGACATGTTTTATTTGATGGTTGTTTAGTTTGTTTATATGCTCTTTTGAGGACATGGATGAACACTAATTTCTTTCCTACCCTTTTAAAGAGATCATCCTAGTGAAGTACATGACAACTTCAGACTGTATTCTTCTTCTATTTAAGATGAAATTCACATAACATAATGTGAACCATTTTAAAGTGTACTGTTCTGTTTGACGCCATTCAGTAATTCACATTTTTATGAATCTATCTCTAGAACTCTTTCTTCTTCACAAATGGAAACTCTGTAACCATGACATGCTAATTCCCTATGGTTCTCATCCCAGAACCAGTAACCACTAGTCTACTTTCTTTCTGTATGAATTGAACCCAAATGTCCATCAAATGAAAAACAGATATATAATAGAATGTGGTCTATCATAAAATGGAACAGTATCCAGCCATAAACCAGTATGCGGTACTGACTGATACATGCTACAATGTGGATGAATCTTGAAAACCTTGTAAACATTTTGCTACGAGAAATAAATGAGATATAGAGAGTATGATTTCAATTCCAAGAAATATAAGAATATGTGAATACACACAGATGTGTTTTTAAAAGTTACGTGAGTTTCTACCACTCAAAAATTACCATGTCCATTGCAATATTGCTGGATATGAGATACTGAACATGACCTAACATGGTAATGATTACAATGAGTCAATTAAATCACAGATATCATAATGATTTCTTTTGTTGTGATACAATATAGATAATATGAAATTTTATCATTTTAGCTATTTTTTGGTGTATAATTGAGTGGCCTTAAGAATAGTCACATTATTGTCCAACTGTCCCCACCATCCATCTCCAAATGATTTTATACCTTTCAAAATTGAAATTCTATCCATTAGAAAATAATTTTCCATTTTGTCTCCCAGCCCCACACAAACACCATACAACTTTTTGTCTCTATGAATTTGACAACTCTAGGTGGAACCCCATATTGGTAAAATAATACAGCATTTGTCCTTTTGTGACTAGCTTATAGCTTATTTCTCTTAGAATGATGTATTCAAGGTTTATTTATATTGTAGCATGTATCAGAATTTCCTTCCTTTTTACAGATGAATAACATTCCATTTCAGTAGTGTATGTGTTTGTATTTGTGCACACACACATACATATATACATATACATCAATTTTTATCCATTCATCCATCACTGGGCAGTGGCTATTTCAAAAGTTCACCTGTTAGCTATTGAGAAAACATGGCTAAGAATTTGGGCATACAAATATCTCTTGGAATACCTGCTTTCAACTCTTTTGAGTATATACCCGGAGGTAGAATTGTTGGATCACATATGGTAGTTCCATGTTTACTTTTTTGAGGAACAGACAAAGAGTTTTCCACAATGACTGTACCATTTTACATTCCCACCAGCAATGTGAAAGAGTTCCAGTTCCTCCACATCTCCATCACAACTTCTTATTTTACATTTACTTTATTAACAGCCATCCTAATGGATATGATGCCAATGATCCAAGAATACAATTTATTTTGCATTACTGAGAATGTCAACAATTAAGACTTTCGATGTACTGGTCCAAGCTCCAAACACTCAACAATGAACCAAACAACAACAATTCATGCCCTTAAAGAGCTGACCTTCTGGTGTGTGGGTACTGATCGGAAACAGAGCAACTGATTTGCACTATGATTGTGGCGAAGATGGATTGAGTCATAGATTTGACTGGAAATTGGATCCACTTCTGCCACTGTCAAGTTTTGTGACCCTGACCACAAGCCTTCATTTCTTCATTTGTCAAATGAGATTGGTTGTATAGGCCCATGGGAACATGTATGAAGACATACACCACTTTCACGACACCAGGGGCCCCTATTTCAGCCAGATCCAATAGAAACTGCTCTCTGTTCACAGAATGAACACATCTAAATAATAACTCTCTGTTTGGCATTTTTCTTCTGTTTTGTCTCTCCTACATTTTCTTTTTAGGTTCTATGGTGATTTGAACTTGAGGCTCAGTTTCAAATGCATTCCATGTCCAGTTATACCCATGCAATGATGAATCACAAAGTGAAGCAAGTGGGATATATTGCTAACCATGAATAAGAGGTTGGAATGTCTTGTTCTGATTAAGAGCAGTCAATTAGGTCTAATTTCTGGTGGGAGTGCAGGTAAATATTATCTTGCCTATAACTTGCAGGTGAGTGACTACAAAAATCACATTTATCTAGCAACCTTTAGTACCATTGTCTTGACTGCTGAGATCAGGAAATATCTCTCTGCTGCCTAGTTAGTGTTGCTGTCAGTAATTCAGGGGTGGGATTAAGGGTGCTTCCTAATTGTAGACCCCTCTATTTAGACCTCCTGAATCTGTTCTATGAAACTCATACTTAAAATTGTATCCCCTAGCTCAATCAGCCTCCAAGACACTAACATAGAACCTTCCCTCTGTTATAATTGATGAATGGGTCAGTAAGTTAATGATGCTACTACCTTCTGCATTAAGTATTTGAATTATACTTTTTGGACAATACTAATATCTCAAATTTCTTTTTCTTTCTTTCTTTCTTTCTTTTCTTTTTTTGGAAACACAGTCTTGCTCTGTAGCCCAGGGTGGAGTGAGGTGGTCACTGCACACTCCAACTCCCAGGCTCCACTGATTCGTGCATCTCAGCCTCCCAGGTAGCTGGGATTACAGGTGTGTGACACCATGCCCAGCTAATTTTTGTATTCTTAGCAGAGATGGAGTTTTGTCATATTGTCTAGGCTGGTCTCAAACTCCTGGCTTCAAGTTGTCCTCCTGCCTTAGCTTTCCAATGTGCTAAGATAACAGATATGAGCCACTGCATCCAGCCTCAAATATCTTTTTCTATATCAATTTAGAGATTACCCATTTTGAATAGCAATAATATCTGTTTCCCAAAGAACAAAAGGAAAGTTTCCAAATTTGAACTTCAAATGAATAAGCTCTGGAAAAATTATAAAAGGCAAGCACTATTAACTTCCTATCATTGGTATCTTCAAAAGTTAGCATAAACAAAAATTCCAGTGTAAATTAAAGAAAGAGTAAATGGGAATCAGTAATAATATACTATTTGTACTCTTCCATCTATATGTTGAAGTGTTTAATAATCTATTAATCTATACTTGCACCAGAACTATTATCCCCAATATAAAGTATCTCAGAGTTAAGAAACTTTCTGAAATAGGATAATAAAAAAAGAAAGAAATTTTGGTACTATAAAAACCTTCTGTTAAGGTTACCCACAACACCCTTCATACTTAAGCTGGCCAACCTGTGGCAAATGAGAGCATTCATGCTGGCTAAAAGTAAAGCATATTTATTTGCATTCAAAAGATGAATCTCTACCAATATCCAACATCTCAAATTCAGAAATACATATATCTTTGTCTCTGTAGTAGGAATCACTGGCATAATCCTAGGAAATTTTTAAAAGTCTGAAGAACTTCTCTATGATGGCATTTTTCTTTTCACTGACTTAACAGTCTGCTGGAGATGCATCTGATGGTATCATTTGAAAGAAAACTATCTCTCCTGCTGATCAGTGAACTAAGATCTTATGGGTTTTAGGTATCGTTTTTATACACCTAGGTCCTGTAATCCATGGCCTAAAGTTGGATCTTACCAGAATATAGGTCCTAACACCAGTAAGGTTCAAGCCAGCATCTGTGAATCAGACACCATTAACACCACCTTCTCTAAAACACCCAACTTGTTTGCATGTTACATAATCATTATTCACCTGTCTTTAAAACCAGAAAAGGATGTTACATAATCTCTTCATGGTACTATGGGGTGGGGAAAGAGTAAAAATAAAAAATAACACCATCTCACAAATCTTGGGTTCTGGCAAATCAGATATGTTCTAAAGAGAAGGCTATGACACAGTTGATTTTAAGAAAAAAAATTAGGCATTACAAGGCCATTCATTTCATTAAAAGTCCACGAGTCACGTTAAAATGGGAGTTATGTTTGAATAAGTCCCTTTTTTAAAACTTGCATTAATCTTTGATATTAATTTTTAGGAACCTCCATTTTCAGATGGCACATGCCCAAATTGCAATTCCAAGGTAGAACATTAATGAGCATTTGTAATCGGAATTAATAATAGAGGGAAAAGTTGGAAATAATACAGCAAGGTAAAGGTTTTGTTTTATATTTATAACCCTGTAATTTAAGAAGAAAATGTGAAATATAGCTCTGTGTATTGGCCCATGGGAAAGGTGCTTTTTGCACAAGTTTTGTGACAAATGGGGAAAAACACTTTTACTCCTTGTCAAACTGATGGAGAAGTTTTAAAGGCTCAGGGAATAAACTTTTAGATACTGCATGACTATATTATTTGAATACAAAGGGAAGAAGAATTCCAGACTGTCCTCAGATCATCTTACCAGAGTGTGGCCTAGTAAGTAGAAAGCAAGGTGGAATTCTGAACACAGTGGTTGTGCACACATATGGAATGGAAGCATCTGAAAGCACCTATATTCACACATACATATTGCAATAATCATCGATTGGGTGGAGTGGGTTGAGCAATATCCTCCAAAAATATATTTCTACCTGGAAACTATGAATGTGATCTATTTGAAGACAGGGTCTTTGCAGATGTAATTAGTTAAGGGTCTTCAGATATAATTATCCTGAATTTAGGATAAACCCTAAATCCAATGACTGGTATCCTTACAAGGAAAGGAGGCCTGGCAAGGTCGCCAACACCTGTAATCCTAGTACTTTGGGTGGCCGACAGGGGTGGATTACCTGAGGTCAGGAATTCGAAACCAGCCTGGCCACCATGGTGAAACCCCATGACTACTAAAAAAATATAAAAGTTAGCTGGGCATGGTCGTGGGTGCCTGTAATCCCAGCTACTTAGAAGGCTGAGGCCAGAGAATTGCTTGAACCTGGGAGGCAGAGGTTGCAGTGAGCCAAGATCATGTCACTGCACTCCAGCCTGGGTGACAGAGATTCTGTCCCCCTACCTCCCCCAAAAAAAAGAGAAAAGAAAAGAAAGGAAAAGAAAAGGAGATGACACATAAAATACAGGGAAGACAGTGTTGTGAAGATAGAAACAAACACCAGGGCCACCAGAAGCTGAAAAGGCAAGAAAGAATCTTGTTCTGGAGCTACCTAGGGAAAGACAGCCCTGCCAACACCTTTGTTTTGAACATCTGGTTTCCCAAATTATGAGAAAGTAAATTCCTCTTGTTTAAAGAGAACATTTGTCATGATTTGTTATGAAAAAAAAAAACTAATACATGAAGATTACAGGATTATTTAGAAAACACACCAGCCAGTTGCAAAATTCAGCACACCTCTTAGAAACCCATGGTTTATGGTCTCTTCATAATGAGTGATTTTAAATGCCCATGAAAGATCTAAAGAAAAAATATTATACTGTAAAGCTCTAATGTTTTGCTTTTATAACTCTGACAGTCTGTTAAAAATATAAAGACATGCAGATTTTCTTAAACTGTAGGTTTCAATTCAAGATCAAATGCATGCAACAAATATAACTTCATTCAAGCTAACCTACATGTAGTGAATTGAATAATTTGTTAAAATTTTATTTTCTACATCATTTTAATGGATTTTTACCCAAAAAAACAAATGTTTTTACAGAGATCTAGGAATATTATTCACGAACTAACCAAAAGCAGGAAAGGTCATCTAAGAAGGTATTAAAACCTTTACCCTGAAGTTGTAACTTAATTTTCCAACCCACAATTAGAAGACAATGAATGAAACATCTAAACAAGGAGGAGCTAAACTTGAATTTCCATGTACTTGGCCTTTAATTGTAGATTATCAAATGAAAAAAAAAAGTCAACTAACAGAACCTAAACAGCAGATCTTCCAAAGCCTCAACATAATCAGTTAGGGAACTGGATAAAATCTTTTCCTCCATACAATATACTAATTCATATAGTAACACAATCAGACTAGAAAGCTAAGATCTATGGCCATTACTAATTATCATATCACCAAATATGTGCTCATTATACACACTTATGTAGATAAATACACATTCATTTAATTCCAATGAAGAAACATGCTTTAAATAAAATTTCATTTAATCCTGATGAACTTGAAGTGGCCATTTGTTTGAGAAGGGATTCAACTTCCACAAGAAAAAAATTTTTGGATCAGAAGCGAAAGGAAAAGAATGATAATAAAACAATAAGATGGTCATGTTGCATGAAGGTAATAAAAGGAAAAAACATACCTGATAACATAAAGTAAATACCGTAAAGTGGAATTAACCAGGAACTGTAATAACGGGATTCAAATCCATGAGTCCCATCAAAATAAGAAGTGGAACTTTCATGTTTCCTCTTGCTTAGTCATTCACATGATGAAATCACTTACCTAGTATTCCCAGACGGTAGTTAATGGTGATAACGATGACGTTCCCATAGCTGGCCAAAATGCTGCCATCAATCATGTTACCGGTTCCCTCCATGTAAGATCCCCCATGGATATAGACCATAACAGGCTTCTTACTGTTCTGTTCATGAATATCTGGAAAAAAAGCCAAGTAAGGAAACGCAGTAAAGAATCTTACTGGCTCACTCACTGATGCTAAATTAAGAACAAAGGAGATTCCCTGATTTCCTTATTTTGACTTGAAGTAAGCAAATTAATTTTTATGGATGATATGACACTTGATAAGAGTTTCTAAGTAACTTGACTAATGCTATTACATTTTCTGTTTCTGGAAATGCTATTTTTTTTTTTTTTTTTTTTTTTTTTTTTTTTTTTTTTTTTTTTTGAGACGGAGTCTCGCTCTGTCGCCCAGGCTGGAGTGCAGTGGCGGGATCTCGGCTCACTGCAAGCTCCGCCTCCCGGGTTCACGCTATTCTCCTGCCTCAGCCTCCCAAGTAGCTGGGACTACAGGCGCCCGCCACTACGCCCGGCTAATTTTTTGTATTTTTAGTAGAGACGGGGTTTCACCGTTTTAGCCGGGATGGTCTCGATCTCCTGACCTCGTGATCCGCCCGCCTCGGCCTCCCAAAGTGCTGGGATTACAGGCGTGAGCCACCGCGCCCGGCCGGAAATGCTATTTTGAGAAGCATCTGGATGTTTGGGATACTCTACTCATTTAAGCTTCTGTATATATCCAAAGCACTAAAAGAAAAGTTTTTAGGTAAAGTACATATTTTCTAAATTTTGCTGAAACCATAAAACTTGATTTAAATTGAAGAAGCACCTGAAAAAATATATTTAATCATCTAGTTAAATGTAAAATCAGCTTCAAAATTATACTTGATTTTAACTTAGCTGCATCTTAATTCACAAGTAACTGTACAGATTCATCTTCAATTTAACAATAAAAACTTAAAAATAGTAGTGAAACTATCTATGATCGATAAGGGACAGATAAGGACAAGAAAGGAAAAGCTATAGTTAAAAATTATTAACAGAACAAAAATGGGGGAAAAAAGAAAAGATGTCCAAGCAAATGTCTTTGTTCCAGTGATTATAGTATCATCATCATCCTAATATATTCAAGTGACAAAAATTAAAGAGATGTAATAAAAAATGGTAAAAGAATACAAATTATTTAAATGCTTTATATTTTCACAGGGACTAAACTCCCATGGTGACTTGCAACCAATGATTCCTCTTCATAATTTACTTTATTATTTAAATTAGCAATGATATAAAAATAGCGATTTGTAATGATAGAAAGTTAGAGACTATCTGTGGAGCCTGCTCTCTGAAAACTTGTGATTAAACGATGTGTTTATAACATTAATCTGACATTAGGGCTGC